>NC_000008.11:12890405-13193435 GCF_000001405.40 Homo sapiens
ATAAATGGCCCTTTTCTGTTCTATTTAATAATTTCAAAATCTCTTCCCCTGTGAAGCCTTCTTGAGCTGCTTAATTACAAGTAATCCTTCCATTCTTCATGTTCTTATAACATTTTGTTCTAACATCTACGCTATCACCTGTGTCTCTATAAATAATAATTTCTAAGCTGTGAGTTATTTGGGGACAGAAAACAAATTTTATTGATCTTTGAACACTTTTTGCCTTGTACAGGGTAGGCATTCAGCAGATATTTGTTGAATGACTGAATGCATTAATAGACAATTCTCTTTAGAAACTCTACCCGGGAGGCAGAGGCTGCAGTGAGCCGAGATCATGCCACCGCACTCCAGTCTGGGCGACAGAGCAAGACCAAGAAAGAAAAAAAGAAAGGAAAGAAAGAAAGCAAAGAAAGAAAGAGAGAGAGAGAGAAGAAAGAAAGACAGAGAGAGGAACGAAGGAAGGAAGGAAGGAAGGAAGGAAGGAAGGAAGGAAGGAAGGAAGGAAGGAAGGAAAAAGAGAAACTCTACATCAGAATCTTGGGATGTATTTACCAATTTTGGAATTAATGATTGCACAACCTAGTCATTAGTTCACTAAACTCCATACCCTTGCTCACACTGTCCCTTCTGCCTGGAATGTCTTTATTCTACACATCCCTCCCCACCGACCTTCTTGTGAATAACGTCTCTTCATTCCTTATAATTGAGCACAGGAGTTGAAGCCTTTGATCCCACACCTCATGCTGGATTAGGTATTCCCGGTATGTGCTTCCATAAAACCATGCATCCAACTTTAACCCTGCTCTTACCACACTGAATAGTTTTCTGCTTTAAGCCTCTGTCTCCCCTGTGTGCTGCACCAGACCTCAAAACTTCAGTCCAGGTTTCAGGGCCAGCAAAAGACATAGGATGTTCAGAATAAAGGTACAATTGAGTAAGCAGATGCAGCTCCGTGGTACCTTATTTATTACATGCAAGGTGCACCTGGAATGACACAGACCCTGCACCTCCCAGAGTTGAGAAGCCCTGCAAGCCATAGAGCTCAGAACCACAGGCTTAGTCTAGGTGAGTACTCAAGAGGTTGGGTGCCTCATACCAGGCAAGGCACATGCACCACCACTGTCCCCTCCGTCCTCAGTTTTGGGACCAGAGAGCAAGCCTCTCAGCTATCCTATCATTGGCCAACCACCTCCAGGGGACAACTGCAGGTCCAGTCCTCCTTAGCACAGGCTCATTTTGCAAAGGAGCTTCCCACACCTGCTTCCAGGGAAGAGGGACACACTCTCCTTAGCATCGGATCCTTCTGTTGCTTAGTTGGATGCAGCCTAGATTACATCACCAGGGCCACCTTTGTGCCTGTTGCACTAGCAATAGGCTCAGGCCTCTTTCCAAAGCCAGGGCTCAGTTTGTGACTAACATGCTAAGCACCCCTGCTGTCATGGAAGGCTTTGCATGAGTCTGGGAGCATGTCCTAGGCTCTAGTGCTAGTGGGCAATTCTCACCAGCACTGCATTAGCTGCTGGGTGCCTGCCTAGAAGTACTGCTAGTTCTTGGAGAGGGACGGTCATAACTGTGGGGGTCCCTACCTCGAACATACCCATGGAATGAGGTGGTGGTGAGAGGACCCCTGGGATTTCAGAGAATGGTTGTGACAATGTTCAGGCAGGGGCTGGGTCACTGTTACCACTAGCACCTGGGCTCAGGCTTCTGTCCCCCATGGGACATGAGCCATATTCTCCCCTTTCCAAACTTGCTCCAAATGTATCTGTGTTTTGGTTCTGTTGGGCGCTGGCCTAGTTAGTGCCAGTCTCAGAAAGGAACCTGGTTGTGGCAATAGGTGCACCTCAGATCTCTCCCAAAATATCCATGTGCATTGGGGCACAGAGCCCAGTTGTCACTGATGACCGTGGCACAGCAGGCCTTCACAGTGGCTGAGAGAGCTCACATGCTGTCCACTCTTCCCACTCTCCACCAGGGCACAAGTCATTGTGCCAACCTTCTGACTCCAAATCAACTGCAGCAGGCAATAAACAGCTGGTTCAGCATCATAGACAGGAAAGAATGACAACTAGGATTTAGATTGCTTTTATTGTTGTTTACCTTCAAACCAGTAACGAGGCTGTGCAACAGATATGGTTGTACATAACCATCAATTAAGTGGCTTCACCCCCACTGGCTTGCCAGGTGCTCACAGGAGTGCCCCAATTAGGAGTCTTGGGTGAGCACAAGACGTCACTAGGCATGAACTTCATGGGCGGTTCATGAACTTGCCTTTGAAACGTTAACCGGGCACTCCAGGCTCTACCTACAACCAGAGGAGGCAATTTTGAGTTGTGCTCATCAGACCTACAGAAAGGTTGGCCCTGGCCAGACACGCCTCTCTATCCTTTGAGTTTCTTGGAGGAAGGAGAACCATGTCTTGTGTATCTACATCTGCAGTGCCTGACACTGAAGCAAGCCTATAGGAGGCCCCAGGAAATATCTCTTGATCAATTGGATAGACTGACTGACTTTCAGCTCCACACGCTAGGGTGAGTGAACATTTCTCAGAGACGAAATGTTTGGTCGGATAGTCTGGAGGGGTTTCTTCTTTATTCTAACACTGCCAGTTCTCAGCAATGTAGGGATGGAAGTCTGAGCTTTCTCACAGCTCCAGCAGGGCTGCAGAGAACTGGGAAAGGAACATCTGTGTCCTGAACTGGGGCTACTGCCAGGGCAACAGAGCCAAATAGCAGGAGAGGGACAGCGACAGATGGGCGAGGGGGCTGCAGAAGCCTCATGTAGACTACATGAGAGATAATGAATGCACCAAACTTTGTCCTTCTTTTCACATAACACTGAAATATCAACCAACTAAGTGAGGCCATAAGTCTACGGTATTGGTATAAGATTCACAGAAAATAATAAAAATAAGGATAATGTGACTTTTTTCACCAAGTTAATTATATCCTTTTAAACAAATTACTTAATGTAGGGATATGTATTTTTTAATTTTATCTATTTGGGGGGTATTTTTTATGACATTATGGTGATAGTGGATTTTTCTTCCTTTTTAATGTCTTTAGTTAACAGAAGTTTGCAACTTTTAACCAATTTCTCAATTGTTTGTCTGTTTTAATTTTACTCATCTGCGATTTCTGAAAGTTTGGGAACCACTGACACAACCTTTTTTGTAGATGTTGTTTTAAAATCCCTGTCTTTGTCTTTTGTGTTGCTCTAACAGAATGGCTGAGACTTGATAATTTATGAAGAAATGAGATTTATTTAGCTCATGGTTCTGCAGGCTGGGAAGTTCAACAAGCATGGCATTGGCATCTGCTCGGCTTCTGCTGAGAGCTATTGTTGCTGGGTCAATACATGGCGGGAGGCCAAAGGGGAAGCAAATACATGTGAAGAGGTAACATCTGAGGGGTGCCCTGGCTTTATAACAACCTACTCTTGTAGGAGCATTCCCACAAGAGCTCATCCAGTCTCTTGAAAGTGTGAACTCACTCCCTATTGTGAGAAGGGCATCAAGCCATTCATGAGAAATACTCCCAAGACCCAAACACCTCCCACTGGACCCCACCACCCACCACCACCACAATGGGAGTCCAATTCAACATTAGTTTTGGTAGGGACAAACTGAAACCACAGCAATCCCTAACAATATTTGAAGTTCTTTTGTGAACTTCCGACAAGGTTTTCATCACCAGCTTCAAGGCCTAGTAAGTGCTGAGTATATTTTAACCATATTTCAAGCCCATAAGTTACCTCTGAGCTCATACATGTATGTCTAACTATCTTTCTGACATCCTCAGAGGCACCTCACAATTATAATGTTCCAAACTGAACTCATGACCCCCAGTGCCCCACCGCTTTCTCCCCCAGATTCCATGTATTTGTAAATGAAAATATTGTCACTTGGTTGCACAAGCTGGAAACCTTGGAGTCTTCATTGCTCTGCACATCCAACTCATTGCCAAAATAGATAATTTATATTTTATATAAAATTCTAATTCATATTCTTTATAATTTTAAAATCTAATACTCAATTTTTAGAAAAACACAACAATAATGGCCATATACCAGGGAAAAAAGGGGACATATGGGGACCTCCTCTTTTGGCTTTGGAGTCCCCCTCACTCTGTCTCTGTATGGGGGAGATTTTCCTTCTGTCTTCTCCCTTCCTTCTTGCCTATTATACTCTCCGTTCCTTAAAACAAAACAGAAAAAAAAGGGGGGGACATAACTTTTTAAAATCTTGGCTTTTGATAGGAATAATGATCTCCACTTTTTTGAGTGTGTGTGCTCTTAGGTTAGAAAATCCTGGGGTGTAAAATAAGAAAGCCAGCAAATAACCTTGTTTCAATATTTTTCTCACTACCTAGACTGGAAGAGGCAGAGTACTTCTCCTAAGTTCAAACATCAGGTTAGTGGGGGCCAGTGCTAGAAGCCAGATCTCTGGTTCCCAATCACACCTCTTTTTCAAGCTCCATATTGTATTTCAAATTTGTTATTTATGTAAGATGATTTGCGGTGGGATGAATGAGGTCATAAGAGATTTTAGAGCCCCCTTTCAATACTTGTTTTTCCTTAATAACATGCTTTCCAAAATTCAGCAACTGACATCAATTGACATTCTCTACTCATTCCAATATTTTAAGGTTGGAAATTGGTTTTGCTGTGTCATAACACTTTGAATTTGCTGTGCTGTGCTATCTGCCCTTACTTCACTGAGCTGGATAAAAACACTTCCTGTAGCCTACCAGAAAGCTGAAAGCAATGTCTATGCTTGATATCTCTGACATTCTATTCTTTCCTATAAACAAATGTGTTTTGAAGTTTATAACTAAAAAGCTTCTGGGTGCTGAGAAATTACCAGGAAAAAAATGTTGCAGAACATGTCATTGCTTTCTATACTAAAGACTTTGTTGCAAAAAACTGACAGAAGGAGAAGCAAACATACCTGTCTACCCAAAAGACTAATCAACTAATATGATGATTAATTTAACTGAATCAAATTTATCCAGTAACAAGCAGGGTGCCGGTGACTCACGCCTGTAATCTGAGCACTTTGGTAGGCCGAGGCAGGCAGATCACTTGAGGTCAGGAGTTCAAGACCAACCTGGCCAGCATGGTGAAATCTCATCTCTATTAAAAATACAAAACTTAGCCCTGTGTGGTGGTGCATGCCCTTAGTCCCAGCTACTCAGGAGGCTAAGGCAGAAGAATCGTCTGAACCAAGGAGGCAGAGGTTGCAGCTAGCCAAGATCATGCCACTGTACTCCAGCCTGGGCGACAGAATGAGACTCTGTCTCAAAATAAATAAATAAATAAATAAATAACTAATCCAGTAACAATGTATTGAGTAACCAGTATGTACTACATGCTGAGGAGAAAAAGGAATAAAAGCTGAAATGGGAGAAAAAGGAATGAATGCCAACCCTGCCACTCACTTGCTGGTTATAGACCTTGGGAAAGGCCCCGTCTTTTGGTCCTTAGCTTCCTCATAGTCATCGAACTATAATTTAAAAACTCAGGCTGAGCACAGTGGTTCATGCTTATGGTGCCAGCGCTTTGGGAGGCTGAGGCAAGAGGATCACTTGAGCCCAGGAGTTTGAGGATGCAGTAAGCCGTGATCATGCCACTTCACCCCAGCCTGGGTAACAGAGAGAGACCCTGTCTCAATAAAACAAAACAAAAAAACAAAAATCAATTCTGTCCTAAATAAGATTAAAAATAATCATCAGTAAACACTAACGAACAAAAACTCATTTGCTCCTTTATCCGAAATGACCATCACAAAGACATTGGCAGTGTCACGAGCTCAGGGAAGCCCCCCCTATGTATAGGAAACGAAGAAGGAATGAAGCCTGGCTTTGCCTGGTGGCTCTTGTAGGGCATGGGTTCAGGTGAACCCTGGAGCTCTCTGTGCTGATCTCAAAAGCTACTCTGAACAGTGATGAGTCTGCAGTGCCAGAGCAAAGGGGCTTTATGGGCAGCTCAGTTTCAGGTACACAGTAGTTTCTGGGATTTTAGAAACAAGACATCCGATACCAACCACCAGGCAAGAGGAAGCTTTTTTCTGCTTTCCTCCTCTCAAGCTGACCTGAGAGTGGGATGCATCTGTGACCTGTGAGTCAGAGAACCAGGCTCATTATTTCTGCTCTATAAAAAACCTCCAGAATTCTGATTATTTTCACTGTGCTTTTATACAGTTGACCATAAAATGCCTAAAGAGAACTAAACCCACGCTAATTCTCAGTACTAAGTGGATGTACTTGATGTCTAAAAAGGAGCATTTTTCTGTGCTCCAGGGTATAATGAGCAGTTCAACATCAAGGTGAAGGATCAGTGATTAAAGAATCCCGAAATATGTACATTTAATTAGCATTAACTGCAAACTCACCATATCCTACGTAGCACTGATATTAGACCACAAACCGCAAACAACAGAATAAATAAATCACGAGCAAAGCAACCTGACAACCAACGAACCAATCAACAAAACAGAAAACAAGAAAGGATCAAAACAAAGTTTTAGCAGATTATATTTAGAGCAAATGTACTGTGACTTAATAACATGGTTACAAAATGAAGCTATTTGAAAAATAAAATCGCTGCCTGTAAAAATATTTTTAATATTACAGTTAGGGCTGCCATGGTTACAAATTTAACTAATCTTACAGAAAGTAACATTAGAGTTGCCAAATGAAAGTCAATATGCTTTTGTAATTCTCCTGGGAATTACTTTCTGAGGCTTCTTAGTGTTACCAATGCTGAAGTCTTGCTTAATTGATAATTTCCTAGACAGACCTCAGAGTAACTGATAGATGAATGTGATTTTGTACAGTTGATTTGCTCATTTCTCATATTTTTAAAGAGGGCTCACTAGGCATGAAGCCCTCGGAACCAGAGTCTCAGGCCTGAATTCTGGATCTACTTCCACTAATTTTGATTTTGAGCTAGTCACATCACCTTTCTGAATGTAAATTCCTTCATTTTTTAAGTTATAGAATGATGTTAGAGCATCTTTAGGTAACTTATATTCTCAGATTACCTGATTCCATGCCACACAGAGGTAATTCAATGATTCTCTATAATAGATTGGGCACTACAGAAACTCCATTAACTCTTTCTGGCCACAAGACAACCTTGTTGTAAACTGCAACTACCAAATACAGTTAATTGTGCATGTGAGATTCCCATATCAACACTCAATGATAGAAATTATTTTGTTGAAATGTAGAAACACAACTTATTTGTGAAAAGTAATAATAATAACCCTGGCTATAAAGCTTGTGGTCCTCTTCATTAACATTAAAAATGTAATACAGGGCCCAGCACAGTGGCTCATGCCTGTAATCCCAGCACTTTGGGAGGCCAAGGCGGGCAGATCACTTGAGGCCAGGAGTTCAAGACCAGCTTGGGCAACATGGCGAAACCCCATCTCTACCAAAAATACAAAAATTAGCCAAGCATGGTGGCGCTTGCCTGTAGTGCCAGCTACCTGGGAGGCTGAGGCATGAGAATCGCTTGAATCAGGGAGGTGGAGGTTGCAGTGAGCCGAGATCATGCCACTGCACTCCAGCCTGGACCACAGAGTGAGACCTTGTCTCAAAACAAACAAACAAACAAACAAAAAAAAAACAGTAGCATTATAGAAATATCAGCAAGTTTTCTGTCTAATGAAGTAATAATGGCCTACATGATAGCTGTCAGCTCATTCCAAACTAATTTTTTATGACTCCTAGGTTAAAGATTAATTTTGCTATTCATTGTATGCTCAATGTCTACTCATTGTAAAGTAAAAATCCACCAAATTAGTTTACAAATAGATAATAAAGTCAATTAATATTCTGTCACCTGGTTACTTGTCAGGCTTATCAATAACATAGGTTTGAGAAATTATTTGCGATAGTATGAAAGTAAGTCTCTCTTTACCCTAACTTTTTAAATGTAATAATAAATATTACTCTTACAAATAATATAATATAATTTTATTTTACCTGACAGTGGCTAACTTCTCTTCAGAAAAATTTAGCAAAGGTTTGATAGGTGAGGCGTTTGGCTCCCACCTGTAATCCAAGTACTTTGGGAGGTCGAGGTGGGTGGACTTCTTGAGCCCAGGAGTTCAAGACCAGCCCGGGCAACTGGGCAAAACTCCATCTCTACAAAAAATAAACAAAACTTAGCTAGGTATGGTGGCACACACTTACATGGGAGGATTGCTTGAGCCCAGAAGGTCGAGGCTGCAGTGAGCCAAGATCGTGCCACTGCACTCCAGCCTGGGTGACAGAGTGACCCTGTCTCAAAAAAATCAAAGCAAAGTATTCTAATACCCTATCTAGGAATAATCCCAGAGAAAATCTGCCCATTGATAGGTTCGTGTTCTGTCCAGAAATGACAGGCATTAGCAAGTTGGATGTCATGTCACCCTCTAGACAAAAATCTCAACTTATTTTTAGACAAAAGGACAATAGCTGAGGTTTAGGCATATTTAATATATATTTATATTTCTTTTTTTTTTTTTTTTTTTTTTGAGACGGAGTCTTGCTCTGTTGCCCAGGCTGGAGTGCAGTGGTGCGATCTCGGCTCACTGCAAGCTCCGCCTCCCAGGTTCACACCGTTCTCCTGCCTCAACCTCCCGAGTAGCTGGGGCTACAGGCACCCACCACCACGCCTGGCTAACTTTTTTGTATTTTTTTTTTTAGTAGAGACAGGGTTTCACCGTGTTAGGCAGGATGGTCTCCAACTCCTGACCTTGTGATCTGCCTGCCTCGGCCTCCCAAAGTGCTGGGATTACACGTGTGAGCCACCATGCCCAGCCATTTATATTTCTTTACCTTCGTGTATGTAATAACTTCTGTTGCAGGTTATAATAGAAGGTTATCACAGATTCCATTCTGTGACAGACTTTGTAGCTCTTAGTTAATCACATCCTTCAAATTTTATTTACACACATGATGCCTAAGAACAAAGGACAAAGAGCTAATCTATACCACCTGTATTTATGATAAATTATGAGGAAAAATGTTTATCTGATACTATGCACCAGACACCTCCTAATTCCTTGCTAATTGAACTCTTGCTATCTGAATATGTGTTACATGCTAAAAAGCCTATCAAAATGAAGCAGAAATCCTGCTATAATGAATCCAGGTGCGCATGTCAGTGGAAACATTGAAATTATGTGCAAGATACATGCAGGTACACACATACACATGCACAAACATATATCTGTATGACTGTATATACATACATCAATATCCTGGCTTGGTCTGCTGAGACAGCCTAGAATCAATGAGATCTCAGTAGCAATGAGCTTACACCTAGCACCCAGAAGGTGATTTCTTTTTTTTTTTTTTTTTTTTTTTTTTTTTTCCGAGACGGAGTTTCGCTCTTGTTGCCCAGGCTGGAGTGCAATGGCGCGATCTCAGCACCGCAACCTCCGCCTCCCGGGTTCAAGCGATTCTCCTGCCTCAGCCTCCCGAGTAGCTGGGATTACAGGCATGCGCCACCACGCCCGGCTAATTTTGTGTTTTTAGTAGAGATGGGGTTTCTCCATGTCAGTCAGGCTGGTCTCCAACTCCCGACCTCAGGTGATCAGCCCACCTAGGCCTCCCCAAGCGCTGGGATTACAGGCATGAGCCACCGCACCTGGCTCGGAAGGTGATTTCTTAAAAGCACTGCCTACCCTTTTTTTCTCAAACATCAGGATAAAGACCTGAAATGTATGATTCCATTTCCCCTTTGCTCCGCAGGTAGACAAAGAATAAATGGAGGCTAAGAAATGCAACGAGGATAACGAGCTCGTAAACAGCAGATGTTTGAATGCAGCTCTATCTGACTCCAAAGCTCAGCCTGTTCCACACTAGGCCATGATAACCTCTCATGAGTGGAGCTTCTGTCTTGCTTCAAATCAGCATGGATGAACTAATGTTGCTACATGTGTTCATTATTTGCTTCACAATCAGCGATTCCTCCCAATATTCATGGGCAATCGCATTATCCTAATGATTATAAAGAATGAGAGGAAGCTAGTATAGCAAAAGCTTGTATTTAGAAGTAATTTATATGAGATCTGGCATTTTATTCAGCTTCCAAGATCGCTGAAGCTATTGGATTAAATATGAATCACAAGAAAGAAATTATGAACTTGGGATAAAGCAGGCTCTTTTCAGAAATCCAACACAGTGAGTAGGATTCAAAATCTTCCTTACTTCTTTTTGAAGCAAGCCATAAGTCTCACTTAACCTTTCATGGATTTCACGTGAACAAGAAATAGACTTCTGTTAAGTAACCAGGATTTGGGGGTTATGTGTTGCAGCAGTTATCCCTCCATAATTAATAGAGAAATTTGTGCCTATAAGTGGAGTGCTGCTTTAACAAAAACCTAAAAGCTTGTCTTAGAGTTCAGGCAGTGGGAGGTGAGGACATTGCCATATGAGGATGGAGACCAACAAACTGGAGATCTGTGCTGTGCAGGGCAGAACATTTAATCACTACCTGTGATAACCCAGAAGGCAGCCTGCTAGCCCGCTGAGGCAAAGAGGTTGGAAAATAAGAATGTTAGTGGTGAGCGTTGGTCATTACAGGCTGTGATTAGCATAACAGTAGAGGAAAGAGGTAAATTGGCCAATTTTAAAGCAGAAATAAGAGGGAATACAATTGTGGGTTCCACGTCAGAGGATTCAACCAATGATAGATCAGAAATATTCTTTAAAACCCTCCAAAATAAAAAATAACAGTGTAACAATAAAAAGGGATACAAATAAAAAATGATACAGTATAACAACTACTTACATGGCATTTACATTGTATTAGGTATTATAGGTAATATAGGGATGATATAGAGATTATTTAAAGTATAAAGGAGGATAGGCATAGGTTATATGAAAATACTATACCATTTTATATCAGGGACTTGAGCAACTGAGAATTTTAGTATCCTAGGGGGTCCTGGAACTAATCCCCTCACAGATGGACGACTATAGTCTAGAAATGTAGAGCCTTGCAGAGTTGGAAAAGTTGACTATTTCTAGACCACAAACAGTAACAAGTAAAACTCGAAGGAAAGATTTTGAATGACAAAGGCTCAGTAATTCCAAGTCTCAACCAGCCTTTATATTAGTATTAACATAGAAAATATAGAGAGGTGAATTTCCAAGTAAAAAGTTGTTATTTAGGCATAATATATAAGAAGAAGGATTGAAATCCAGGACATAAATATGGATGGTGGTGGCTTCTAGTATGTCCAGAGAACAAAAGATAAGGTTAAGTTTTTCTTGGGGAAATAGGAGGTGTGTAAATTGTTTGGAAAGAAAGCTTATTGGCATTGGCAAAGTCTTACAAGGGCTGGCGAGTTTTGATTGGCAAATGTTGGAAGTTGCTGGTAGGACCCGTTATCTTATTTAGTTATGGCCTGATAGTCAAATAAATTAGGAATATGCCCTTGAAGTTTTGGATTGGGTTTGTGAGACAGTGTGCCAGGCAAATGTTCTTGTATATGTGCCTAGCTGTGCTCATGTGACTCATGTAGTAAGCTGTGGTTTAGAAAAATTTCCTGTGGCCAGGCCTGGTGGCTCACGCCTGTAATCCCAGCATTTTGGAAGGCCAAGGCGGGCGGATCACTTTAGGTCAGGAGTTCAAGACTAGCTGGGCCAACATGGTGAAAACTCACCTCTACTGAAAATACAAAAATTAGCAGGGTGTGATGGTGCACGCCTGTAATCCCAGCTACTCAGGAGGCTGAGGCACACGAATCGCTTGAACCCAGGAGGCAGAGGCTGCAGTAAGCTGAGATTGTGCCACTGCTTTCCAGCCTGGATAACAGAGCCAGACTCTGTCTTAAAAAAAAAAAAAAAAAAAAAAAAAAAAAAAAAGGTCAGGCGTAGTGGCTCACGCCTGTAATCCCAGCACTTTGGGAGGCTGAGGCAGGTGGATCACGAGGTCAGGAGATCAAGACCATCCTGGCTAACATGGTGAAACCCCGTCTCTACTAAAAAATACGAAAAATTAGCCGGGCGTGGTGGCAGCCGCCTGTAGTCCCAGCTACTTGGGAGGCTGAGGCAGGATAATGGCGTGAACCCGGGAGGCGGAGCTTGCAATGAGCCGAGATCGTGCCACTGCACTCCAGCCTGGGAGACAGAGCGAGACTCTGTCCCCAAAAAAAAAAAAAAAAACCTCCAGCCTGGGGCACAGAGTGAGACTCCATCTTAAAAAAAAAAAAAAAAAAAAGAAAAAAGAAAAAACAAACAAACAAAAACAACAGAAAAACTTCCTGTGATAGTTTCTGTTATCAGGCAAATCATGCATGAGAGTCCTCTCTTGATGGCCTTCTGTAGCTCCAGTTTGAATCTTACAACTTCTGCATTAGAAAAAATAAACTTTTCTTTTGCTAGGCTACCAAGGTTCTCAAGTTTTCTTCTATCAGTAGTTAATGGACCCTTAACTGGTACACATTTATCATATTTAATCTATGGAGCACCCATGCTTCTCAACCAGGAGATGTGTGTCTATAGATATGTTTGAGCGATTCATAGGTAAGCTCTATAAGAATTGTATCTTAGCTGAATACAATCATTTGAATTTTAGTAGTGTTCTTGCTGTTGTGAGTCTTTGTATTAGTAACACTCAGTGGTTAATACTGGAATTGTTTTGATCCCTGATTTTAATATCCAAAATCTTCTGTTCTCTCAATTGCTAAACCTGCTTGCTTTCTCACCAATGACTAAAAAAGTTTAGCTGCTTAGCAATTTAGTATATTCTGTTTTGGTTTAGAAAAAGAAAGAAAAGACATTTCGGTTGACAAAAATCAGAATCTGCTTATAACCATTTTTTTAAGTACAAATTATTTTTTAATGGAGTATAGCATCCTTGTATTTGAAAGTAGAATCTTAATGATTAAAAACAGGTAATAGGACAAGTTCTTTCACCTATTCACAGCTATTCCCAGTTCATTCCATCCAATCCCTGACACAGAGTAGGTGCTTTATAAATAGCAGTTGATGGATAAAGAATTACTGAGAATGTGATAATAAATGTAAGGAAATCTGAAAGCTAGATTTTCTAAAATATGCCCTCCTCTGCTTTTTCTTTTCTGAGCTAGAACTTATTTAATCCCAAAAATCATGTGAAACACCTTGTTCCCTTAGGCATCCAATTTTTTTTTTTTATTATTGTACTTTAAGTTCTGTGGTACATGTGTAGAACATGCGGGTTTGTTACATAGATATACATGTGCCATGGTGGTTTGCTGCACCTATCAAGCTGTCATCCAGGTTTTAAGCCCCGCATGCATTAGGTATTTGTCCTAATGCTCTCCCTCCCCTTGCCCCCAACCCCCGACAGGCCCCAGTGTGTGATGTTCCCCTCCCTGTGTCCATGTGTTCTCATTGTTCAACTCCCACCTATGAGCGAGAACATGCGGTGTTTGGTTTTCTTTTCCATGTTAGTTTGCTGAGAATGATTGCTTCCAGCTTCATTCATGTCCCTGCAAAAGACATGAATTCATTATTTTTTATGTCTGCATAGCATTCCATGGTGTATATGTGCCACATTTTCTTTTTCCAGTCTATCATTAATGAGCATTTGGGTTGGTTCCAAGTGTTTGCTAATGTAAATAGTGCTGCAATAAACATACATGAGCATGTGTCTTTATAGTAGAATGATTTATAATCCTTTGGGTATATACCCAGTAATGAGATTGCTGGTCAAATGGTATTTCTGGTTCTAGATCTTTGAGGAACTGCCACACTATCTTCCACAATGGTTGAACGAATTTACACTCCCACCAACAGTGTAAAAGTGTCCCTATTTCTCCACAGGCTCACCAGCATCTATTGTTTCCTGACTTTTTAATAATTGCCATTCTAACTGGCATAAGATGTGGCTTTGATTTGCATTTCTCTAATGACCAGTGATGAGTGTTTGTTTGTTTGTTTGCTGACTGCATAAATGTTTCCTTTTGAGAAGTGTCTGCTCATATCCTTCACCCACTTTTTGATGGGGTTGGTTTTTTCTTGTAAATTTGTTTAAGTTCCTTGGAGATTCTGGATATTAGACCTTTGTCAGATAGGTAGCTTGCAAAAACTTTCCCCCATTCTGTAGGTTGCCTGTTCACTCTGATGATAGTTTCTTTTGCTGTGCAGAAGCTCTTTAGTTTGATTAGATCCCATTTGTCAATTTTGGCTTTTGTTGCGATTGCTTTTGGTGTTTTAGTCTGAAGTCTTTGCCCATGCCTATTCCTGAATGGTATTGCCTAGGTTTTCTTCTAGGGTTTTTATGTTTTTGGGTTTTACATGTAAGTCTTTAATCCACCTTGAGTTAATTTTTGTATAAGTTGTAAGGAAGGGGTCCAGGTTCTGTTTTCTGGATATGGCTAGCCAGTTTTCCCAGCACCATTTATTAAATAGGGAATCCTTTCCCCATTGCTTCTTTTTGTCAGGTTTGTCAAAAATCAGATGGTTGTAGATAAGTGGTGTTATTTCTGAGGTCTCTGTTCTGTTCCATTGGTCTATATGTCTGTTTTGGTACCAGTACCATGCTGTTTTTGTTACTATACCCTTGTAGTATAGTTTGAGGTCAGGTAGTGTGATACCTCCAGCTTTGTTCTTTGTGCTTAGGATTGTCTTGGCTATATGCACTATTTTTTAGTTCCATATGAAATTTACATTTTTCTAATTCTGCAAAGAAAGTCATTGGTAGCTTAATAGAAATAGCACTGAATCTATAAATTGCTTTGGGCAGTTTGGCCATTTCCACGATATTGATTCTTCTTATCCATGAGCATGGAATGTTTTTACATTTGTTTGTGTCCTCTCTTATTTCCTTGAGCAGTGGTTTGAAGTTCACTTTGAAGAGGTCCTTCATGTCCCTTGTAAGTTGTATTCCTAGGTATTTTATTCTCTTTGTAGTAATTGTGAATGGGAGTTCACTCATGATTTGGCTATCTGCTTGTCTACTGTTGGTGTATAGGAACGCTTGTGGATTTTGCACATTGATTGTGTATCCTGAGAATTTGCTGAAGTTGCTTATCAGTTTAAGGCGTTTTTGGGCTGAGACCATGGGGTTTTGCAAATACACAGTTATGTCATCTGCAAACAGAGACAATTTGACTTCCTCTCTTCCTATTTGAATAGCCCTTATTTCTTTCTCTTGCCTGATTGCCCTGGCCAGAACTTCCAGTACTATGTTGAATAGGAGTGGTGAGAGAGGGCATCCTTGTCTTGTGCCAGTTTTCAAAGGGAATGCTTCCAGCTTTTGCCTATTCAGTATGACATTGGCTATGGGTTTGTCATAAATAGCTCTTATTATTTTGAGATATGTTCCATCAATACCTAGTTTATTGAGAGTTTTTAAGCATGAGGGGATGTTGAATTTTATTGAAGGCTTTTCTGCATCTATTGAGAAAATCATATGGTTTTTGTCAAACACTTGTAAACTATTAGGTTGGTGCAAAAGTAATTGTGGTTTTTCCTGTTACTTTAAATTACTTTTAATGCAAAAGCCACAATTACTTTTGCACCAACCTAATAGATTGGGTAGGCCAGAGGCAAATATGTTAGAAAATAAAATGATAAGAGAACTACAGAATTGAAAAACCATAATTTTTCATTGTAAATTTCATGATTTTGTGGCTCTGGCGTTGTTGATGAGTAAATATTTTAAAGTAAAACATTTCTATAACAGTCGTTTTGTTCTTCAAATAAATAATAAAAAAGGATCTTCACCTTTCTAACTATGGTGGTTTCTAAATAGTATGAGATGGCCAAAGTAGGAGGATTGCTTGAGGCCAGGAGTTTGAGACCAGCCTGGGTGGCAGAGCAAGACCCCGTCTCTACAAAAAAAATATTTTTCTTCTTTTTGAGACATGGTTTCACTCTGTCACCCAGGCTGGAATGCAGTGGTGTGATCATGACTCATTGTAGCCTTGACCTCCTGGGCTCAAGCAGTCCTCCCACCTCAGCCTCCCCATAGCTGGGACTATAGGCATATGTCACCACACCTGGCTAATTTTTGTATTTTTTTAGAGACAAAGTCTTGCCATGTTGCCCAGTCTGGTCTCTCACTCCTGGGCTCAAATTATTCACCCCTCCTTGGCCTCTCAAAGTGCTCAGTGTGGTGGCATGTGTCTCTAGTCCCAGCTATTGGAGTGGCTGAAGCAGGAGGATCACTTGATTCTTCTGCAGTGAGCTATGATCACACTACTTCACTCCAGCCTGGGCGACAGAGCAAGATCCTGTCTCTAAATAAATACATAAGCAAATAAATAGTATGAAATGAAGAAAAAAGTTGACAAATATATGGTGAATATGATCAATATGAATAGTCAAACTGTCCAAAAAATCAATTATGAAGTCTAGGTTGTTCCAGAGTATTTTTTAGATATAGACTATGTCTTCACGTTAATAGGTACATAACTAATTCAGACGCATGAATACAAAAAAATAATAATTTCTGAAATAAAAACTGGTCTTCCTTAGGACAACTGCATTATCAGAATAGTATCAGTTTTTCAGAAGAGCAGGTGGAGGCCAAGGCAGGTGGATCACTTGAGGTCAGGAGTTCAAGACCAGCCTGGACAACATGGCAAAACCCCGTCTCTACTAAAAATACAAAAATTAGCTCAGCATGTTGGCACACACCTGTAATCCCAGCTACTCTGGAGGCTGAAGCAGGAGAATCACTTTAACCTAGGAGGTGGAGGTTGCAGTGAATGGAGATTGTGCCACTGCATTCCAGCCTGGGCGACAGAGCGAGACTCCGTCTCAAAAATAAATAAATAAATAAATAAATAAATAAATAAATAAATAAATAAATAAATATAAATATAAATAAAAAAATTTCAGAAGAGCAAATTCTTACTAAAAACAAGTTGTAAGTAATTTTTTTTTGTTACATTTAGCTTTCAAGATGAGTTTCTTTAACAGTTGTGCAGAACTGACGTATTCTGTCTGGTCTCAATTTTTTAATGTTGAAGCAGGAGGGCAACCATGGGCCTTAGTGATCCTTGCAGGATCTGAGCACTCCCGCACCAGCCTGCGGTTTTGTATTGCTCTGAGCCACCTCATCTCTCCCCTGGAGAATGTCAGCCGCTCGTCAGTTGGTCACCTGGATTCTGTCCTTGCCTTCTATATACTGCAGTCTCCAGAGTGATCCTTTCTGAAAGGAAAGTCAAAAACTTAAAAATAGAACTACTGGCCAAGTCCAGTGGCTCATGCTTAGAATCCCAGCACTTTAGGAGGCCAAGGCAGGAGGACTGCTTGAGGCCAGGAGTTCAAGTCCAGACTGGACAACATAGCAAGACCCCATCTCTAAAAGAAGAATTAACCAGGCATGGCAGCATGTGCCTGTAATCCCAGGAGGCTGAGGCAGGAGGATTACTTAGGCCCAGGAGTTTGAGGCTGCAGTGAGCTGTGATTTTGTCACCACACTCCATCTTCAGCAACATAACAAGACCCTGTCTCAAAAAAAAAAAAAAAAAAAAAAAAGACTACCATATGACCTAGTAATCCTGCTTCTGGGTGATATATCCAAACGAAATAAAATCAACACCTCAAAGAGATCTGTGCTCCCATGTTTACTACAGCATGGGTCAAGATAATGGGAACAACCTAAGGGTCTGTTGATGGATGAATGAAGAAAGAAAATGTAAAAGATCTATGTATGTACCACACATATGTATATACCATACATGTGTATATACCATATTATACAGTATATATATTCTGTACAATGGAATATTATTCAGCCTTAAAAATGGAGAGCTTGCCATTTGCAACAACATAGATGAAGCTGGAAGACATTATGCTGAGACAAGCCAGACACAGAAAGAAAAACACTGCATGAGCTCACTTACATGTGGAATTTTTAAAAGATGAATACATGGAAGAGGAGAGTAGAATGGTGGTTTCCAGGGTCTGGGGAATGGGGGAAATGGGGAGGTGTTGGTCAGAGGGTAGAAATTGCATTTACGTAAGATGAATACATCTAGACAGTTGATGAACAGTGTAATGGCCACAGTTAATAATTCTGAACTGCATACTGGAAATTTGCAAAGAGAATGGATTTCAAACTCTCTCACTACATGCACACAAATGATAGCTATGTAAGGAGATGCTTATGTTAATTTGCTTGACTATAGTAATCATTTCAATATGTATATGTGTATCAAAACCTGTTGTACATCTTAAGTATATATAATGTTTTAAAGTCAGATCACATCATTCGTCTGCTCAAACCCCTTGAAGGTCTCCGAATTTCCCTTGGAGAAAGCCAAAGACACTCCGGGATATGGACTGCACTTCATTGCCGCTCAGATCTTTTCTCCTCTGCCTTCAGTGCTTGCTTTTCCTTTCACTGGGATTACTCCCCCAGGTACCCGCGAGGCTGGCATTTGCCTTCAAATCTTAGCTCCAGTATCGGCTCTGCTGCTTCTGCTGGCTACTGCATTTAAATGCAGCCTAAGCCAGGTGTGGTGGTGCAGGCCTGGAGTCCCAGCTATTTGGGAGGCTGAGAAGGGAGGAGAGCTTGAGCCCAGGAGTTCAAGTCCAGCTTGCGCAACATAGCAAGACCCCATCTCTAGTAAATAAATAAATAAATAAATAAATAAATAAATAAAATGCAATTAGCCCTCACTTCCCACCGCTTCCCCCTTCCGATCTCTTCCAGTCTGCTCTTCTTCTTCCAAAGCGTCTATCACCTTTGGACATCCTATATAACTTATTTATTATTGTTTATTGTGTCTGCCACCCACCACCCTCTACAACATACAGGCCATGAGAGCTGTGATTATTTGTTTTGTTCACTAATGTTCTCCAAGTTTCTAAAAGTGCCTGGCCCGATTGGGCACAGTGGCTCACGCCTATAATCCCAACACTTTGGGAGGCCAAGGGGAGCAGATGGCTTGAGCCCAGGAGTTTGAGATCAGCCTGAACAACATGGTGAAAGCCTGTCTCTACTACAAAAAAAAAGACATAAAAATTAGCTGGACCCAGTGGCACATGCCTGTAGTCCCAGGAACTCAAGAGGCTGAAGTGGAGAATCAATTCAACCCAAGGGATTGAGGGGATGGCGGCCCCAACTCCTGTAGGAGCAGATTGCTGTCCCCTGCCTTGCCAGGGTCAGGGTCTGGGCTGGGAGCCTGACTTGGGTGGGGAGGGCCAGGGCCTTGGGCAGGACAGGGCAGGGTGGCTTGTCACCTGTGTGAAGATGAAGGAGCCCTTATCTGCCTGCACTCTCATCCAGTTTTTTAGGATTAAAGAGTTTGGGACTCTTGTGGGGGAGTGGGTAGCAGGTGGGGGTGGGCTGCTGCAGTGAATCTCTGCCTCTCCAAGGCTGTTCCCCTCCTCCAGGGCCTCCTGGGGGGATCTTTGTACTTTGAGTCAATTAAAAATATGAACTAAAAAGAAAATTTGGGAAGTGATTTCAGAATTAGGAAACTTCTGTTTCCCTGTGCTTTGAATTTTGAGGGGTTTCGTGCAAAGCTGAGACAGAAAGGCTGCTAGTAATGGTTGCTGTCTGGATATGAAATGCAATTTGTACATGAAAATGCAGTTTTATTCAGCTGTGGAAGAAATGCATTACTGAGCTATGATCACGACACTGCACTTCAACCTGGGTGACAGAGCAAGACCCTGTCTCAAAAATTAAAAATAAAAATAAAAAATATTGCCTAGCCCATTGGAGGTACTCAAAATTGTTTGATGAAGGGATGAATAATTAATAAGCAATTTCACTTTTAAAATTAAAATAACGATTTATACAATAAGTGCTTTTCTATGGGAAAGCACCTTTTCCATAGAAGACACTGTTTTTTTTTTCTTTTTCTTTCCTTTTTTTATAATAGGAATATGTTTATTATTGCAAATATTTTTCTCCGTGTCCTCAGTTTTTAAATATACATTATTGGTCATTTCCAAACTCAAGGTCAGCAGATACTGATTTTCCATATACTTGGGTTAATGCAAATATGTGAACTTCGTGTAAGTCACGTTGATAATTTCACCTTTGATTTGATTTCACTCTATCTTCAATTTCTTCACTCTATGATGGCTACTAAGTGTTTATAATAAAATGTTCCTTAAGACTTGAAAAGTTGTTTCTGCCATGCTGGTAAAATAGCCATTTTGAAAATAAATATTCTCACAATGTTAAAGAACTGTATTATAAATAATGTTATTGTTATTGTTTTTGTTTTGTTTTATTAACCTTTGTTTCCCAGGTTTCCCTCTAGTAATTGGTTCTCGTGAAATTTGATGGATTTTAGGACTAAAGTTTACTAAAGTATGAATAATATTCTAGCATTGGTTTCACAGAAAGATTTGGTGTTCATTTGCATTTATTCTCCAGAAGCTAGGTTTTATGTCACGTTCACGCATATTGTTACTTAGCTAAGAAACAAAAACCATGCAACTTAATTTCTTCTGCAAAACAGCATTATTTGGAAATGCAAGGAAGTTGTATTCGGTACGGCTTGACAACATGTTCCACTTTTGCAGGAGGTTTTTGTGTTTTGCAATCAGTGCTAAGAAAAAGAGTAAGGTCCAAAGCAGGTCTGTTATCGTTTTCAACTACCTGTAAAGATTTCTCAAACTGAGGTCTCACAATAGTGAGAAATGTGTAGATAATTAGAAAATATTTATCTTCAATTTATTTTTTCCAATGGGTTTTCCTTCCTGGTTGTGATTGTTACTGACTATTTTCCAAAAAAAAAGATATGTTTACTGGGCTTACACTGATTCAAGGGGAAGTGATTGCAGAATTAGGAAACTTCCATTTCTCTGGGCTTTGAATTTCGAGGGGTTCATGCCAAATTGAGACAGAAAGACTGCTAGTAATGGTTGCTGTCTGGATATGAAATGCAATCTGTACCAGCTTACCAGTCAGAGTGCTTACTGTGTGTTTAGGACACTTCCAGCTGTCTTCTTTACTAAACTTTATGTTCTAGGTTGCATTTACCATAGATTAGCTTCTATGTTCATTTTAATCTAACTCACATAAAATGGCTAGATTCGGAAGAGGAGGTTTTCTATTTTCTCTAAGCATAGATGTGTCCTGGGTAGATAAAAGAGCCTTGCATTAAGAACCAAAAGAACCTAGCAGGTCCTGTTCATAGCAGCACTATTCACAATGGCCAAAATGTGGAGACAGCAGAAATGTTCATCGGCAGACAAGAGATAAACAAATTGTAGTATACACAGAAAATGCAATATTATTCATCTATGGAAAAAATGCAGTACTGATATATGCTACAATGTGAATGAACATCCAAAACATTATACTAAGTGAAAGAAGCTAGACACAAAATACCACGTACTGTGTGATTTCATTTATATGGAAGGTCCAAAATAGATAAATCCATACAGAGACAACACAGATGGGTGGTTGCCAGGGGAAAGGGGGAGAAACTGCTTAGTAGGCAAGAGTTTGACTTTGGAGAGACAAAAATGGTTTTTTTTTTTTTTTTTTTTGAGACGGAGTCTCGCTCTGTCGCCCAGGCTGGAGTGCAGTGGCGGGATCTCGGCTCACTGCAAGCTCCGCCTCCCGGGTTCACGCCATTCTCGACAAAAATGTTTTGAAACTAGACATAGGTGGCGCTTCACAACATTTTGAATGCACTAAATATCAATGAATTGCTCACTAAAAATGATTAATTTTGTTATGTGAATTTTACCTTAATAAATTATTTTTAAATGATACACGTGAAAGAGAAATGGACATTTAAAAATTATTCAACGTATTTAATCAATATCAATGCAAAGGCCAACAATCAGATGCAAATTCTACTTAAAATTTGTTCATATGTTCCAAAATGCCTTTTTCCATCAGCCAGAAGAATTGTGCCAAGAGGAAATGAATTATTTCATTTCAACTGAGCTCTCTTAACACCAGACACTTAAAAAAAAAGGACGTCAACTTATTGGGTTAAGTGGCCAGAGGAGAAAAAGAAGGAAGGTTGGAGAATGAGAGACTTATGCATTCTCCACATATTTTCCTGCTCCCTTCCTGAAGCATGTTATGCTCATGGTCTCAGCAATGTTTCTTCATGGGAATACATGTGCTGAAAATGATTGGGATATCAGGGATCCTTCTTGGATGATAGCGTGACTATAACAAGACTCCATTTTAAGTTGCTTGGTCAACAGAGAAATGCATAGCAGCTGGATCATTTGAACTCACATGAAGCAAATAAACTACATTCTGCTATTGTGGTTAATTTTATGTGTCTACTTGGTTAGAATATGGTGCCCAGTTGTTTGGTCAAACATTAGCCTAGATGTCGCTGTAAAAGTATTTTTTAGACGTGATTAACAATTATCATTAGCTGACTTTAAGTAAAGCAGATTACCCTATACAATGTGAGTGGGTCTCATCCAATTAGTTGAAAGCCTTAAGAACAAAGACTGAGGTTTCTAAGAAAGAAACAGGGAGTTCTCCCTCTAGTCTGCAACATAGAAATTCTGCTCAAATTTCCAGCCTTTGGATTCAAGACTACAATATTGACACTTGCCTCAAATTCTAGGCTGCTAGGCTGACCTACAGATTTTAGACTCACCAGCTCCTCAATCATATGAGCAGGTTGTTTAAAACAAAACTCACAATAGATAGATAGATAGATAGATAGATAGATAGATAGATATCCTATTGGATTCTCTTTCTCTGGAGAGCCCTGGCTGATAACAACAGATTCAAGGCAGGGGAGCACTCAAATTAGAACTTAGCCTTAGGAAGGTTGTTGACTTCTCCCAAGAAAGAATTCAAGGGCAAGCTGGTGGTGACAGAAAGCATCTATTATTGAACCAATGCTGTTCTTCGTAAAGCAGAGTTAACCCATAGGCAGTGCGCGCAGAGTCAGCACCAGTGGGCTGTAGCTTGCTGTATTTATACCTACTTTTGATTACATGCGAATTAAGGGGGGATACTCAGAAATCTCTAGAAAAGGGGTGATAACTTCTGAGTCATTGTCATGGCATTTGTATACTGTCATGTTGCTAGTGGGAGTGTAGCTCATTATGCTAATGAGCAGGGAGGACAACTAGAGGTCACTTTTGTAGCCATCTGCCTTTTTCATTGCACCATGTTTCAACCACAACCTGTTCTGGTCAGCAGGGTCACTGCTGGAAAACAAATCCTGCCGGTCTCCTGCCTCACAACCACTTAAGCATCCTCCACCCACAACCCACCACCTTAAACGGATCTCGGGCACTATTCCTGACTATTAAAAGAGGGCTGCTACCACCTGGTTAATATCCCCCCTAAGTCCACTATATCAGAAACTAAGGGATTAGCCCTCACAGGTTTATTTGCCATTAGACTCACTCCGAGAAACCAGGGCTTAATTTTACTGTTCCCTGATTCATACTCTGTAATGAGACAAGGTTTAACAATTCCAAGAATCACAGACCGCTGGTGTCATCAGGTCTCAAAGATAGAACAAAATTATGGCATGCTGTAAACCAAACTATAGTCAATAGCAAAACAGATTCAATGTAATGTTAATTCCTCAAAGAAAATAAATTACAATAGTCAGAAGGAAGAAACCGATAGCTGTTGTCTTTTCATTATCTTCCAAGATGGGAAAATAACAAACAGAATTTTTGAAATATCCTGTACACAGCCTGGATCAAATGAATTTGGAAATAGCCAGTTTTATTTCATCTTATTCCAGGAAGACGGAATCTATATAACACAGGCATGTCAGGCAAAAGCAAGCATCTGCACTTACGTGTGCTGTGCAGTAACACATGCAGCTTCCTCAAGGCAAATAAACTTCATTTTTCTCTCGGCCTCTTATAAATAATAAATAAAGAGAAAAAATATGGTTCTTGGCCAGGCATAGCAGCTCACACCTGTAATCCCAACACTTTGGGAGGCCGAGGCAGGTGGATCACCAGAGGCCAGGAGTTCAATACCAGCCTGGCCAACATGTGAAACCCCATCTCGACTAAAAATACAAAAATTAGGCTGGTGTGATGGCACGCACCTGTAGTCTCAGCTACTCGGGAGTCTGAGGCAGGAGAATCACTTGAACCCAGGAGATGGAGGTTACAGTGAGCTGAGATCACACCACTGCACTCCAGCCTGGGCAACAGAGTGAGACTCCTTCTAAAAAAAAATAAAAAAGAAAAGAAAAATATGGTTCTCATAGGTCTTATAAGCTATAATTAAGGAGAAAAGTTTTTTTGTTTTTTTTGTTTTGTTTGTTTTTGTTTTATTTATTTTTTTGCCTGAGATGCTCAGTGTTATTAGTAGTTGGGAAAACGTAAATTAGAAAAATTATAAATGATCATGCATCAGATTTGTAAACATTAAAACATTATAACAACCAGTGATAACCAGGATATGGTAAAACTAATAAAATTGACACTTTCAGAACCAGGCATGGTGGCTCCTGCCTATAATCCCAGCACTTTGGGAGGCCAAGGTGGGTAGATCACTTGAAACCAGGAGTTCAACACCAGCCTGAACAATACAGTGAGACCCTGTCTCTAAAAAAAAATTTATTTAATTAGCTGGGCATGATGGCACGTGCCTTTAGTCCCAGCTACTTCAGAGGCCGAAGCAGGAGGATCCTTTGAGCCCATAAGTTGGAGCCTGCAGTGAGCCATGATTGTACCACTGCATTCCAGTTTGGGTGACAGAGCTAGATCCCCTTCTAAAAAATATAAAAAATTTAAAAATTGGCACTTCCACACATTGCTGATCTCAGGTTCAATTGCTAAAACATTCTGGAGAAGAAATCTGTCACGATCTCCTCTATCAATCAACATTTACAATGCATTCTTGATGCAACAATCCCACTGGAAAAGGGAGGCATGAGAATATGAGGATTTATGACCACAGGTATTTATGGAAGCTTATGTGTAATTATTTTTTAAAAGAAACAAACCTGAAAATAGCCTATATGTCTGCAAAGAGACAATGGTTGGATAAATTAGGATATCCACCCTATAAACTATAAGCATCGATTAAAAGTAAAGTTATATCTCCTTGCATCAGTGTTAAGGGCTGTTCATGAAACCAACTCAAGTGAAAAGTAAGAAGCAGAGAGATGTACAGGGTGTGAACTCATTTTTATTTTAAAAACCTATATTTGGGTATAACATGTTTGTGCACCTGTGTTTGCACAGAGCATATGCACAAGAATACACATTCAAGTGCCAACTTAACTTCAGATGAGATGGAATTGCACATGGGCGTTGGGGAGGGTGTGGATAAGATTGTTCATGCTTCATTTTTAGGCTTCTGTATTGTTTGATTTTGTGTTGCTTCTATGCTTTTTTATTTTCAGTATATTAGGATGTGTTGACATCTTAAAAACCTTTCTGGCTGGGGAGACACTGCCCTTCCCAGAGCTAGTCAGTTCTTAGAGACAGCAAAGGTCAGCCAGGAAGAGCACGCCCATATTATTCAAACTAACCAATCCAGAGCCACCACCCTCCTCCATCCAACCCCTCCAGCTCAGGAGGTGGCACTCCTCTGCCTTAATCATCCCAGGAGAAGTACCAGGAAATTAGGACCACCCCTATAACCTATAGCCTAGAGCTGCTGAAATTTTTCCAATTAGCCAGTCGTAAATTGTTTCCCCTCCCTGCCTTGACTTTCCCGCAGAAGTCTAATAAGGCTGTAGCCTCCACGTTCGCCCTGCTCCTGTGTTCTACCTCCTGACCACCCTGAGGCTTCCCCACATGACCCTTCATGACCTGCCATACCTCCTATCTCTTGAGCCTGTGAGTATAATATGTAGTCTTTTGCCAGACACAGTGGCTCACTCCTGTAATCCCAGCCCTTTGCGTCTGGGGTATTTCTGAGATTCCATGATGAAAATCAAACCTATAGGTGTGTCAAAGGAAAGCACGACTCAACATTGAGGAGACAGCTCTGTGGCCCTTCTCTGGGACAGGCAGCACTTCACCATCACACTCCGAATCCCAGGGTAGGACTGCGAAAGGCAAGAATTTGACTTTATCATCCTCATCCTTCATCCTTCCTCCCTCCTGTTCTTTCCATCCTCTCTCTGTCCTCCCTCCCTTGTTTCTAGCATTCCTGTTTAGCTTTCTGTTTCAGGTACCAGTCCAGATGGGTGGAAATCTCCTGTGATGTGTAACTCACAGGCAGTGATACATACATTCTCATCATAGCTTTCAAAAATCATAGGCCAATCTCAGTGGCTCACACTGTAATCCCAGCACTTTAGAAGGCTGAGGCAGGTGGATCATTTGAGGTCAGGAGTTTAAGACCAGCCTGGCCAAAATGGTAAAACCCTCTCTCTGCAAAAATACAAAAATTAGTCAAGCGTGGTGGCGACTGTCTGTAATCCCAGCTAATTGGGAGGCTCAGGCACGAGAATCACTTCAACCCAGGAGGTGGAGGTTGCAGTGAGCCAAGACCATGTCACTGCACTACAGCCCGGTTGACAGAGCAAGACTCCATCTAAGAAAGAAGAAGAAAAGAAAGAAAGAATGAAAGAAAGAAAGAGAGACAGAGAGAGAGAGACAGAGAGAGAGAGAGAAAGAAAGAAAGAAAGAAAGAAAGAAAGAAAGAAAGAAAGAAAGAAAGAAAGGAAGAAAGAATCAAAAACCTTTAACTTTTTTTACCAAAGTAATAAATACGGACATTTCAGGTACCAGATCAAGGAAGGCCAGAGAGAGAAGGAACCAAGGACGAAGTGCATTCCCCATCTCTTTAATCGCAGTGTAGAAAAAGCCGTCTCTGGTGCAAGGCTCTCAAAGGACGAGAGCCAGACAAGGGTTCAGGTCTGAAACTACTATAAGCTGTTCACAAAAGATGGCGAAATGATCAGACTGTGTATGTGAAGAGAGAAACAGAATAAACTGATTCATGAAGGCTTCTCTCAAAGGTGCCCCTACCACCTAACTGTGCCCCTCTCCATTAAGTACTTGATGTATAACACTATTTCATCAGAAGAAGCATGAGATGCTGGTGGAGACGTTTAATTTTAGCCTCTCATTCTTTCCTTTAAGTATGATTCAGCCAATTTGTTTCAGGCTTTTGGCTTCATTTGAGGAAGCAGATGTTTAACCTCCTGTTCCTTGAGCTAGTAATCTCTATAATTAAGAGTTTTGAAAGAATACTGGAAGGGGTACAACCTAGTTCTTGGATAAATTTATATCTGTGCGTGGGAAATCTATTTCCTTCCGATGCTTTAATTGTAATCTGGAGCGTCTACAGCATTTGTTTAGCATTTAAATTTTAACAACAAAGCTTCACTTGAAAAAAAAATTGCAGAGATTCTTGAATGACTTCTTTCCAAGTAATCTTCTATTTTTACTTTTTTTATTTGCAACCAGTGAATTCTTTTGGACAATTTTGAAGTATAAGTGTACATTTACTTCAATGTATAAGTCAGGCTAAGCTCAAAGTGGCTTGGCTCTGCTATATGAATGACAAAACCCTGAAATTTCAGCAGCTTTACTTCTTTAAGAGACAGGGTCTCACTCTGTCACCCAGGCTGGAGTGCAGTGGTGCAACCATAGCTCACTGCAGCCTAGAATTCTTGGACTCAAGTGATCCTCTTGTCTCAGCCTCCCAAGTAGCTGAGACTATAGACACATGCCACCATGCCAGGCTGATTTTAAATTTTTTTTTTTTTTTTTTTTTGTAGAGAAGGGATCTCCCTGTGTTGCCAGGCTTATCTCAAAGTCCTGGCCTCAAGTGAATCCTCCCATCTTAGCCTCCCAAAGCACTGGGATTATAGGTGTGAGCCACCACCCCCTGCCAAATTTTGGTGGTGTTAAATCAGTAATAGCTTTGCACAAAGTCATTTAGATCAGTTGGCTCTCATTTATTTTATTTTTATTTCATTTTATTTTATTTTATTTATTTTTTTGAGTCAGAGTCTCGCTCTGTCACCCAGGCTGGAGTGCAGTGGCATGATCTTGGCTCACTGCAACCTCCACCTCCTGGGCTCAAGCGATTCTTCTGCCTCAGCCTCCCAAGTAGCTGAGATTACAGGCATGTGCCACCACACCCAGCTAATTTTTGTATTTTTGGTAGACACAGGGTTTCACTATGTTGGCCAGGCTGGTCTCGAACTCCTGACTTCAGGAATCTGCCTGCCTTGGACTCCCAAAGTGCTGGGATTACAGGCGTGAGCCACCATGCTCTCTGGAACACAGGGCCTCCAAGGCCACTGTGGCAGGGGAAGAGAGGATAGAAGGAGTGTATGGGATCTCTTATAGACCAAGACTTAAAGCAACTTTCGTTACTTCTCCCCAGATTCTAATGGGCAGACTTATAGCCAGCTTAACTGCAAAGGCAGCCGGGCATGTAGAAAAGTCAAGCGAGGTGTGGTCAGCATCATCAGCTTCTACGTTAGATAGAAGCATTTAAAATAAGTCTTCAAAATCGAAAAACAAGGGAGGAAGAGGATTATTTTAATAGTGCACCCTTTCTGTTTGCTTGACATGGCTTTGACACTGAATATCAGAAAGGCACTGATTCTTACACAGAACATGTGAAACACTCTCAGGTGGCTAAGTGTAGAACAGGCAGTGGGGATGGGCTGAGCCTGAAATACAGTCAAGAGTTATGCATGGCCCCTGTGAAGCGAGAGACAAAAAGAAAACAGGCAGCAAAGTTGGGGTGTGAAAGAGAGAACAATGCTCAAGGGGGACGCACTTCTGAAAGGGACAAGAGTAGTTAGATTTTCAGTTTCAGAAACTCTTTTTCAGGCTGGGTGTGGTGGCTCATGCCTGTAATCCCAGCAGTTTGGGAGGCCTACGCAGGTGGATCAACTGAGGTCAGGAGTTCAAGACCAGCCTGGCTGACATGGAAAAACCTCATCTTACTAAAAATGCAAAAATGAGCTGGGTGCAGTAATGGGTGCCTGTAATCCCAGCTACTCAGGAGGCTGAGGCAAAAGGATCGCTTGAACCCTGAACCCAGAAGGCGGAGGTTGCAGTGAGCCGAGATGGCACCATGGCACTCCAGCCTGGGCAACAGAGCAAAACTCTGTCTCAAAAAAAAAAAAAAAAAAAAAAAGAAACTTTTTCACACGTTGATCTTTCCCTCATTCTTATTCCCTAAGATTGCCTCAATATTCCTCACTCTCCATTTCTCTACTTTACCCACTTCTCCTAGTTGGTCACCACTGGAAAAGAAAAAAAAAAACCTTGAAAATTTAATTCAAGGGGAAAAAAAGAGGTAGATGATTAAAGACAAGTTAATGTTACCTCAATTGTTATAAGAGAAAAAGGAATATATCCAGGGACAGATAATTAAGCCTCATGTCCGTGTCCGTCATGAAGGATGCCGAGATGAGTGCAATAGAGTCTCTTCCCCGAAGGAGCTCACAGTTGGGTAGGAGGAGGTGAACTGTAACTATTATACAACACGACATGAACATAAGGGCTCTATATGCAAAGCATAAGGGAAGCTTTAAAAGCACGGCAAACATTATCCGCCTGGGAGTGTGGGGTACTTATCACAAAAGTGATATTTGAATGTGTCTCAAAAAATGAGATGGGTAAAGTCAGAGAAGTTTCAACTGATACAACTTGGTCTAGAAGGGCGAGCCCAGTTGGATGTGGGAAAATGAGAGGGGCCAAAGCTAGAAATGTAGGCTGGGACTAGACTAGAGTGTGCAGGTCCCCAAAAGCCAAATTAAGATATTTGAATATTATTGGGCAAATGATAGAAAGACATCACAGGTATTAAATTAAGGGAAGGAGAATGATTCTATAGGAAGTTTCCCAAAATGGTGTTTGTAGGACAGTGTCCCTTCCCAGTGCTCTGGTCAGTATGGTTTAGGAAACATGTCATTATGGATTGCCTTCTCGGAAACTCATAAGAACATTAATGAGCATCGATATACGTTTGAGAATTTTTGAAATAAAGAAATGTGTTAAGCTTAACTCAGTATGTACAAAATGTAGTTATTAGTCTTTTATTTGTGTGTAACAAATGACCACGTGTTTAGCGGCTTAAAATAAAGCCTGTGGCTGGGCACGGTGGCTCATGCCTGTAATCCCAGCACTTTGGGAGGTTTAGGCTGGAGGATCACTTGACCCCTGGATTTTGAGACTACCCTGGGCAACATGGTGAAACCTCATCTCTACAAAAAATACAAAAGAGATTTAGCCAAGTGTGGCGGTGCATGCCTGTAGTCCCACCTACTCAGGAGGCTGAGGCTGGAGGATCACTTGACCCCTGGATATTGAGACTAGCCTGGGCAACATGGTGAAACCCCATCTCTACAAAAAATACAAAAAAGATTTAGCCAGGTGTGGTGGTGCATGCCTGTAGTCCCAGCTACTCAGGAGGCTGAGGCTGGAGGATCAATTGAGCCCAGGAGGTCGAGGCTGCAGTGAGCTGTGATTGTACCAATGCACTCCAGCCTGGGTGACAGAGCAAGACTCTGTCAAAAAAAAAAGCTCTCTTAGTAGCTCACAGTTCTGCAGATCAGAAGTCTGCCACAGCATCATGGGTTTCTCAGCTCAGATTCTCACGAAGTTAAAATCAAGGTGTGGGCCAAGGGGAGTTCCTGTTCCGAGGCTCTGGGGGAAAATTCACCACCAAGCCCATTCTCTTTTTTTAATTGTATAAATTTAAGGGGTACAAGTGCAGCTTTGTTACATGATATGTTGCACAGTGGTGAAGTCTGCGATTTTAGTGTAGCCATCATCTGAATAATGTACATTGTACCTACTAGGTAATTTCTCATCCCTCACCCCATCCCACCCTTCCAAGTCTCCAGTCTCTATTCCACACCGGATATCCTTGTGTATACACTGTTTAGCTTCTAAGTGAGAACATTCGGTATTTGACTATCTGTTTTTGAGTTGTTTCACTTAAGATAATATGTATATATGTATATATATATATACTCACACACACACTGTATATATATGTACGTGTGTGTATATATATATATATACCACACTATATATATACTTACATTTTCTTTCTTTTATTTTAGATGACATCACCTTATTATCACTGCTCCCTCTCTCCTCCCTCTAGTAGTCCACAATGTCTATTATTCCAATGCTTATGTCCTTGTGTGCTCAATGTTTAGTTCTCACTTATAAGTAAGAATACATATATATCACTCTTTCCTTTCTTTCTTTCTTTCTTTCTCTCTCTCTCTCTTTCTTTCTTTTTCCTTTTTTTTTTTTTTCTGCAGTTTCACTCTTGTTGCCCAGGCTGGAGTGCAATGGCACTATCTCAGCTCACCACAACCTCTGCCTCCCGGGTTCAAGCGATTCTCCTGCCTCAGCCTCCCAAGTAGCTGGGATTACAGGCATGTGCCACCACGCCTGGCTAATTTTGTATTTTTAGTAGAGACGGAGTTTCTCCATGTTGGTCAGGCTGGTCTCCAACCCCCTCCCTCAGGTGATCTGCCTGCCTCAGCCTCCCAAAGTGCTGGGATTACAGGCGTAAGCCACAGAGCCCGGCTGTATTGTATTTTCTTTATCTATTCACGCCTTGATGGACACTTAGGCAGATGCCAAATCTTTTCTATTGTGAATAGTGCCGGAAATCAGTTATTTGATATTGTAGAACTGAAATCTCGATCTACTTGCTGGCTGTCAGCTGGGGGTTGATTTCACCTCTTAGAGGCCCCTTTCGCAGTATGGAGGTTTACGTTCTGGGCTGACCAGAACATATGTCTCTGTCCTTCCTTCTCTGACCAATGAGGAAAACTTTGCTTGCAAAGCATTCATGTGATTTGGTCAGGTCCACCAGGATAATCTTTCAATCTTAAAGCCAATGGATTTGAGACTTAAATCACATCTGCAAAATCCCTTCACAGCAGTAAGTAGATTAGTATTTGATTGAGAAACCAGGGTTCAGGAATCTTGGAGATCCTTCTTAAAAGTCTGCCTATCTTTTTTTTTTTTTTAATGGAAAAACTTTTAGCATATTTCAAAATTTTTAGAGGTTTTAGAGGTGCCCAGTTTAGCAAAAACTGAGTTGATGTTGTAGAAAGAACATTCTGGAGAGGGCAATGGAGGGTGGAGCCATGGGAACATGGAAATCAATTTAAAATCTACTGTGGCTATCAAAATGAGATAAAATTAGCATCTAAATTACAATTTCTTGGAGATAGAATTGATACAACTTGATGAGCAAATAGGTAAAGTCGGCAATTGAAACAGGTTTTTAGCCTAAAAAATTGGGTCAAAAAAATTTGGTGATACCATAGCAGAAATAAGATCTAGAAGTGGGATTGGCAAAGGGAAGATAATTAGTTTTTCATGTGTTGAGCTTGAGGTCTTGTGTTAGGCCATTCTTACAATGCTATAAAGAAATACCTGAGACCAGGTAATTTATGAGAAAAGAAGTTTAATTTGCTCATGGTTCTGCAGGTTGTAGAGGAAGCATAATGCTGGCATCTGCTTCTGGGGAGGCCTCAGGAAGCTTTTACTCACGGTGGAAGGTGAAGTACGAACAGGCACTTCCCACAGAGAAAGCAGAAAAGACTATATCTGGCCAGGTGCAGTGGGTTACGTCTGTAATTCCAGCACTTTGGGAGGCCAAGGCAGACAGATCACTTGAGGCCAGGAGTTTGAGACCAGCCTGAGCAACATGGTAAAACCGCATCTCTACAATAAATATAAAAATTAGCCAGGACTGATGGTGCACACCTGTAGTCCCAGCTACTGTAGAGGCTGAGGTGGGAGTATCACTTGAACCTGGGAGTTTGAGGCTGCAGTGAGCCATGTACTCCACTGAACTCCAGCTTGGGTGAGAGAGCAAGACCCTGACTCAAAACAAAAACAAAAACAAAAAACAAAAATCCAGATCTCATGAAATCCCTCTCACAAGGGCAGCACCAAGAGGATGGTGCTAAACCATTCAGGAGAAGTCTGCCCCAATGATCTAATCACCTCCCACCAGGCCCCACCACCAACACTGGGGATTTATAATTCAATGTGAGATCAGAGGGAAAACACATTCAAACTCTACCAAGTCTGTAGTACAGATAGGAAGAGAAAAGTTTGAACCTCTGAGGAAATATAGCGGCTGAGGATATATTTCTGGAAATCACAATGGATAAGATTTCCTCAATTTAATGAATAACAGAATGGAATAGGACGAGGATGGAGTGAAAAACAAATTCATTAATATCCAAGCAATGTCAAGTTAAGTCCATATAATCATTTACTTATTAGGGCAGGAGAAGGGTACAGACAAATTTATCTTAATATTAACAAAATATTTCATAGAATATTCCATGATATCCTTACATATAGATGAAAGTGACACAAGGGCTATATTAGTCCACTTTCACACTGCTGATAAAGACATACCCAAGACTGGGCAATTTACCAAAAATAGAGGTTTATTGGACTTAAAGTTTCACATGGCTGGGGAGGCCTCACAATCATGGTGGAAGGCAAAGAGAAGCAAGTCACATCTTTCACAGATGGCAGCAGGCAAAGAGAGAGAGCTCATGCAGGGGAACTCCTCTTTATGAAATGATCAGATCTCGTGAGACTTATTCACTATTACAAAAACAGGGTGGGAAAGACTTTCCCCCATGATTCATTTATCTTCCACCTGGTCCCTCCCACAACTCATGGGAATTATGGGAGCTACAAGATGAGATTTGGGTGGGGATACAGTGCCAAACCATGTCAGGGCTTTGAGAACTACATAAACAACTCTATTCAACAGTGATGATTAATTCTGCATTATCAAAGGAATCAGTGGAAAACAGCCCTGGCCTTGGTGTTGCAGAGTATCTAGGCTTTTCCACCAAAAGGCAGTTCATGTAAGAGATTAAACAAAATACACACACAAGGATTTCTTAATAAATGGATAACTAGTTGTGTGACACTGAACCAGTCAACCCACTTTCTAGGTCTTTGTGTCTCAGCAATATGTATGTTGCATTCAGTGTTCTGAAAAATCCTTTCATTCCAAAAAATTCTAAAGGTTATAAATGACAGGGGGTGGAGTGCCCTCTTGCAAAGCATCACACAGTTCACATCTTTGTTCTGCCTTGTTTAACATTTTTATCTATGATTTAGATAAGTACATCTGTAGCAATTTCATAGTTGAAACAAATCTGAGAGACACAGCTAAGTGACAGATGGCAAAAATCAATATTAAATTGCTGACGGGAATCTGGAAACAAAAACACAAATAGCCAATACTTTGACTAACTAAAGACGGTTGCTAGAACTTAGAATATATTTTTCAATAAATATAACATGAAAGATTATAATATGGGCTGAGTGTGGTGGCTCATGCTTATAATCCCAGTGCTTTGGGAGGGCAAGGAAGTTGAATTTCATGAGGCCAGGAGTATGAGACCAGCCTAGGCAACACAGCCAAACCTCCTATCTACAAAAAATAAAAACAAAATTAAATTTAAAAGATTGTAATATGGTTTTCAGACCAAGCCCCAAAGTCCTATTTGGTCAATTTCGGAGTTGTGGGTTACCCTAGCTCATGTCTGGTGGGACTCCCATTAGGTTGCAGGTGGGAACCTCAACTCCTTTCCTGAGTTGTCAGTTTCCACCTGCCACTGCTCTCTGACTTACTGTTTTCATGCTCCCAAATCACTTCCTATCTCATTTCTCTATGTATCTTGCCCTCAGAGCAAAATTTTCTTCTACAGTGATCTTGACTAGATGCTTTTCTCAAATAATTTATTATTTTTCAAATTTTCAAAATGATCATGCTCATACAATAGAGTTATGCCTTTCATGTTGTGGGTGGAGGGTGGGTTCTAAAGCCAGTGTGTAAAGGTGAAATATCCTATAGTCAAAACTACCATTGAGAACTCTGTAGGAAGCCACCATATTGAAGAGTGACCTATGGTAATTGTGTAATTCCAGCATAGCTGTTCCTCCATGTTGGAACAGGTCATTGTTTCTTCAGCTAAGCACCAGATGAAGTGGTTGGCTTGCATTCAGAGGTCACATTGTACCCCAAAAAGTACACATCTTAAAACCCTAAACTCACACTGAGCACAGCCAGAAGCTCATTCTGTGGGCCACTTAGTTTTCAATTCCCACTTTGTCCTCAGCTTTGAGTAGACAATCATTGAGTAGATCATGACTGGAATGGTTTGAAATCAACATGCGTTTACCCATCTATCTGTCTATTTCAAATGCACCCCTGATGGGATGGCATTGTACCACCAGGAGGTTAGAGAAAGATGGTAGACTGAGCAACCTATCCCTCTAACATAGTTTGGATGTTTCGTCCCCTCCAAATCTCGTGTTGAAATGTGACCGCCAATGTTGGAGGTGGGCCTAGTGGGAAGTGTTTGGGTCATGGGAGCGGACTGCTCAGGAATGGCTTGGTGTGCTCCCCATGGTGGTAATGAGCGAGTTCTTGCTCTATCAGTCACTGCAAGATCTGATTGTTAAAAAGGGCTTGGTAACTCCTCCTCTCTCTCTCTCTCTCTCTCTCTCTCTCTCTCACTCCCCCTCTCACCATGTGATATACCTGCTCTGCATTCACCTTCAACCATGAGTAAAAGCTTCCTGAGGCCTCACAAGAAGCCGAGCAGATGCTGGTGCCGTGCTTTTACAGCCGACAGAATGGTGAGCATCTTTTCTTTATCAATTACCCAGCCTCAAGTACTTCTTTATAGCAATGCAAAATGGACTCATACACCCACTGCATCTAATTCCCTAGAAATAACATTAAGTACGTATTTTTAATATGCCAGTAAATAAGACTGTATGGTCTCAATTGAACAGAAGTTATGGAAAATGCCTAAAAGAGATGAAATGTTTGACTGGCGGATCATAGCCTAAAACATAAGTAACAGAGCACGGGAGTGGGAGTTGGGTTGCAATGCACCTTGAGCTTAGAGGTGGTGATTGGAGAGCAGGAGAGAGAGGGAGGCAACCATAAACATAACAGTTGGGGCACAGCAAAAAGAGCATCTAGGCCAGGTGGCCACTTCCTGTCTCCCCAATTGCACCAACCAATACACTACAGAATCATCAGTCCTCATGTCCAGGAGTCCAGCTACTGGCTTTGAGACCCAGCAGCACAACCCATACTTTCTTAGCAAATTCTGCAGATAAGCTAGGGTTAAAAAAAATACTAAATTCACTAACCAGGCTAAAAAATAATCAATCATCATCAAATATTTAAGGAAAATGTATACAATGAAATATATACAGAACAACATTTTTTTGACCTGAAAAGTGGCAATTTAAAAATTGAAAACATCTTACATTGATGATGTGGAATAAGAACTTTCTTACAGTATTGGTAGGAGTAATGTTATTATAGTCATTTTTTGCTGGTCATTGAGCAGGATTTTAAAAATGTTTAAAGGCACATACCCCTTTAACACAGCAATTCCACTTCTTAACAAGAGTGAACTTTTAAAACTATTTTAAACTAGTTCTTTTGTTTTCATTAAAGTGATACCTGTATGTGACAGAAGGAAAAGGAAATCAAGCCATTTAGAAGCTTCTAAAAGGGAAAGTTTAGAATCTCCTCATCTTGTTCCATTCCCCCGAAGGCAGCACTTTCTCCAGTTTCTATTTGACAGTGTTTTTGGTAGTAAATTGTACAACTTAATATATCCATTTATTGATTTTTTGAATGAAAAATTTAGTATCTACATGAACGATGAGAAACATACAGTTAGACTACCTTCCACTACCTCTCCCTGCCTCGAATGCCCCATCGCATTGAGAAATTAAAGTGATTAGAATAAGTTCCACGGATATAGCAGCGATTACAGACTCCCAAAGCTATCTGCATTTCAAATGTTTCCATGCAAACTAATTTCCAACCGATAGAAAGAGAAAGAGGAGACAAGTCAAGTAGAATTTTTGAACAGGTGGATGTGCAATGGAGAGGCTCTCCCACTCCAGGCCACCTCCCATCCCTGTCAGAGGGCAGCCCTTCCCTTCTTCCTCCAAACCCCATCATCCACCTCAAACACAAGGCCGTCCTTTCTGAAATGTTCCCGCTAGCCTGGATGGTATGGTTATTTATGCAATATTTCTAATTTTTCAGCTGGGAACTCTCTTTATGTCAGCCTATCCATTTGCAGAATGTATGAGGAGAGGGCAGGAAAGATTCTCCCTCTTCCATGATCTCTTTAGTAGTTACCACCAATGAACACCTAAAGGTGCTAACCTGCTTCCACTGCATCTATTTTACTGAAATCAAAGTCTGAAAACACCACTGATATTTCAGCCTTCCTCAGGGGTGGGACCTGCCTAGCACTAAAATCTCCCTGTCAGAGAAGGGTGACTCAAGCCCAGCACTCGTCACTGTAATTAGATTTAAAAATGAGTGATTGCATTAGAGAGAGTACAAATCTTTTCAATTACCTTGATTTAATCTCTTCTATTAACTTAATAGAAATCTTGGTCAGAGGAATCCACCAGGAATACTATGTCATTTGCTCATTAAAAAATTGCATCACAATAACAAGAAGGCTATGATCCGACGAATGCATACGGCTCCCAAGCACGGCATAGTAATAGTTTTATTTGTTTCTTTCTACAGATTTAAAAAGGAAGGAAGGAAGGAGGGAGGGAGGGAGGGAGGGAGGAAGGAAGGAAGGAAGGAAGGAAGGAAGGAAGGAAGGAAGGAAGGAAAGGAAGGAAAGGAAGGGAAGGAAGGGGAAGAGAAACCCAGCTCAGTTAAGAGGATTTCTTAGCCATCATTACTATCAATCCATACAATTAAAGTTACGCCTGGCCTAATCCGACTTTTTAATGACAGTGGATTGCAATATAATATCCTAGATGTCTGTGTCTCTTCACAATTCTGATTCTATGGCTCCTACATTGCTATATCCTGGTGGGCCTGTTTGTGAATGCGGAGTTTGATTTATGGGCTGTAGAACATGTTGACTGGGTTGAGAATTTCCTTACTGAGAAAATACAATCAGACCATGGCCCTTGGTCCAAACTTCTGGACCCTGGACTCAGAGGAGCATGTTATATTTGGTACAGTGATGATTAGGAGGTGGGATAGATAGCCCTAAACACAGGGCCATATTTATAATCTAGTGAAGCATTCTCTGAGGCCACTTTGCTTTCCTATGAGAAGACAGATTTGGGGGGAGGAGTAATCAGGGTATTCTTCCACAAACAGCTTCAGTCGGCTTCCTGGGATGTTGAAACCTAAATGCAAGAATCGTATTCCAAAGTTGCACACAACTTCAGTGGACTACAAATTTTGGATCTCATATTTAATTTCTTCTTTATGCTTAAATATTTGTTGAATTCTTTCTGCCACAGGTAAGGCACGTGCATTATGGCGGCTAGGAAATTGAATAAGGCAGAAGGTCTATCTCGAAAGGGAGTGTGGAAGGCCTGGCACGGTGGCTCATGCCTGTAATCCCAGCATTTTGGGAGGCTGAGGCAGGTGGATCACTTGAGGTCAGGAGTTCGAGACCAGCCTGGCCAACATAGTGAAAACCCGTCTCTACTAGAAATACAAAAATTAGCTGGGTATGGTGGTGTGTGCCTGTAATCCCAGCTACTTGGGAGGCTGAGGCGGGAGAATCGCTTGAACCTGGCAGGCAGAAGTTGCAGTGAGCCAAGATGGCGCCACTGCACTCCAGCCTGGGTGAAACAGGGAGATTCTAAAAACAAACAAACAAACAAACAAACAAACAAAAAAAAAAACAAAGTGAGTGTGGAGACAGATCTGAACTAAAGGAAGGGAGCAATATTTGGGATAATTTGGTGGCTGGCAGACATATGCAGAGTGATGGGTGAATATGATTTAGCAAGGCAAAATTTCCAAATTGGAACTGTAATAGGTAGGTGCAGCTTTAAAATGAAATCTTAGCATTTGATTCTGAAACGAGTGTTTTCCCAGATCTGGGGGCTGAATAGCAGATCCAGTAGTGAGGTTAATTTAAAAATCCATTCCAGTGTCTGAGTTACATGTACCTAGTCCTGCTAAGTACTGCCAATCATTTGAATCAATAGCTAACTTCCATCTCTGTCAGCAAGTAAGTACTTCAAATGTCATAAACTAAGAGCTGGATGATGAGGACTTCAAAAAAGGCTCTGACCGTCTGGCTGCACCCCTCCAATAAACAGCTTCCATTTCAAGATCCTCACAGACAGATGAGATAAAGGCAATTTAATATGTCCTTGCTGGAAATCATTTGACACAAGCATCTCTCTGAAATTCCTGGAACCATAGACCAATAGACTTAAATATTTTACTGCTGTCAGGTTGGAAGGCTCTTGGAACATTGAGTTTAAGCAAGAAAATTAAGTTTAAGCTTTTTAATCTCTTAGTTATTCTGGGGGAACTGGCTGATAAGGACAGTGAGATAGGCATGAAAATACAACAAAGGAGACTTTTAGATCTTTTTGATTGTGCTTTGATACATCAGCATAGTCCCCTGTGTTTGGCTCCCAAGACAACCAATTTAAATAATCACAACTCACTTGCTGGTCCTTGTCAACCAGCATGCACTGAACCCTAATATGTGCCTGTCCATGTGCCGACAGGGCAGGGAACACCAGCAGGAGCCAAACTTTGCTTCCTTGGGAATGATTTCCAATTGTGAATTAGCTGTTTTCCATGATATTAAAACAAAAGAAAGATAAAATCAGAAATCGTAATAAATGAGAACTGAAGGTCAGGAAGAGCAAGAACCGATTTCTGGCCAGGTGCAGTGGATCACGCCTGTAATCCCAGCACTTTGGGAGGCCGAGGAGGGAGGATCACTTGAGGCTAGGAGTTCAAGCACAACCTGGATAACATAGTGAGACCCCATCTCTACAAAAAAATAAAAAAATTAACCAGGTGTAGTGGCACGTACCTGTAGTCCCAGCTACTGGGGAGGTTAAGGTGGGAGTTCAAAGTTGCAGTGAGCTAGGATCACACCACTGCACTCCAGCTTGAGTGACAGAGTAAGACCCTGTCTATATATTTTTTAAAGGCCTGATTTTTATTAATCACATACTATGTGTTAGGCACTAAGCCAGGCAGATCACATTTGATATCTCACTGAATCCTTCAAATATCCATAAAGGTAAATAGTCTTACTAACTTGTTGAATGATATAAGAAAAATGTCTTTGTCCTTTAAAGACCCTCAAATGTTACCTAGGGAGCATAAATTCTGGTCACCTGAGGGTCTGTTTGCTGATCTTGAGATGGGGTGGAACATATTACATATTAGAGATGCTAGAGCTGAACTGCCCTGCTTAAGAAAGGCTGAGGGAAATAGAAAGGATTAGAAGAGTAGAGGCAAATCTGCAGGGGAAGAAGAGGCTGTGTGAGGAATCATGCAGGGAGGAACAACAGGCTGGCCACTGAGAAGAGACATTAGGAGGGGAAGTAAATGTTTACGGAATTTTTAAAATAATACCGGGCATGGTAGTTCATGCCTGTAATCCCAGTACTTTGGGAGGCCAAGGTGGACAGATGACTTGAGGTCAGGTGTTCGAGACCAGCCTGGCCAACATGGCAAAACCCCATCTCTACTGAAAATACAAAAATTAGCTGGGCCTGGTGGCGTGCACCTGTAGTCCCAGCTACTCAGAAAGCTGAGGTGGGAGAACTGACCTTCCTAAATCTCCTGTGAGTGCTTCTGATTGGTGGAACCTACATCCGTCCCATCCAGAACCCCAGCTACACAGGAATCCAGGGCATGTGGTTTTCCCTTTCTGGTCTCTGCAGGACTGCGGAGCACTCTAGAAAGAGGCTGGAAAGGATCCTGAGCGCCAGGCCTCAGGACTCATTCATTGCCCTCCCCTACTTAACCACACAACAGCCAGAGTCACCCTGTTACACACAGTCCTCGCTGGTCACCGCCCTGTTCACGGCCCTCCTCAAACAGCGTGCCATCTTGCTGAGAAAAAGATCTCAAGTCCTTAGCAGACTTGATTGACAGCAGGCTCTGCTTCTACTCTCTTTGCTCTTTTTCAGTGGCCACCGTAGCCTTCTTTCATTTCCTGAAACCTGCTAGAACACGCCTGCTTCTAGAACACTTGCTGTTCACTCTGCCTAGAAAGGTTTCTGCCCCAGTGGTCATGTTGCTTGCTGTCCTACTTAGGTTGGGGGGTCAGGCCGGCGGGAAGCTCGGGCATGGCGGGCTGCAGGTCCCGAGCCCTGCCCCGCAGGGAGGCGGCTGAGGCCGGGCGAGAACTCGAGAGCGGCGCGGGCGGGCCGGCAGTGCTGGGGGACCCGGCGCACCCTCCGCAGCTGCTGGCCCGGGTGCTAAGCCCCTCACTGCCCGGGGCCGGCAGTGCCGGCCGGCCGCTCCGAGTGCGGGACCTGCCGAGCCCGCGCCTACCCGGAACTCGCGCTGGCCCTCGAGCGCCGCGCGCAGCCCCAGTTCCCTCCCGCGCCTCTCCCTCCACACCTCCCCGCAAGCAGGAGCCGGCTCCGGCCTGGGCCAGCCCAAAGTGGGGCCCACACAGCGCAGTGGCGGGCTGAAGGGCTCCTCAAGCGCGGCCAGAGTGGACACCGAGGCCGAGGAGGCGCCGAGAGCGAGTGAGGGCTGCTAGCACGTTGTCACCTCTCAACCTCATCAAAATGTAAGGGTTGCAACTTCGTGTAGTCATACCCAGGACTAAGAACAGGGTTCAGTCCATGGGAGGGGCTCGATATGTATTTTTCAGGAAAAAACATCAAATAAAGTAAAATAGTCAAATCAAAATTCAAGCTTTTCAGCGAAACTTAACATTTTAGATAACTTGAATTTACCTTAGCGAGCTTGTCCGCTTTCCACTGCTTGAAGACCTTTTCTGAATAAATGGATTATTCAGTCCATCATGATAAGCCCCCGGGTGTGAACTATGAAATGGAGAAATCAGTAATGAAGTAAATGTAATTCAGGTCCACCCTTCCTTATTCTCAATTCTGACCTTCAAAAAGCTCTATCAACTTAAAGTTTAAACAAAATTTTTTTTTTCGGGTAATGTATTCTCTTTTTTTTCATGGAATACTGTTTTTACTTGAAAGAACAAATAACAGAAAACTCTTCGCTATTGGGCAGACATTTTCTTTAAAAAAAAGGGAAAGAAGTGGTCGGGCGCGGTGGCTCACACCTGTAATCCCAGTCCTTTGGGAGACCGAGGCGGGTGGATCACGAGGTTAGGAGATGGAGATCATCGTGGCTAACACGGTGAAACCCCGTCTCTACTAAAAATACCAAAAAAAAATAGCCGCGCGTGATGGCGGGCGCCTTGTAGTCCCAGCTACTCGGGAGGCTGAGGCAGGAGAATGCCGCGAACCCGGGAGGCGGAGCTTGCGCTGAGCCAAGATCGCTCCACTGCACTCCAGCCTGGGCGACAGAGCGAGAGTACGTCTCAATAAACAAACAAAAAAAAAAGGGAATGAAGCGGGCCTGTTGCTTCAAAGAAAACAACTGACCGTGTTTATTGCTAATGAGAAGATTTAAACTTTTGTCAGGTGGGGGGGGTCACATCTGTAATCCCAGCTACTCCGGAAGCTGAGGCAGGAGCATCACTTGAGGCCAGGAGTTCAAGACCACCCTGAGTAAAGTAGTGAGATCCCATCTCTAATAATAAAATAATAATAATAATAATAATAATTTAAGCTTTTAAATGAAACTTAAAATTTTGGGTAACTTGGATTTATCATAATGAGCTTGTCAGCTTTTCAATGATTGAAGACTTTTCTAATCAGATCAGTGGTAATATTAATGAATGTGCTATCTTGATTTCGTATAATAAGATGTGTTAATATCTGGAAGATCACCATAACTCAGTGAACCAATGTTTGCCAGATGATCAGTGAATCATGTTACAAAATGCATGAATAAAAGATCTAATTAAAAGAACAAGACAGATCAATGGCTTTTAAAGTATCCAAGTAAAAAAATTTCATTGACAAATTTTCAGATTCAACATTTTAGCTAACCTCTATGAAAATACTACTTATCAAGTTGTGGTGCAGTAGCAAAGAAAAATATCCACACTTATCTGAAATGGCTATTAAAACACTCTTTCCTTTTCCAATTCCATACCTGTGTAAGGCTGATTTTTTCATATACTTCAATCAAAACAACATATCACAGCAGATTGATTGCTGAACCAATATGGGAATCCGGGTCTCTTCTACCAAGCTAAACATTGAAGAGATTTGCAAAAATGTAAAATAATCTTCTCACTAATACTTTTGTTTTGGGAAATATAGTTATTTTCCTAATAAACATACAATACATTTTATCGTTATATTTAGGAGTTAATAAATATTTCTAAATTTTATCAGTTTTAATTTCTGACATGATAAATATTAACTGATATATCCCACATAAGCAAGAGCTCTCTAACGTCTTTATTAATTTTCAAGAATATAAAGGGGTCTTGACACCAAAAGGTTTGAAAACCACAGTTTTAAAGCATCTTACCAAATTAAACTCTACATTTAATGTAAAGGAAATCATAATGTTGATGGTACATTTTATGCAACTCAGCCAAATAATTCTGAAGTTTATTTGGGAAGGAAAATGTTCATGACTAGCTGAAGAAATTCTGAACAAGCAAATCAATGGAAAGAAACATCCCTACTCATAGTAAGCCATCATATAAAACACAAAAAAATAGCAGTTAAAACTGTGTGGAATCGGCCGGGCGCAGTGGCTCACTCCTGTAATCCCAGCACTTTGGGAGGCCGAGGCAGGCAGATCACCTGAGGTTGGGAGTTCGAGACCAGCCTGAGCAACATGGAGAAACCCCATCTGTACTAAAAATACAAAAAAAAAAAAAAAAAAAAATTATCCGAGCATGGTGGCACGCGCCTGTAATCCCAGCTACTCAGGAGGCTGAGGCAGGAGAATCGCTTGAACCTGAGAGGCGGAGGTTGCAGTGAGCCAAGATGGGGCCATTACACTTCAGCCTTGGCAACAAGAGCGAAACTCTGTCTCAAAACAAAACAAAACAAAACAAACCTGTGTGGAATCAGTACAAAAGTAGATAAACACATCAATAAAATACATTAAAATACAGAAATTGATCCTTCAAATATAATTATGAAGACTTATGAAAAGAGGCCTTTAAGTAGGGAAAAGGTTGTACAATAAATGATGTTGAAATAGATTCGGGGCAAAAACGGAATGTCATATGTTGTTTTGGTCAAGGTTCATAGTTTCAAAAAATAAAATTCCTTCAAACTAGTTTAAGGTAAATGGAACATATTAGAGGGTACGTGGAGTACACAATCCTTGCAGGGAATTCGTGAAGAAAAAGATTCCAGTGTTTATTTTAAGGAATGACCAGCAAAACCAAACCACAGAACTAAACAGCCCGAGGAACTGGTGCATATACTACAAAAGGGGAAGCTGCAAAAATCAGACGTTTCTACCACAGCAGTGACCAGAACCACACCACTTCTCAGGAAGATGCCAAAACAGGAATCCATCTGCCTGATGAGAAGCGGCCACCATAGTTGTTGATTTCAGACCTTGCTACTTCCACCATGACCCAAACCTGCAAAGTGAATGCCCCATGCCCTTTCTTTCTCTCAAAATAACTCAGTTCAAATCACAGTCTCTTGTGAGAACCTCTGATTGGTAGAATGAGACTCGCATCCCTAAACCCTGGTTCTATGGAAGTCTGGAAGGTCAGAATGGTCATTGAGACATACTGCATTTATGACATGATCCTTATCTCTCACCACAGCAAAAATAAATAAAGAACAAAGCCATTACACAAAAATATAGGCAAGCGTTTTTATAATCATACGAAGGAGAAAGATTTCAAAAACAAAATATGAACCCCAGAAGTCATTGTATAAAAAAGATTAATAGCCTTGACTCCCTAAAAAGTGAAAACTTTTAGATGACAAAAGAGAAACAAAATTTAGAAGTCTCATAGCTGGGAGAAAATTTAGCAACATTTATAGCAAAAAAAGGAGGGTTTAGAATTAATAAAAAGACCTTACAAATCAGTAAGAAAAAGATATCCAGCTCTATGAAATTGGGGAAGTGAAATGAGCAAGCAACGATATTCGACTGTTCTTGCATTGCTAGAAATACCTGAGACTGGATAATTAACAAAGAAAAGCCTTTAATTGGCTCACAGTTCTGCAGGCTTTACAGAAAGCATGGTGCTGACATCTGCTTGGCTTCTGGGGAGCCCTCAGGAAGCTTTTACTAGTGGCGGAAGGTGAAGCAGGAGCAGGCATGTCACATGGCCAGAGCAGGAGTAAGAGAGAGAGAGTGGGAGATGCCAGATACTTTAAACCAGATCTTGCGTGAACTCACTCATCACTAAGGTGATAAGCCATTCATGAGGGACCCACCCCCATGATCCAGACATCTCCCACTAGTCCCCACCTCCAACACTGGGGATTACATGTCAACATGAGATTTGGAGGGGAACAAATATCCAAAGTATTTCAGTGATATTTAAATAAAAGCTACTTTTTATCCTATTTGTATAAGGATATAGTTGTTTTGCAATTGCACAGAAATCTAGAGGAATAAAACACCCTTAAAAGAGGCTAATTCTGGGAAGGAAAGTGCAAGTGAGGGGAGAAGGAGGTTGTCAAAAGGGCCCTTTCTTTTGTACATCTTCCCTGTTGTTTGAATTTTTACAAAAATATATTTGGGTATTAGCTGTACAGTTAAACTATAAAATCTTATTTTGCTGGCTTTATAATAGTTAGCAATAAACATATATTTTTGCATTTCAGGGTATGGCTGGAGGCCATTTCAGTGCAATAACAACCATGGTGGGCTTTTTCAATGCTTAGATGTATTTTCTGAAATCAGAAGCTTGTGTTTATACTTTGGATAATTACAAATCCTTGATAATTAATTCCATGCAATTTTTACCATTTTGCTCATATGATATACATTTCTTGATTTTATAATTGGGAAATAAATATTTTATTTATTTCATTTTTGAGACCAGGTTTTACTCTGTCACTAGGCTGGAATGCAGTGGTGCTGTCATACCTCACAGCAACCTCGAACTCCTGGGCTAAAGTGATCCTCCCACCTCAGCCTCCTGAGTAGCTGGGGCTACAAGCACAGGCCACCACCCCAGCTAATTTTTAAATTTTTTGGTAGAAGCAGGGTTTCACTATGTTGCCCAGGCTGGATTGAAACTCTTGGCTCAAGTGATCCTCTTTCTTTGGCTCCCAAAGTGCTGGGATTACAAGCATGAGCCACTGTGCCTGGCCTAGTTTGTTTTCTATTTATAGTACTACTTACTGAGCCTTCAGCAATAGAGTAGGCGTCACCAATTGCCATCTCCCTCACTTCTCCCTAAATAATGATATTCAATTTTTCACCTTCATACAAGCATAGATTTGTGACTAATTATAGAAACCATAAGGGAAAAAGAATATACGGAGGGATAAGTGTCCAAAAACCCTGTCTTTCCTGAAATAATTCAGCAGTATTGATTTAGAGCAGTTGAATCATTACCACCCCTTCTGTAAATATATCAGTCAAGACAGAAATAACTTCTGAGAACTGAGCCTCTTCCTACTCAGAAGTGCTGTGACTGAAGGTAACAAAAATCATTAAAAACTTGAAATTGCAACAAAAGGAATTTAGATTAAATTTAATGACAAATTTTCCCGCTGTGAAAGTTATTAAATACTTGAAGAATTATAAAACTGTGAACATTTATATTTAAAAAATGCACCTCTCTCAATCATCATTAATAATACTTTAGCAATTCCACAAACATTTTTTGAGTATCTACTATGTTCCAAGTTCTGTGCTTGTCACTGGGAAGTATAAAGATGAATGAGACATGATCCTACACACAGGGAATGTATCAAACCTGTGAGAGAAATGAAATGCACCAATTCATTCATTTGTTGGATAAATATTGTAAATGCCAACCATTGGGCATTAGGGATATGATGGTGACCAGCACTCGACTATGGATGTGGAATAAGGGAAGAAAATTCTGTGATGGGTTACAGTGGAGCAAGATTATTTTGCCTGTGATATGAAACAAAGCTTTATGTAAGGGGCATTTGAACTCTGTCATAAGTACAGTTTTAATAGATAAAAATATGGAAAGAGGAAATGTCAGGTTGAGAGAACAGTATGAGGGAAAGGAAGAGAATGTGATAGTAGAGGGTGTGTTGGTATGTACCTGAGGCAGAACTGAAACTCAATACATGATAAACACAATAGGATGCTAGAGGCTATCACTAACAACCCCTAAATCTCAATAGCTCACATCACAGTCACATTTAGAATTCAGACTGTGATCTTCTACATGGAGATTCATGAATCTCTTGGGTCTCTCTTCCTTACTAATTCTACCTGTATTCAGCAGACAAAGAGAGACAGAGAATGAAAGAGCAAGAAAGAGAGATCATGACATAGAGGAGGCTGTACAGAGTGAGCACTAGAACTTGCCATGCATCATTTCTGTCCACATTCTATTGGCCAGAACTAAGTCACATGGATGTGGTCCCACTTAAACACAAAGGAGACTGGGCTATGTAGTCTCCTGCGTGCCCAAGAGGTAACTGAGCCTAGTTTGTTGATCACTTAACGTTATCTCTGCCACAGAGACAATATTATCTATAAAGACCAATTTATTTAAGAGGACTATTGTTTAGTGTTTAAGTAATTTGTATTTAGTTACTGATACATGAAACATGAACAACATTATGTACGTTGCAAACAACTTTTTTTTAATTTTCTTTTTTTTTTAAGAGACAGGATCTTGATATGTTGCCCAGGCTGGAGTGCAATGGCGATTGACAGGCACAATCATAGCACAGTATAGCCTCAAACTCCTGACTTCAAGAGATCTTCCCACCTCAGCCACCCAAGTAGCTGGATGGAAGCAAATATTGAATAACTATTTTACAAGATGCACTCGACTCTGAAAATGCAATAAATGATATAATTACTGAAGGTGCTTACAATTTAGACAAGGGAGAGGACACACAGAGTGAGAGAATTACAATATAATATGGCATATGGTAAATGACAATATACAAAGCAACACTTTATATGATTTTAATTTATGATTCATATAATGCTATTCTGAAAAAGAAGCAAAATATATTGTTATTTGGATTTCATTACATAGTTTTAAGGTAGGCTTATCGTATTCTCCAAGCATAGACAAAATATATTGGCCTTTAAAAAATCAGACAAGTGCAAATGAAAACTGAAGACCTTGATAAACAGACAGTATTATTTACTCTCTAAGGAAAGATACAATTCACATAGCTGTCATGGCGATTTAGTCAGTACACCTGAAAAAAGTTACTTGATCTCTTGACAAGTTAAAAAAAAAAGATTTTGACATTTCATTTGAATCATTTACATTTCTCACATAGAGAAAGTTTACCATAATCATTAAGAATATTGGCATTAGAGTTAGATGCAAATCATTTCAAGTCACAGCCCAGCTTTTTGTTGGCTTGGGGCAAGTTCCTTAACCTCCCTTAACCTCGGTTTCCCCCATTTGTGAAACAATAGGGATCATAACAATAATAACACTAATGCTTCCTCAGGATCTCCTGAGGATTACATGAGTTAAAGCTCCATTGTATTTCGTCCACCACAGGGCACATTATAAATACTTTTTAAATGAAAGATTATGAGAGTGTTAAAAATCAATGTTTTGTAGATTATTTAACAACACGATATGTTGCACAAAAAATGCAATTTAAAGTAAAAATGAATACAATGTAATCCCAACTTTGACTGACACAGACAGACAGAAAAGAAATGCACCAAAATATTAACAATGATGTTTGTAGGTGGTACAATTATGGATGTTTTTATATTCCGGGTCATACAATTCTGAATCTTCAGAAGTTTAGGGGTAAACATTTGTTTCTTTTATTTGCATCGTATTATTTCGAAAATCCCTTACATCCCTTAAACTTTGTATGCATACATAACTGCTTTATTAACATGATGTGATTCCATCTGTTATTTTCTCCTAAAGACAAGGCCACCCTGAGGAAACTCTTGACTTTGCTCTTGCCTTAGAATAATTGGCCAGCAACGTTAAAAATTCATCTGCTGAGAAGCAAATAGGTGTTTTGTTTGTTTGTTTCTAGTTTTTTTCTTAGTCAATAGTAAAAACATAACATACCTTTTCAAATCCTCATTTTTTTCCCCTTTTTTGTCTAATATTTCCTGGATCCTGAATGAATACATATTGGAATAATTCCAAATAATTTCTATTGTTAAATTTTACTGACATTTAAACATGACAATTGGAGATATCAAACTCTAGAACCCCAAACCATTGCAGAGTTTCTTTAAAGCTGAAGCTAAGGTATACAGAGTGCATACATTTATTTGGCTTTGTACATTTAGGTATAAATTGCAATCTTGAGAAAAAGTGTTCATTTTTGTTTCCATTTTAAATAGCTTTCTCTTTTGCATGAACATTTCTTTAAACATTTTTTAATTGACAGATAAAATTGTCTGTAGTATATATAGAGTAGAATGACTAAATCTAGCTAATTAACATATGCATTATCTCACGTAGCTATCATTTTTGTGGTGAGAGCACTTAACATGCACTAACTTAGCATTTTGCAACAATACAAGATGTTATTAACTATGGTCATCATATTTACCATAGATCTCTTGAAGGCATTCTTCCTATCTGACATTTTGTGTTCTTTGACCTATATCCCCACCACCAAATTGCAACAAAAGGAATTTAGATTAAATTCCTTTTTTAGATTCCACATATGAGTGAGATCACATGTTTTTTGTCTTTCTGTACCTGGCTTATTTCACTGAACACAATACCCTCCAGGTTCATCCATGTTGTCACAAATGGCAGGATTTTCGTCTTCTTTTTTTGAGACAGGGTCTCCCTCTGTTTCCCAGGCTGAAGTGCAGTGGTATGATCATGGCTCACTGCAGCTTCGACCTCCTAGGCTCAAGCAATCCTCCTGCCTCAGCCTCCTGAGCAGCTGGAACTACAGACACACGACCACACCAGCCTAATTTTGTGTGTACGTGTGTGTGTGTGTGTGTGTGTGTGTGTGTGTGTTTTGGTAGAGGCAGAGTTTCACTATGTTGCCCAGGCTGGTCTTGAACTCCTGGGCTCAAGTGATCTGCCCCACCTCGGCCTCCCGAAGTGCTGGGATTACAGGTGTGAGCCTCTGTGCCTGCCTGCCTTTTTTTTTTTTTTTTTTTTTTGGCTAAACAGTGTGCATGAACATTTCTTGAATCTTGATTACAAAATTACAAGTTAAACTTTGTGTAAACAAAATTTTCTTTTAACATGTATTAAGTTTGAATATAGGAAAATTGTGCTTGACATTTTTCTTAAATTGTGTGCTCCAGGTTATGCTGATCCGATTTGTAATCAGATAGAATTGAGAGAAGTGACCTATGTTACCTTACAGTTGCCTGTATACGTCCTGAATAGTAAATGTAGAAAAGCTTTGCTGTGGGGAAAGAAAAGAGCCACTGTCCAAAATCATGGATGAATTCTCTCCTGCAATTAAGAAAGTGATGGGCCATCGGAGAAATGCAAATCAAAACCACAGTGAGATACCATCTCACACCAGTTAGAATGGCTATCATTAAAACGTCAGGAAACAATAGATGCTGGAGAGGATGTGGAGAAATAGGAACACTTTTACACTGTTGGTGGGACTGTAAACTAGTTCAACCATTGTGGAAGACAGTGTGGTGATTCCTCAAAGATCTAGAACTAGAAATACCATGTGACCCAGCCATCCCATTACTGGGTATATACCAAAAGGATTATAAATCATGTCGCTTTAAAGACACATGAACACGTATATTTATCGCGGCACTATTCACAATAGCAAACACTTGGAACCAACCGAAATGTCCAACAATGATAGACTGGATTAAGAAAATGTGGCATATATACACCATGGAATACTATGCAGCCATAAAAAAACGATGAGTTCATGTCCTTTCTAGGGACATGGATGAAGCTGGAAACCATCATTCTGAGCAAACTATCGCAAGGACAGAAAACCAAACACTGCATGTTCTCACTCATAGGTGGGAATTGAACAATGAGAACACGTGGACACAGGAAGGGGAACATCACACACTGGGGCCTGTCGTGGGGTTGGGGGAGTGGGGAGGGATAGCATTAGGAGATATACCTAATGTAAATGACGAGTTAATGGGTGCAGCACAGCAAGATGGCACATGGATACATATGTAACAAACCTGCACGTTGCGCACATGTACCCTAGAACTTAAAAGTATAATTTAAAAATAAATAAATAAATAAATAAATAAATAAATAAATAAATAAATAAAGGACGAGCCAAGGAAACTTCCCACCCGTCTGGCCCTGAGCAGTGACTTCAACCTCTGTGCTATTTCACCTGCAATCTTCTCCTGCGAATGGCATTTTCTCCCGTTTTGTTGTTTTTGTTTCCTGATGGTAATTTATTTTTCTTTTAGACAAACTACAAGAAAAAAATAACTTCTCTGACCTTTAGTGCCTGTTTTGACTGCTCAGTTGGATTTTTAAAATGCTTCTAGTCATCTTTCTACTGATAATTGTTATTTGTGGCAACCTCATGGAAGAAGCTAAGGCACAAAATATAATTTTAAAGCGTTTACTTGAGCCAAGATGAGGACAGCTGCCTGAAAGACTCAGACCCAAGTAACTTTGGATATGAGCTTCATTCAACCTTTCTTACAAGCAGGTTTTTAAAGGCAACAAGGCAGACAAGTTGTCAGGAATTCCCATTGGTTAACAGAAATGACAATGATTAGTAATTAGCTATATATTTTTGAACTATAGGATATTAGTTATGGTGTCCAGTGCATGGCATTGTTAGGTTAATTTACAGCTACTTGTGGCGACAGTCAGTCTAGAGCAAGCAGATTCAAGAGATGATTAGCTTAGCTCCAGGGGAGAAGTGGGGCCTGACTGCTGCCTCATTCCCTTGCCTCTCTGGGCCTGATCATTTACAGGAGGCTTGCATTCCTCGGATAAAGTTTCTTTTCTTTCTCATTTGCTTATTCTGTTTCCTTTTCTTCTTTCACATTAAATGGGAAGAAGAAAGTACAAATTCCAGTTCAACAGGTATGTGCAGTCTTATGCCGAAACTAGGACGCCATTTTCCTGGATTATCCATGAAAACATTTTTTCATGGTCTCCAAGGCGGATTCCCTGTTCTGGTCTCAGCTGGATCCTTCAAATAAATTGGATGAAACCAATCTTTGCCATCTCTTTCTCGCGTTATTTATACCTTGACTTGACTCCTATTCCAAACATAACCAGTTTCATCACCAGTACAGAAGGTGACACCATCGGAGCAGGAAAGAGAAATAAGAGCTGCAAAGCCTGTGTTGTGAAAATACTAGGCTCATTCTTTGTCCAAACACCTGAAAAGACTGTGTATTCTGCCATTTGCCAAAGTACATTGTCATATCACATCAAAGAACCCCAGCCCAGGAGGGGACATTGAGGTGTCTGACACGACTTCCTGTCTGATGTATGGGTACCCTCTACAAACATCACCAGTAAACGAGCTGCCCTCTTCCTCTGCCGATCCAGAGACAAAGAGTTGTGCCTCTTGCAAAAGCTCTGCTTTTATGCAGTTCAAACTTTAGAAATCTCTTCCTCTAGTTGAGTCTAAATGTTCTTCCCCGTAACTTGCATTCACTGGTCCAAGTCTGCCCTCTGGAGCATCTCAGAATAAGTCTCCTTCCTCTTCCATCTCACAAGTTCTTCCTAAATTTTTCGGATGAATTAAATAGAAGCTTCTACCAACTATTAACTCCATACCCAGCCTTTTGAAATGCAGCTTGGAAAATGGGAAATTTTCCTACTGAACCTTTAGATCATAAATGGATGCAATAAAGAAAGCACCAAATTCCTTCTTTATTTTACAACTCTACAAATCTCTAGGGATGACATGAGCACAGGTGAGTGCACAAGTACACACAATGCACACACACACACACACACACAGAGTGACCCTATTTCTCCATTTTTCCTAGAGCTGACTTTCACACAAACCCAAGATTACCATTACGAATAGGTAGATATAATCAAGACACTTAGCCAGGGAGCCAACATTTGCCTTCACCTAACAAACAGAATGTAAATACAATAGGTAATTTATTTTTGACATAGACATAAAATAGCTTTTTACAATGGAATGATTTTCACTCCAGATCTAAGCAAAAATGCATTTTCTTTTAAGAATCGTGGGTGATCTCAGTGATTATCTGACTCAATGCTCTCTCTTTTTAGATAAGTAATTTAAGGCCCAGAGGTCTTGATTAAGATCAGTGTCACAGAACTCGGGTTATTTGAACTCTGAGAGGAAGGCTGAAGAAGATTAGTATTGTCTTGCTTGCTCTCAGAAGATAAGAGCTGTGCTTTGACAATTGCAAATAGTTTTCGAACAAAATTTTCTTATGGCACAGCTTTCTGAAACTATTTTACAATGCGTTAACTTCTAGTAACATACATTAGGATCTAATCTTAAGTATTAATTTATTTGAAAATATCTCAAAACTTGTATCCCCCAAAAAGTTCAAAATATATCTCCAGAGAAAAATAAAAACCAACTATCTCAAAATTCACCCTTTGTTTTCCCCAGAATCAAATCTCTAGGGATGACACGAGCACAGGTGAGTGCACAAGTGCACATAATGCACACACACACACACACACACACACACAGAGTGACCCTATTTCTCCATTTTTCCTAGAGCTGACTGTCATACAAACCCAAGATTACCATTACTAATAGGTAGATCTCATCAAGACACTTAGCCAGGGAGCCAACATTTGCCTTCACCTAAAAAACAGGATGTAAATACAATAGGTAATTTATTTTTGACATAGACATAAAATAGCTTTTTACGGTGAGAATGATGAGGTCATTGTGACTTCTACACTTGAAACAATTGGACTTTCTCGTACTTTTGCACTTGAGAATTTAAAATAATAATAAAGAGAACGAAAGAGTACTATGTTGGTACTGCTCCTCACATATTTCATTGGTAAGAGCAGTGATGAAATAGCAATAAAATTTATGAGACAAGAGTTGTGGCTATAAATAGGGATATGCTTTGCTCGCAAACTGCATAGAATCCCCTTCCCTTTAAAAAATATATAGAAGAGGCCAGGTGTGGTGGCTCATGCCTGTAATCCCAGCGCTTTGGGGGGCCAAAGTGGGTGGATCACCTGAGGTCAGGAGTTTGAAACCAGCCTGACCAACATGGTGAAACCCTGTCTCTACTAAAAATACAAAAAAATTAACCAGGCCTGGTGGCACGCGCCTGTAATTCCAGCTACTTGGGAGGCTGAGGAAGGAGAATCACTCGAACCTGGGAGTCAGAGATTACAGTGAGCTGAGATTGCACCACTGCACTCCAGCCTGAGGGACAGAGCAAGTCTGCCTCTCTCAAAAAAAAAAGTATATATATATATATATATATATATATGAAAATAAAATTCCATCACCTAGAGAAAATCACTAGTCACATTTTTGTATGGTTGTCCAGCATTTTCCCCTACATATATGTAAATATACTATATAATGTTAAAATATTGGGGTGAAACTGCTTTTTATTTAACACTGCATTGTATCTCCAGGTCATTAAATTGTCTTCAGGATCATGGCTCTGCATTTTTTAACATGTAGTTGCTCCCTTATTTATATAACACATTCTCTGTTGGTGAAATTTATTGTATTTTTTTGCAGTTTTTCTTTTCCTACCATGACAAATAAGCTCATCTTTTCCAGTCCTTGTTCATTCAAAGCTGGAAACAAACAACACACACACCCAAATCAGACCTGAGATTCTATGCACAAAAGTGCTTCTTGAAACAAATTATCTAATAGTATTGTAAAAAGAAAAAAAAAGAGATAAAATAAGCCAAGTGATATGTGTCACTCAGTGTTCCAGCGAAAAGCTGACTCCAAAAATTACGTGATCATAATAGCAGAATGATGAAAGAGTGACAGACAAAAGGTAAGAGCATGAGGATGAAGAGGTAATACTCAAACAGCTTTGGAAATGGAGAGGAAGCTGGCGAATGACACAAAGGACAGCTGGAGGATGAACCAGTTTCCCAAGGGGCAAAAGAAACAATGTTGTTTGACATCTTCAGCAAACATTCCAAACTGTAGGGAAGAGGGATGATGGGTTTGTGTTGGTGATAACAGCAAAGTATTAAAGCATGCCTAAAAACTTTCACCATAAAGCAACAATTATTCTTGGTAATGCTACCAGGATAACAAGTTTCTACATGTTGTCATGCTGGCAAAGAAAATAGGGTGTATTTAGAGATTAGATGCCCCATGGACATGTGGTCATGGAAACAAAAGCAAACAGCTAACGTGGCTATGTGTTGAGGTCAGTATTTGAGGGAACATCCGGTGTGTGTTTTATTCAGTATTGTGTAGTACAGAAAAGATCACACATGTATATGTCAGAAGTAGATGCACATGTTCTTTTGGCTTTTTTTCTTTGTTTTATTCTTTTTTCATTTTTTGTGTTTTTTGTTAGTTTGTTTTGAATTTTTTTTCTTGATGCATATGTTCCTTCAACTTATTCAGTACTTCCATGTGCAGGGCTCTGGACTAGACTTTCAGGATCTAAGGCTGAATCCTACACAGTCCTCCCTCTGGGAAAGTGATGAAACCTGTGAGCTCTCCTAGCAACTCTGCAGTCTTCCTTCAAGGTATGTGTTGCAATTTGGGGTTGCACATTTTAGTTGTGATATTTGTGATTAGTTGATTAATGTTTGTCATCCCACGAGACTATAAGTGCCATGAGGGTAGATATCTTATCTGTTTTGCTCCCCATTGCTTTTCTCACAGACTGCTCAGCAATGAATCTTTGTTGAATAAAATAATACTTTATACAAAGGTTAGTGATAAATGTAAGAAGCATCTAGATCAAGAACTGATACATTCTTAGGACAGAAAGATTAATCTAGACAATAGCTTTTTGTCTGGAATTATCTTTTATGGAAGAGACGGCCTTGGCAATCAGAAGAGCAGATTAAGCAATTAGTGTAATCATCTAGGTGGGAAGTAATGGGACATAAAGAACTAGAATAGAAACAATAAGAAGGGAGCAGAGTTGATAAATAAAAGCAGTACAGATACAAAATTGTCAGACGGTGGTCACCCATGGGCTATGAAGGGCAAGAAGAAGCAGAGTCTAAGAATGTGCCAGGTGACTGGGAGGACGGAGATTGTAGAAGAAAGAAAAGGGCAGCTGCTTTAGGTGCACGGAGGGCGAAGGACCTCAGGTTCGAATGTGTTGATGTCACCCTGGTGGAGATGTCAAGCAAGATGAGAGCATGGGATCTGCAGGTTTATGAGAAGACCAATTCAGAGAAACAGAATTTTGAGAAATCTACACAGCGTTTTTCCTTGCAGTTAGAAAGGTGGATGAGGTTGTCTAGGGAGATTATATAGAGAGAAAAGCAGAGGACCAAGGACAGGTGCTTGAGAAATGATGAGACTTGGCAGGACTACTTTTTTAAAAGTTCAGGAAGAAAGAGAAGAAGTGGCATTTCTCTTTTTGGTGCATAAAACCCTATAAGAGAAGAAACCATCCTATTCCCAATGCCAGGAAGTTCCCTATGTACCTTGAGAAGGTCTTCCAGGTTTCAGAGGTGTGGAAGATATCAGTTCCTTGGATAAAGGCAGCAGCTACACACTTTCTAGCAGCAAAATGGCTGAAGAACTGAAGGGTTTAGGATTTAGGAGATGGCTACTGGGACTCCAGCCCGTGAACATCCCAAAATGACAAAGACAGCTCTTGGTTAGCATGTCTGTCTCTAAATTGTGCTGACTAATAAACAGCTGTGAGCTCTTTGATTCTCAGTCCATTCTGACTGGGTCACTGTGGGGAATCCTTTAAAACCAATGAGGCCATAAAGCTTGAGCTTTGCCTATCCCTGTTGTTGGAATATTTTGTCTCCAGTCTCCTAAAGATCAGTCTGAGAGACTGGAACACACCTCACAATTTCTTCCTGCAATCTGAAGTTAAGCTCACCCGGGTCTACCATTCAGCCTGGTGATGATTCCACTTCCTTATGCATCAAGATGTTATCATGCTAAACTAGCTAAAACCACTAAAAAAATATGGGATGACTTGGAAAGGTGGAGAAAAGTGGGTAAAAATACAGTAATTTTTTTGGTAAGTCTCCATTAAGCTAATAATAGGTAAGCACCCTCAATGGCTAAGAGCCAGTACCTTAGACCACGTCCTTGAATAAAATAGATGGTCAAGGCTGAAGTGAATGAAATGGTGACATAAGCATCATGCAGCACATTTTGAGGCTTATGGCAACACATGCATATTAATGCAAATATGTGCATTGAGTTCTAAGTGCTAAGGACTGTGATAGCCAATGAGGATAAGTAAAATAATGGTCAAAAGCTTTAGGAAAAGAACTTACGTGAATTCCTTACTTAAATGCCATAACTTAAGAGACTTCAGGTGTGCAGTATTTATTACATAAGCTGGAGAAATTTCATGCTTTGCTAGGCAACAGCCTTGTAGTCCACAGGACATGCTAGATAGCTCCTTTGGTTGATTGAATTGGTCACATTTGGAAAGTGTGCAGCCTATGTATAAGGAAGCATTGGGGCTGCCTTGCTCAGAAACAGGCAGTGAGTAAGGCAGGCATTCAAGGAATCATGGCCGGCCATCTGTAGCCTTAAGAGGTGTGTGCCAGACCCAGGGAGTTGACTAATAAAGAAACTGAGTTAACTGAGAAAGGTCATAATAATATTATATAGTACTGTTGCTCCTTGACTTACGATGGGGGTTACATCCTAATAAACCCATTGTAAATGGAAAGTGTTGTAAAATGCATTTAACACACCTAACCTACTGAACATGATAGCTTGGTTTAGCTTAGCCTTAAAATGTGCTCAGAACACTTACATTAACCTGCAATTGGGCAAAACCATCTAAGACAAAGCCTATTTTATAATAAAGTGTTGAATATCTCATGTAATTTATTGAATCCTGTAGTAAAAATGAAAGACAATGGTTGTATGAGTACTAGAAGTATAACTTCTTGTGAATATGCATTGCTTTCAAATCATCATAAAGTTGAAAAATTGTAAATGAACCATCGTAATTCAAGGAACATCTGTATATATAATATATATAATATATTCTGTTATATATAAATATATGTATGTATATAACACATAATACAATAATTTATATTATATAAATATATTAAAATATATAATACATGTGAATATATATTCATATTGCATATATATTTACATTGCATATGAATATATAATATATAAGTATATAAATTATATGCATGATATAATAATAAAATGTAATGATAAAGAAACTTAGTTAACTAAGCAACACACAGTGAAGTTAAGTGTAACATTAGAAAAAAACAGAAGGCCAGGCACGGTGGCTCATGCCTGTAATCCCAGCACTTTGGGAGGCCAAGGCGGGTGGATCACGAGGTCAGGAGATCGAGACCATTCTGGCTAACACGGTGAAACCTCATCTCTACTAAAAATACAAAAACTTAGCCGGGCATGGTGGCAGGCGCCTGTAGTCCCCGCTACTTGGGAGGCTGAGGCAGGAGAATGGCGTGAACCTGGGAGGCGGAGCTTGCAGTGAGCCGAGATCGCACCACTGCACTCCAGCCTGGGTGACAGGGCAAGACTCCGTTTCAAAAACAAACAAACAAAAAACCAGAAAAACACGTGTTCAACGTTTCATAGTTGTCTAATTTCTGTTGAGACTATGGCCAACACACTTTATAATTCTTCCTCAGAGAAAACGTATTGTTTCTACATAGACTCTACTTATTAATAACAATCTTATGTGTGGCATCACTGGCCTGTTTGTATTGTTTTCTTTTTCTTTTCTTTCTTTCTTTTTTTATATACAAAAATCTCCATTCTAAGAACTCAAGTTAGGAAATGCCATAGGATTGGTTATGACTACCGAGAGTAAAAATCCACTGAAATTTTAAAAAACTGAAAAACGTTAAACCTCACAAATAATGAGAAAATAATGCAATAAACCCCCATGTGTACACCCAGCATCAGCAACTGTCAATATTTTGACAGTCATTTTTTATCCTTTCCTCCTTTTTGCTGAGATGTGAAAGTGAAATTCTCTGGTACAAAAATAACATAAATGGCTTAAAAGTCTAGCTATGTTTCTCTGGTGTACAAATTTTCTTTACAGTACATTTTTCTTTCCTTTCCCACAACCATTACCCAAATTCTACTGGTGGTCACTGAAATGCCGCTTATGATGGCCTCAACTAGAAAAATCTCTTTATTTTTCTACCTGCCTCCAAACAAGAAAGAAGTTGGTAACTCATGTCATAGTTCACAAGTCTCTAGGGATTCTACATGTCTGCTTCAAGCCGTCAGTGAACTTTCAGAAAACAAATGCAAATATTTTACATTTGTTTATTATATAAGGGGGTTTCAAAGCTTCTATCAACATTTTCATAGGGGCCTATTACCTACAAAAGGTTAAGAATCTCTGCCTCTATTATGTCTTGAAAGCATATCAAATATACTTTCTCACTTCCACTCCCTAGTTAATTCTATTTATTTATTTACTTATTTTGAGATAGGTTCTCTGTCACCCAGGCTGGAATGCAGTGGTGCAAGCACAGCTCACTGCAACTTCAAGCTTCTGGGCTCAAGTGACCCTCCTGCCTCAACCTCCTGAATGGCTGGGATCATAGGCATGCACCACCACGCCCAGCTAATGTTTTGTATTTCTTTCAGAAATGAGGTTTCACTATGTTGCCCAAGCTGGTCTCAAACTCCTGGCCTCAAGCGATCCTCCCACCTCAGCCTCCCAAACTGCTGGAATAACAGGCATGAGCCACCTCACCTAGTCCTTAGCCAATTTTTTATATCTAAATCAGACATTGGACACCACTTCCAGGATGCCTTCCCTGACAATGTCACCTATAACTGATTTCCCTTATGTTTTCCTACAAAAGTTAAGGTAGGTTACTTTCCTGTTTATCACAGTCTTTCAATCACTGGACGAGTATTTATCAGGTCCTACTATTTGCCAGGCACTATCCTATACTTTAGGTATGCTTTGTCTCCTAATGCACTGTTAGAAGAGGACAAGGAACATCACAGTATCCAATACGTCTTCTGTGTCCGAAGACATATTGTAGTTGTAGCTCCAGTGAATGGAAGCAAGGATGAGCTGCTGCATTTCTGTAGCTGGCATTCAGCTCAAGAATACGTAAAACCAGACTCGTGGTTTTTTCTTTCTTTCTTTCTTTCTTTCTTTTTGAATGTGAGGCCTTTACAGAAAAAGAAAATGTCAGTCTGATTATCCAGGGCATGAGGATAAAGAGAAGCCCAAACAAAGGTTTCCCCCACTCCACCCCACCCAATATACTGTGGCACTAGAAAACGATTCCAGAATCAGAAACTATATGCTGACGTCCATTAGCCCTCTTAGTAGCACCTGAAATAGACCAGCGTCTATGTGAGACCTGTAGTTGTGTCCTCACAAATAACCTGTTATAGACCAGCGTCTATGTGAGACCTGTAGTTGGGTCCCCATAAATAACCTGAACTGGAAACAACAGCTCGACATGAACTCTGCCCCCTACGCTGGGGATCAGGAGCACGAACCTCTATACAAAGGGCGGCAGAGCGGTTACTAAATGTGCTCATTTTTCGTCACTAAGAACGTGCATTTTTAAAGTGCATAGATCCCTGATGATAACGGAGTTGTTTGATAATAGGCGGTTGAAGATACTATTACGTTAGGGACCTGGAAGAAAGTAGTTAACGCTATTGTCATAGAAGCAATGGGGGGAGGAAAGGTTTGTGTCCAGTTTTGGGCAAAAACTTCTAAGTTCCACCCCGCCTTCTGATGGATGCTTTTTTGATGGGGCTCGTTTTGCAAAACTCAGCAGATTAGGCATGTTGTGTAGTGGAATGATTTGGAGCGTCTAAGCCGTGGCACCCTACTTAACCCCCCCATCTCCAGTTATCCCAATGAACCGACCCCGAGGGGGCATTTCCGCTGAAGTCCGGGGCTGTAAAAAATTAAGTGAGAAGAGCCGCGCTAAAGCCAAGCGTCGTCGTCACCCAAGGTACTGCGCTGATGCGCTGCGGGCCGACCAGGTGCTCCCGCCGGGGCGTCTTCTCCTACGCAGGAAGGGCCACGCCGAGAGAGGCAGGCAACAAGGGCACGGCTGGAGGCCGGAAGGTCACCCCGTCCCCGGCGGGGCGGGCGCGGCCCAGCCTCACTTCCCGGGCACGTTCGGGCGGGGCGATTGCAGGGAACGGGGCGGGGAGGCGACAGTCCCCGGCTCCGCCGCGCGCCAGCCCGCCTTCGCTGCCCGGAGGCGCCGCAGGCCTGGGTTCCCGGACAGCTGAGCCCGAGCGCCGCCTCCCGAAAGGTGAAGGCGGCCCGGGGAGGCGGGGACGGTGACGGGGGCGGGGGCCGCGGGCGGTCTCCCGACGGCTGTCGCGGGGCCAGCCCAAAGCCCCCGATCCCCGGTAGCTGCGCTTCCCGCGCGGGGCGCCGGAGTAGGGCGGGCCAAGCTGGCCTGCGGCCGCGGCGGGAAGAAGGGCTAGCGAAGCACCCCCGACCGGGCCCAGGCGCCGGACGCCGGGGGGCGCCTCGCTGCAACTTCTCTTTGGAAGCCCCGACACGAGCCCCGGCCCGCGCGCGCGCTCCCCCACGGCCACGCGCGCACCCTGCCGCCCGCACCCCCGCGCGCCCTCCGTCTATTTTTTCCTCTTCCTTTCATCCTCACACTCTAAAATAGGTCAAGGGGTGGAAGTTACACCTGGTGCAGCCCTCGGCTCTGATGCAAAAGCAGCTTTTGCCCCTGGCTGCGGGACAGCGCTGTGACTACTCGCAACGGGAGAGCTGCTGCCAGTCGCCACACCGTGCGGAAAGCGCCGGCGACCGGAGCACTGACAATGGTCTGCATAGGGGAGCGGAGAGAAGCTTCTGTTGCGCCCTAGATCCGCTGCCTCGGCGCCCGCCCGCAGGGAGGAGGGGGCGCGACAGGTCGTCTAGCGCGTGCCCCGGAGCCCGCGCCCGGGTCTGGCCGCCTGGGTGAGTTCCTGCTCGTCCCCTGCCTTTCCAGTAGCCCGGGGTGGCTGTTTACCTTGCAAACAGCCTTGCAATACGATCAAAACAGGCGAGACAGCCATGCAGTAAGGGATTGCGGGATGTGCTTTGGGTGTGAGATTGGATAAATCAGAATTCAGAGATAAAGGACATGTCTAGTGCCTTAAGGGTTAAAGTGGATTCGTATTTTTTCATGGAGTGCACGTGTATCTTTCCCTGGGGAACTGATTTTTAATTAGTAAGAGGCAAAGAACTAAGATAACTTGAAGCCAGAAAGTTTTCAAAGCTCACGATGAAAATACAGTTTAAGAAGGAATGCCAAAATAGGAAGGTAAGGATTTGTATGATATTACTTGCTATGTGTGGGGTTTTTTTTGTTGTTGTTTGACGGAGTCTCTCTCTGTCACCCAGGCTGGAGTGCAATGGCACGATCTCGGCTCACTGCAACCTCCGCCTCCCGGGTTCAAGCAATTCCCTTGCGTCAGTCTTCTGAGTAGCTGGGATTACAGGCAACCGTCACCATGCCTGGCTAATTTTTGTATTTTTACTAGAGACGGGGTTTCACCATGTTGGTCAGGCTGGTCTGGAACTCCTGACCTCGTGATCCGCCTGCCTCGGCCTCCCAAAGTGCTGGGATTACAGGCGTGAGCCACCGGGCCCGGCTGATTCTTTTTATAGTACTTGGGTTCTTTGTGATAAATGATGTGAGCCCACAATGCTCTATGTAGAAAGAAGATAAGGCTGTAAACGTCTACTTGCAGAGCTTTATGTTAGGTGGTAGGCATGAATTTAAATGTACATTGAAAATTTAGTGTGTAGAAAGAGCTAAAATATATCTATATTGTTTTCAGGTTAAGATTATTGGTAATACAGCTAACCATTGGCATTTCACCCTGTTTCAGCAATTAAAATTGCTATTATTCATGTGACATCAGCAAATGGAAGCCTTTATCTTTCTATTTTTTATTATTTATTTGTTTGTTTGTTTATGTTTGAGATGGAGCCTCACTCTATCGCCTAGGCTGGGGTGCAGTGGTGCGATCTTGGCTCAATACAACTTCCGTCTCCCGAGTTCAACCGATTCTCCTGCCTCAGCCTCCCCAGTAGCTGGGATTACAGGTGCAAACCACCATGCCCAGCTAATTTTTTTGTGTTTTTAGTAGAGAGGGGGATTTCACCTTGTTGGCCAGGCTGGTCTTGAACTCCTGACCTCAAATGATCCACCCACCTTGGAAGCCTTTATCTTTTAGCTAACGAATGGTTAACTTGTTTGAAGTTTGGGGAAGGGAGAGTTAGAACTTTCTCTGTCTTTGATGGCTGGCTGAGAATACAGGGTAAAGAACTGTCCAGTGTTGTGAGTGGTGCCTTAGAGTTGCTCATAGCAAGAAAATCACTTGGGAGGGTGGAAGTGGCTCTCAGATGGTCATTGGTTACCTATAACTTATTTAAAGAAGACCTTGAGAAGTTGGGACATATCTTGTCACTGAGGAAATTGTGCCAAAGAACTGCTGCTTTATTAACGCATTTGATCAGATTTGAAAAGAGAGCTCTGTATACACTCTTTTTCTAACTCCAAAGAAATTTTGTTTCTAGAAAGATTCAATTACCGTAATGATGTTCTTTGGAAATGTGCCTTTTTGCGTGTATATCTTAATATGGATAAAGTTCCAAGGTAGTTCAAAGGTTTTAATAAAATTTTACTTACCAGAGTGATGTGAAATTGGGAATACCCTGTGTGAATGGTTAACTCTACTTTAAATTGGAAGGTCAATGGGAGTGGGGATCTTCCCAGTAAATCTTAAATCTCTGTGTACGTGTATCTCTGACAGCGAAATCTTACTGGAGATTGCAGGGGTTGTAAAGAAGAGACCAGACCTTATAGTATTTCTGATACGCGGATATGTGAATGCTTAAATGCATTTCACTTGTAAAGAATTTATATGCTCCTTTAGAGAACTAGTCTCCAAAATTTGAAACACATTTATGAAGAAGGCTCTATCATTGCTTTGAAGAAGACACAAGCAAGACATATTTGGCACTATACAGGCTCATAATATTGAGAGCAAAATGCAATTAAATGCCTGTTTACTACATGTCACTGTTCTCATTTGTGTTTTTAAACAGGAATTGAGTGAAAGCTCTCATTGCGATTAAGCCCCTGGTATAATGCATTATTGAAATTAGGCTGTCAGCGCTTGTCTGTGCAATCTTATGTTTTTACTCGTAGATAAATTAGGAATTCTTCTGAAAAGAATGGCATGAAAGCATTAAGATAACTGGAGAATTCATTTAAGGACAGACTGAAGAGTGATGCCAAATGGCCATTTAAATGTCCTTCAGCTTTTGTGACTCACTTCTTTTGATGCCATAAAGAAAGTACCTTGCATAGAACTCCTAGCTGAGACATCTTCAAAAAGAGTTAACATCATTCATTTTGGATACTCACTTCTCATCCAGAGAAACTTCTAACCACTCAAAGAAGACATTTTAAGAGTTTGAACTAGATCACCTGGATTAAAAAGCCCAGCTCTGAGCCATTTCCTTGTCTGTGAAATGGAGATAATGACACCTCCCCAGGTGGCTGTGGGGAGCAAATGAATAGGTGTAAATGCTGAGTACACAGTTGGCACATTGTGAGCAGTCATAAAGAGGGGTTTATAATAAGAAGTAGGAGTGTGTTGACTAAATATCATCTCCTGGAGGCTGCAGAGAGGTTGCTGCCTAATAGACTCTAGAACTGAATATTTGGGTCACTGGTTTAATCCCCCATCTGGGTATACTGAATATACTGCTAGTATACTCCTATAGCATAGAGTATAGAATATGCTGTACTCTTAGTAATCAGTGTCCTTTGGGAGCCAGAGGCTGTCACACTTGCATCTTCTCCACCCTAGACAGGCCTTTGACTCAGCTAGGTTAAAGAAGTAACCTGTGGTTGTTTTTAGAGATGATGATGAGGTGGTAGGGGAAGGAGGGCACTTGAGGAGTTTGGTGTATGGTCCTCTTCACACATATGCGTGTTTTTATTCTCTTTGCCTTTCCCCGTTCCCTCCTATCCTCCCTTCTTTTCTCTCTAGGGGTCCCGATCATTATTTCCCAGCCTTTGTTAATATGTCTCGGCATCAACCCTAAGCCGTAAAGGGTTGTTAGTCCTGATTTGGGTAGTCCTGCAAGGTGCAGCCTATGAACTTCTTGTTCTTAAAGGTGTAACTGCGAATGTCAAATAGGCACAACCTTTGCCACTTCCATGGTTCTTCTGGGGTGTTACGTCCCATTTTGCTGTATCGAATGTGCTCATTTCTACCTTCTCTTTCTTCTCTGTTAGGTTGCAGATAATGGAAACTATCCTAACTATTTCGAGCAGGAAGGGGTTGAATATGAGAATTAGATGCTCACAGGAAGGTTGGAATGAAGGTTGCAACTGAAAGTAGGGGAGGGGACCTGGCCTGAGCCTCATGCGTTGGCTCCCGGGCGGCAAGCTTGATGGGCCCCCAGGGTTGCTGCTGTCATTGCCACAGCCTGGGGGCTGGGAATCAGAACCACCGCTAGAACTGCTAACATCAAGGGTGCACCTTTTGGGCTGTGTTCCATTGATCAGAGAGGCTGCTGCAAAATGCCTCTCCACCCTAGGAAGCTGGTGACTGAACATTGCTACCAACAACAAAAACAAGAAAGCAAATGTTTTCCTTAGATGCTCTCCACTTTCCTTCTTACGCTACTCATCTCCCTGCAAGAACACTGTGCCCAGAACCCTAGCTGCAAGGGACTCTGGGAAATGCAGCTTATAGGTTTCTAGCCTCAAAGGTAGAGGGATGCACACTTGAAGGAGATAGGAGTGAATGTTCTGTGACAATCCATCATGCCTAACACATATCTAAAATATATTTCATCCGAGATTTGGCTAGAGTATTTATTTTTAAAATTGGTAGAGATTGACTTTGGAAAGGTAAGAGGATATGTTGTAAAAATTTTTTAAAGGAGCTAGTTGCTAACCAGTTACCTTTTCAAACAGATGGATGTTATCGTTTTGCAGCTGAAATTGCTGGAAAAAGCATCAAGCAAATGAATAACTAAAAATTACCAAGCGCCTGCCTCTGCATACGGTACTAATTGAATGAAAATAATGTTTCTTAGGTTTGATTTCATAATCAAGGTAAAATATTAGGAAAATGATTGTTTAAAAATTATTTTTCCTTCTCAAAGCCGCAGATAGTCTACCCATTTAATGAACCACAATACAAAGGAAGAAAGTAATGTACTGAGAGAGAAATAATAGCACCTGGCTTGTTAGTTCTTTCATTAGATGAATTATCTGTGTTTTTCCCGAATCTTTCTCTCCCCTGTAACTTTCAGCATGCTCATTTTAAGGATTACAGAAATAGACATGACTTGTTTATTGGAGAATAACATAAGAGTATGCTTGAATTCACTTTAATTACTTATTTCATACCCTGGTGCTTGTCAGATTCCTTTTTTTCCAAACTATTGAAGTAGATATGATTGGATCTCTTCTATTTTTAAGCAGTAAATTACCAGTTTATTTGCACTCACAAATTACATTAGCACATCAAGGGATGGTCTTGATTATTGAACAAAATTTTGTTATATTTACCTCTGATATTTGGAGTTGGAAAATGAGAGAAAATATTCGTCCAGGGAGTGGATAACAATAAGGTTATGATAGTATGGTACTTTTATTATAAGTGCAGAACAGTAGCTTACTCGAAGAGAAAGTGGTGTATTCTCTCATGGTGAGGTGGAAGATGGAAATAATTGAAACATGAACATGTTTCTGCTTTCAAAGAATATTTGTTGATATTTTTAATAGCAACAAAAAGGTAGCCAAGAGAGGCAAGAAGTAGCAACTGTCTGGGCCCATGTCTTTGTCTTCTCTGTTCCCTTTAACACAGAGCTAGTGAAGTAGGTGAGCTTGATAAATGTTAGAGAGTTTTAGTGTTTAGAGAAATAATGTGTTTATAAGAAATGAGGACTGCTCTTGGTGCTCTAATCAGTGTTCATGAAGTAATCAGAAGCCATTAAAATTTTATCAGAGCCTATAACATTCCATGGGACATCAAATTTATGATTAGAGTAATTAAAAAAATACAGGTACATTCTCAATGTTAAGACATTTGCATACAAAGATGGTAATTCAATGACTTAATACAATTATGAAATAGATCTAGGGTGATCAGATGACTTATTGTTCAAGCCAGGACACTTTTGAGAGTGAAGAGGGAATGATTACTGATTGCCCTGAATACAGAAGCATAAATGGAGACTACCTCAGCAAACCTAGGGGTGACCAGGACTTAATGGTCACTCAAGATTAAGGTGCTAGTATTATAGCTTGATTGCATTAACTGCAACATTGATTTTAAAAAATTGTAATAAAATATGCATAGAATTTTGTATTTTGCATAGAATGAAGTGTACTATTTTAACTGTTTTTTGAGTGTACAGTTCAGTGACATTTATTTTCACATTGCTGTGCAACCATCGCTGCCATCCATCTCCAGAACGTTTTTATCTTCTCAAAGTGAAACTCCATACCCATTAAACCATAACTCCCCATCCCTCCTCCTCACAGTACCTTTTTGTTGCTGTTAAAAATATCAATAAGGGATTCCACTTATATAGTATATTAGTCCGTTTTCACCCGGCTGATAAAGACATACCCGAGACTGGGTGATTTATAAAGAAAAAGAGGTTTTTTGTCCTTTTGTGATTAATTTATTCCATGTAGTATAATATTTTCAAGGTTCATCCATGTTATAGTGTATATCAGAATCTCCTTTCTTTTTAAGGCTGAATAATATCCCATTGTTTACGCCACATTATGCTTATCCATTCAGCTGCAGTTCGGATACATGGCTTGCCTCCACCTTTTGCCTGTTGTGCATAATGCTGCCGTGAATATGAGTGTACGGATATCTCTTAGAGTCCCTGCTTTCAATTCTTTTAGGTATATACCCAAGTATTGGTTTTTAAATGAAGAAATTAAAAATGGAAGGAAAAGAAAAGCATTCTTTTCTTCTGTAAGATATTTCTGATCCTGTTTCTCCAGCATAGTACTGCATCAGATTGGTGCCCAGCTATGCCTCTGTAGGGTTCATCAGAAGAAGCAGGTAATTGAAAGAAACTACCTGCTGAAAAAAGCACCCAAGATCTTAAATTTCATCTCCATACAAGAAAGGAAGCTAGTTTTTCTGTCACAACTACCATGATGCATTTACCACAGATGTATGTCTCTAAATGAACAAGGCTAGCATCTAGAATGTCAGAATCTGAACAAAGTGAATGATGGCCTTCAGTAGCACAAAGAACCAGCATGAGATTGAACAAAAGAATTCTCCATGTGACATATACACCATGGAATACTATGCAGCCATAAAAAAGGATGAGTTCCTGTCCTTTGTGGGGACATGGATGAAGCTGGAAACCATCATTCTCAGCAAACTTTCACAAAGTCAGAAAACCAGACACCACATGTTCTCATTCATAGGTGGGAATTGAACAATGAGAACACTTGGACACAGGGCGGGGAACATCACACACCGGGGCTTGTCAGGGGTCGGGGGCTGTGGGAGGGATAGCATTAGGAGAAATATCTAATGTAAATGACAAGTTGATGGGTGCAGCAAACCAACATGGCACATGTATACCTATGTAACAAACCTGCATGTTGTGCACATGTACCCTAGAACTTAAAGTATAATAATAATAATAAAAAGAATTCTTCACGTGACCAAGAACATCTTTGTAACACAGGGGACCATGAACTTCCTGGGTGAAAGGGAACAGGTCTAACAACTACACCTTGGGCATCCCTAACCTGAAAATCCAAAATTTGAAATGCTCCAGTATCCAAAAATTTTTGAGCACTAATATGATATGCCAAGTGGAAAAATCCCACACCTGACTTCACTTGACAGATTGCGGTCAAAACGCAGTCCAAACTTTGTTTCATGCGTACAATTATTTCAAAAGATTGTATAAAATTACCTTCAGCTATGTGTATATAAATCATAAATGTATGTTGTCTTTATGTCCATGCAAATATGCCACAACTGGAAACACTTCTGGTCCCAAGCATTTGTATTTTCCTCTCCTCTCCTCTCCTCTCCTTTCCTTTTTCCTTCCTTTTTTTTTTTTTTTTTTTTTTTGACAGAGTCTTGCTCTGTTGCCCAGGCTGGAGTGCAGTGGCACCATCATGGCTCATTGGAACCTCAACCTCCTGGGCTCAAATGATCCTCCTGCCTCAGCCGCCCAAGTAGCCGGGGCTACAGGTTCACGCCACTACACCTAGCTAACTTTGTTTAGTTTTTGTGTATACTAGGTCTCACAAAAAGGCTACTTTGCCCAGGCTGGTCTTGAACTCCTAGGCTCAAGCGATCCTCCCACCTCAGCTTCCCCAAGTGCTGGGATTACAAACGTGAGCCACCATGCCTGGCCTGGTCCCAAAGATTTCAGAAAAGGAATACTTAATCTGCTTCTCTTGATTTGGAAGCTGAGATGAAAGGAGACAGGCTACAGCAGAATAGGGAGCTTCCAGGTACCCAGAAAAGTATTCTTCCTTTGGCTGTGGAAGTAGACACCTGAATGCCAGTGTCAAGAACATACGTGCAGCTGATCTCAATTCAGACAATCCCTTTATGGAAGTGGAGACATCAAATTGCAACTCTTCATTGGAAGTTTTAAGTAACACAATTTCCACTGGAGCTTTACAGTCCTGGAAAGTAATGTCCATGCCTCTGGGACAAATAAGGAGTTGCTGCATTTACTATATGGGAATTGCTCCCCCTGTTTAATTCTCTGAGCCAGTTTTGGCACTCTAAGGAGTCAACAGAGGAAATCTGCTCATTTTTAGTGGCAGCCTTAAGGGAAATAGTTACATTTCAGTCACTAGTAGTAACCAAGCTTAAGAAAATATATCTGCAAAAGCTACCTGACAATCAGAAATGGTAGCTGAGAACCAAACACGTATTAAGGAGCTTTCAGAAAAATGGAGCCCACGGAGTATCTTACGGCAGCCCAGAATGGACAGTGTTCCCAGGCCTGCTCTCCTTGGACTGTACCTGTATGGGTGAAGACTGAAAAATGAACAGGCAACTCCACACAGAACCTGCACACAAATGTCTGTAGCCACTTTGTTCCTAATTGCCAAAAACTGGAAGCAACCAAGATGTCCTTCAATAGGTGAATGGATAAACAAATTGTAGTATATCCTTACAATGGAATATTATTTAGTGATTAAAAAGAAATGATTTTTCAAGTCACAAAAAGACACGGTGGAACCCTAAATGCATATTACTAAGTAAAAGAAGCCAGTCTGAAAAAGCCTAAATGCTGTGTGATTCCAGCTAATTGACATATGCAAAGGCAAAACTCTAGAGACTGTAAAAAGATCAGTGGTTGCCATGGGTCGAGTGTGGGGGTAAGAGAAGAATAGGTTAAACACCAGGGATTTGTAGGGCAATAAAACTGGGCTGGGCGCGGTGGCTCACACCTGTAATCCCAGCACTTTGGGAGGCCAAAGTGGGTGGATCACGAGGTCAAGAGACCTAGACCATCCTGGCCAAAGTAGTGAAACCTTGTCTCTACTAAAAATACAAAAATTAGCTGGGCGTGATGGTGCGTGCCTGTAGTCCCAGCTACTCGGGAGGCTGAGGCAGGAGAATCGCTTGAACCCGGGAAGTGGAGGTTGCAGTGAGCCGAGATTGCACCACTGCACTCCAGCCTGGTGACAGAGTGAGACTCCATCTCAAAACAAACAAACAAACAAAAAACTATTCTGTGTGATATAGTAGTGGTGGATATGTGACATTATGCATTTGGCAAAACACAAAGAACTGTCTAATACAAAGAGTGAATCCTAATACAGCCTACGAATGTTAGTTAATAATAAATATCAATAGTGGTTCATCAGTTGTAACCCAAGTACCACACCAATGCAATATTTTAATTTAAAAAAATCATATTTTTTTTAAAGTTAAGAAATACCTCACTTGATGCTAGCATAGGAGTTGTAGAAAACATTACCTTCGGCCGGGCGCGGTGGCTCACGCCTGTAATCCCAGCACTTTGGGAGGCCGAGGTGGGCGGATCACGAGGTCAGGAGATGGAGACCATCCTGGTTAACACGGTGAAACCCCGTCTCTACTAAAAACACAAAAAATTAGCTGGGCGTGGTGGTGGGCGCCTGTAGTCCCAGCTACCTGAGAGGCTGAGGCAGGAGAATGGCTTGAACCCGGGAGGCGGAGCTTGCAGTGAGCCGAGATCACGCCACAGCACTCCAGCCTGGGTGACAGAGCGAGACTCCATCTCAAAAAAAAAAAAAAAAAAGAAAGAAGAAAACGTTACCTTCAGGGATCCAAGTGATGGCAGGTCAAATGGTAGGCTACATAGCTCCAAGTCAAAAGAATTAACAAAACAGAGCAGCTCTGTTGCCTTAATCCCAGAGGAAACATCTAATCAGCTACACTGCACCTTCAGTGCAGACATTTCACCCAGGCTTTTAGCAGGCGAGGAGAATATATTCAATCAGACTTCTCAGCAGACCACTTCCTTGCCATCCAGTTTCATATTGGTTAAAGACTTGGATCAGAGACCACAGAATCCATTAACAGACACACCTGAAACCACAGAGAATGCCAGCCCTGAAGCTGCAATGCCAACCATCCACAAGTTTCTCCAACCTTCTACCATTAATGTTTTGTCCTACAGACATGGACTGGATTCTCCATGCTAGCTTTCCTCTGCAGGAAGCTCTTGGGGCTATGCATTGAGTTGGCAGAAATGCAGACCTTGATATTCTTGCTTTGCTAGGACACCATCATAACTATGGAAAAATGGGCTTCATCATATGCCATTCCCTTCAAAAGGCTGTGTAGACACACCCATACATATACATTATGTGTAGAAACCTACATGCAGAATGTTGAGTTAGATAATTTTAACGATTTTTGTCAGCCAAAATAATTTATGATCTCTTGTCTGATAGTTTGTCTACTTGTTAAAATGTGGGCCTTTTAAAATGTGTTGGCAGTATGTGCATACAGAAGATTTTCGTTCTCCTTAAGATGATGTGTTCTGGCTTAAATTTTTTTTTTCGTTTGTTTTTTGTTTTTTGTTTTTGATAGGGTTCCCCTCTATCACCCAGGCTGGAGTGCAGTGGTGTGATCTTGGCTCACTGCAACCTCTGCCTCCTGGGTTCAAGCGATCCTCGTACCTCAGCCCCCCAAGTAGCTGGGACTACAGGTGTGTGCCACTACACCCAGCTAATTTTTATATTTTTTGTAGAGACGGGGTCTCGCTATGTTGTCCAGGCTGGTCTGGAACTCCTGAGCTCAAGTGATCTTCCCACCTCGCCCTCCCAAAGTACTGAGATTATAGGCATGAGCCACTGCGCCTGGCCAGATTGATGGTTTTATGTGTAGCATACCACTTTAGAATGAAAGTGAGTCTTTGAAAAGCAGAACCTACTAGAAATCCTACCACTGGCACAGCTAACAGCTGACTGACTTCACGCTGTGGCTGTGTGTTTGTGCTATAGACGAGGTAGGGCTTGTCAACTTAATTGTCAAGTTAAAAACTTGTAGCCACATGATTTGGGGGTTTGATTTCTTCCCAGTCCGCTGAGTATTATGATTTATCCATTAAAGCAGGAAATTCAAGAATAATTGAATAACTAAAAAATGGAGGAAAAATTATGTTATATTTTTACATGGAGCTTTTTATTACAGGTAAATAGTAATCACTAAACCATGTATACTGGCAGCTGGGCATGGTGGCTCACTCCTGTAATCCCAGCACTTTGGGAGGCCAAGGTGGGCGATTCATGAGGTCAGGAGTTTGAGACCAGCTGGCCAATATAGTGAAACACCGTCTCTACTTTAAAAATTCAAAAATTAGCCTGGTGTGGTGGCATGCGTCTGTAATCCCCGCTACTCAGGAGGCTGAGGCAGGAGAATTGCTTGAACCTGGGAGGTAGAGGTTGCAGTGAGCCAAGATTGCACCACTGCACTCCAGCCTGGGAGACAGAGTGAGACTTTGTCACAAAAACAAAACAAAACAGAAAAACACATGTATACTGACAGGACACAGTGGCTCATGCCTGTAATCCTAGTGTTTTGGGAGGCAGAGCTAGGCAGATCGCTTGAGCCCAGGAATTCAAGGCCAGCCTGGGCAACATGGTGAAACCCCGTCTCTACAAAAACAAAAATTAGCCTGGCGGTGGTGGAGTGTGCCTGTAGTTCTAGCTACTCGGGAGGCTTGAGCAGAGAGGATTGCTTGAGCCTTGGAGGTCAATGCTATGATGAGCCGTGATTGCACCACTGCACTCCAGCCTGCGCAGCAGAAGAAGACCCTGTCTCAAACAAAACAAAAATGTATACAAGTTTTTTAAAACCTTGTGCAATGGCTACTTTCATTTAAGCTGTGCCTGAGTAGCTCCTGTTTTCTGTTTATTTAAACTAGGCTGCAGCGTGGCATGATAGATCTGTGGACATGTGGAATCAGCCCATATGGGTTCTAGTCCTTGCTCCTCAAGAAACTAGTGATATTGTTTCCATACTGGTTGATTCCCAAATATTTATAAATGACACCAATCGCATCAGCTTTGGTTTTGTAAACCATTCACTTGTTTTTGACTCTGATCTTCTCGTACATGAACTGTGTAACTTCTCATTTTCTAACAATTTAGGATGCCCTAAAACAGAGGTTTTATGATCAAGGTAGAATATTGGCTTTTCTAAGGAAACTCAAAAAGACTCGTGTCATTATTGTGACATTAGTTTTGTTATTTTAAAGCTATTTTTCAAAAATATTGTATTGCATCTTTTTGAAAAACATTATTTTACATTTCAACATCATTGACATGGGGTACATCCTACAGTTGATAACACATCCTCATCTTTCTTGGCAATAAGTAAAATAGTTGTGTATTTTACAAAATAGATGGCCTCCTAGCTTCTGTGAAATGTGTGATAGCCACTCACCAGAACATTTCCATCCTGCCGCAGGAACTTCATGTCGAATGCTTTGTCTTATTTATTTTGTAATTTTAAATTTGGAGCCAGAGTTCCGTATTCCTGTTTAATTTGTTTTTTACTTTTAAAGCAGTTTATGATAGAACTCCTTGAGGTTAAAAAATAGTATTTGTAGTTTTTAACTCTAAATAATTGCTTTTTGTTTGTTTTTGCTTGTTCGTTTGTTTTTGAGACGGGGTCTCTCTCTGTCACTCAGGCTGGAGTGCAGTGGCACAGTCACAGCTCATTGTAGCCTCAAACTCCCGGGCTCAAGCGATCTTCCCTCCTTATCCTCCTGAGTAACTTGGACTATAAGCATGCCACCACACCAGGCTAATGTTTTTTGTTTGTTTGTTTGTTTGTTTTGTTTGTAAAGATGGGGTGTCACTACGATGCCTAGGCTGGTCTCAAACTCCTGGCCTCAAATGATCCTCCCAGTTCGGCCTCCCAAAGTGCTGGGATTACAGGTGTGAGCCATGTGCTTGGTTCAGAGATAAGACTGTTTTCTTACACACAGGCTTATCTCTGAAAAAGCAAACACAGTCATAAAATGGAATATGAAAACCGAAAAAATTAAACTTTCCAAAATAGTCTGGTTTATTCTGGTCACAGACTTAATAACCCCTCCCACTAGAAGAAGTACAATTTGCTGCCACAGGAAAGCTTAAAATGTCAAACACATTCTTATAGAATACAGTGCAAGCTGCCTGCAAATGAGGCCATTCTTTCAACTGGTGTTATTCCCTGCTTCAGTGCAGTTTTCATAATCGTGGCACTTACTCAGAACCAAAAGCCTCTGTGTGTGATATAAGCATTCAAGCCATATGGCTGAATTGGTTTTTGTAGGTATTAAGCAGGTGTGGATTCGGAGACTCTGGAGGGAACTACAAAATCCAAGCTATTGAGGAGCTCAGTTGGAAAGAAACAGAGCTAGCATCACAGTGAACACAGAGCATAGAGATGGTGGCAGGGAGATTTGGCTAAAAAGCAGAAGGCTGGCAATCAGAAGGCCAACTACTCAAGGGCTTAGCCAGAAGACATGGTGTGGCCAGCCTTCCCCAGCATCCGGATCCCCGTCCAGAACCAAGGTGGCCTGTGAGCTGTCAGTACAGGATGTCACCAAACTCATTAGTCCAAAGCTGACCTGTCTGATGACCCGAAAGTCTTTTTCTTCATATTTTTGATAGGATCCCAAAAGGCTTAGTTGTCTGATTTTTTTTTTTTTTAAGCCCAAGGTAGACTACAAGCAGGAAATTAGAAAGTGGAGGAGCTTGTGGAGACAGGCACAATGAGAGTGAGAAGTGGCAGCCGACAGCAAGGTGGGGCAGGCTGGGGCACAGCAACTCACGCCTGTAATCCCAGCATGTGGGGAGACTGAGGCAGGCAGATTGCATGAGCTCAGTAGTTCAAGACCAGCCTGGGCAACATGGCAAAACCCCATCTCTACTAAATATACAAAAATCAGCCGGGTGTGGTGGCGGGCACCTGTAGTTCCAGCTACTCGGGAGGCTGAGGCAGGAGAACCACTTGAACCTGGGAGGCGGAAGTAGTAGTGAGCCAAGATAGTGCCACCGCACCCCAGCCTGGGTGACAGAGCAAGACTCTGTCTCAAAAAGAAAAAAAAAAAAAGAAGCACTCCATGGCCAGGCATGGTGATGTACACCTATAATCCGAGCACTTTGGGAGACCAAGGTAGAAGGATCACTTGAGCCCAGGAGTTCAAGACCAGCCTGGGCAACATAGTAAGACCCCCCCCATCTCTACAGAAAGTGAAAAAAACAGTAGCCTGGCATGGTGACCCATACCTCTGGTCCCAGCTACTCAGTAGCTACTGCACTCCAGCCTCGGTGACAGAGTGAGACCTTGTCTCTGTGCTCAGGGTGTGGGCGGGGGGAAGAAATACTCCAAACAGATACAACCATGTGCCATTTAGTGTGGATGCAGACACTTTGTTAACCCCGGAAAGCATTGCTACTGTATAATACTTTGTCGTCTTTATTGATAACCCCTATGTTATCAATAAAGATGTGTTGTTTACAAGCTAGACATTGCTGTTCTGTAATACTTTGTCATAATTAGCTCCTATGTTACCAATAAAAAATGTGTTACTTATAGACTATTTAGATAGACATAAAAGCATGTGTTGGAAAGATTTCCATGATAATACAGCTATTTCTATTGTTTAGCCATGTGGCACAGCATTTATTTAAATTGGTCTAAATTTTTAGTTCAGTGCCCATTTATTTAGCCTGGGACTTCTTTGATTAATACAGGAGATGGCAAGCATGAATACCATCCAATGTATGAGAGTAAGAACTGGATGCTGTGGGAACTCACAGAGCACCCTCATTTCTAGCGCATAGGGTTAGGGGAACCATCCTGTTCAAGATGGGACCTGAGCTTCGTAGGGTTTGTTGAGGAGCTGGGTGCAGTGGGGAAGTCTGCAGGCCTTGTTTTCCCAGAGGAGCAAAAAAATCGGCTTTACCACATTCTTACTACCTTGCTTCCATTTTACAGTGTTCCTTTCCATGTTTACATTATGAGATTATAATCCAAAAGCATTTTAGGGCTAGGTAGTACTCTAGTACTCACCTTCCTTACAGACACCGACGGTGAATACTCCCAAGGTGTGGGAAGGATAGGTAATGACATCCTAGGTATTTTTTTAACAGTACACAAAATTCAAATTGAGAAGCAGAAATGTTTTACAAGTTTCATGTCCAAACAAGACATATCTTTAGGATCCTGGGTAAGTCATCTCCTGAATTTGTTCTCTTTCTGAAATGATCATCCAAAGATATGCACAATGTTCAGAAATCTTTGATCAGTTAAGTTAAATACCAGTGGGTTGAACAAAGGCATAGGTAAAAAGTCATGAAAGGTTTTAGGAACAAATGTATTTCATAGGACTAGACAGTGGCACAGCTGAGACTTGACTTTGGGACTATAGGTCTAGAAAAATCCTTTTCTGAACTACTACTACATCCTATAGCTCCCCTACAAAGACTGAACCTCACCAGACCATAACGAAATGGCAGGGATGGTGACAACGATGATTTGTTTACCCCAGAGATTTTTCTTGGGTTAAAGTTGACATTAAAAAGGATGACATTCTCCAGTTACCATTTGACCAACTCAGACCCTCTTCAATTAGATTGTTTTTAGCTTTTCTCCACCAATGAACTAATAATTAAATGCATCCTTTCTAATTAAAGCAGCTCATTAACAATGGCAAAGCCTCCTGAGTTTTCAATTTTTCTTTTTAAGTGAGTAGTCACTTCCATAGTAGAATTACTCATCCACTTAAAATGTCAGGAGAGTATTAAATACATCTTTATGCATATAGTGATGGTCAGTATGAAAGTGATCAGTGGGACAAAGCTTAACAAATGGGTTTTGAAGCATTGTTAACAGTTTAATTTTCCCATGTCTTTGGACAGGCTGAAGGTCCTTATTATACAGCTGCTAAAAAAGAGAACAGTCTTCTAATTTGTTTACTTATTTACTTTCTGAGACAGGCTCTTGCTCTGTTGCCCAGGCTGGAGTGCAGTGGCACGATCTTGGCTCACTGCAACCTCCGCCTACTGGGCTCTCACCTCAGCCTCCTGAGCAGCTGGGACTACAGGCACACACCACCACACCCAGCTAATTCTTGCATTTTTAGTAAAGATGGGATTTCACCATGTTGTCCAGGCTGGTCTCAAACTCCTGGGCTTAAGCAATCCACCCACCTCGATCTCTCTAAGTGCTGGGATTACAGACATGAGCCACCACCTGGCCAAAAGTGCTATTTTAAATGAAATACTGTTCAAGTCACGGAAGACATACATCCCAAGGGACTATAAAGTTCTACAGGAGTATATGACTTTCTGGGCATGTGGCCTGTGTGATGGGGATGAGGTCAAGAAGAGTGAGGAAGTGGGCAGATCTTCCTGGTTTCTGTCCCTTTAATCTAGAAAGCCTCAGGCTTGTTGTTTGGTTGGAATTGCTGTAAAAGGAGACTTTTCCTTTCATAAACAGACATTATCCAGTGACAGACATTTTAGCAATTTCTGGTATATTTGTTGTGAAGAGCTACATAGTTTTAAATAAATTACCAAAATCCCTTAATGCTTTCTAATAGGTGGTCTGCATTTTAATGGAATGCAATCAGGTTAACTGGAATCTTAAGAGAGTGACATTTGGAGGCATGAGCTGTGAGCCGATAGCCACGTGGACTCCAGGTTCAACTCCCTACTCTGGGAGGAGTCAGTCCTCAGGGTGGGAGGGACAGCCTGAGCAGCTGGCAGTCCAGAAGGCCCCTCCCTGAGTCGCGAGAGTGCACCCCTACCTCTCACAGGAGGTGTAGTCCTGTTTGACAAGGTCAGTTACTAGAAGAGGTGCAGTATGGTGGGTAGAGAGCCATGCTGTTCATTATCTACACAGGCCTGGCCTGACTCACCCCATGGAGAAGCAACAGATTTGCAGGACTTCGGCAGTGGTCACATAAGCCTGCTCTTACACATATTTATATAAAACCGAAAAGTGGGCTGGGTGAGGTGGCTCATGCCTGTAATCCCAGCACTTTGGGAGGCCAAGGCAGGTGGATCACCTGAGGTCGGGAGTTCGAGGCTAGCCTGATCAACATGGTGAAACCCCATCTCTACTAATAATAGAAAATATTGGCCGGGCGTGGTAGCATGCACCTGTAATTCTAGCTACTCGGGAGGCTGAGGCAGGAGAATCGCTTGGAAGGTGGAGATTGCAGTGAGCTGAGATTGCGCCACTGCACTCCAGCCTAGGCAAGAGAGTGAAACTGTGTCTAAAAACAAACAAACAAACAAACAAAATACTGAAAGGCCCACCGTCTCTTCATTACACAGGTTTCCATCCATCCTAGTCTCTGGGACAGTGCTAGCTACCTTTGGGCTCACAGAGGCCTGTAAATCTACCTTCCTATGTTTCTGTATTGTGTATATATAAGTAAGTAAACAATTGCACCCAGTCACTCCTTTGCATCCAAAGGGGATTGGTTCCAGGACCCACTCTACCCCCACACCCCTGTACTAAAATTCATGGATGCACAACTCTGTGATACAAAAGGGCATAGTATTTGCATATAACCTGTGTACATTCTCCCATTATTTTAAATCATCTCTAGATTACTTGCAATAACCTAATACAATGTAAGTGCTAAGTAGTTGTAATAATGTATCTCTTATTTGTATTATTTTTTATTTTTTCCTAATATTTTTTCTTTTTTAAAAATTCTCTTTTTATTGTTTCTTTCTTCTTTTTTTAGAGAGTGAGTGTCTCTCTATACCGCAGGCTGGAGTGTAGAGTGCACTGGTACAATCACGGCTCATTGCAGCCTCAAGTGCCTGGGCTCCAGGAATCCTCCCACCTAAGCCTCCCAAGTAGCTAGGACTACAGGCCTGCACCACCACACCCAGCTAATGTTTTAATTTTTTTTTTTTTTTTTTTTTGTAGACACATGGTCTTGCTATGTGGCCCAGGCTGGTCTCAAACTGACCTCAAGCCATCCTCCCACCTCAGCTTCCCAAAATGCTGGAATTACAGGCATGATTCTGATTTTAAATATTTTTGATACACAGTTGGTCAGATTGGTCCGTGTGGAACTCAGAAACAGAAGGCCAACCATGCATAACGAGGCAGAACTTTTGGAGATCCTTGGTGACCTCACTGTTGCTGAATAAACTTTAGCCCCTCACCTGGTGATAACACCAATACCACCTGGTTTTCTTCCAGGTATGTGCAAAGTGTTTCACTTCTGTGAACAAAAATATTTGAAACAAAAAACAAATTTACTTCGTTAGCTTGTAGACATCTGTTGTTATTAAACAGACCAGTGCCTTCCTTCACTGTCCATGAACTTTTGGTCCTGTTTTTTATGTAAGCCTATTTCTCCTCATTTATTCACTCTTATTTTCAAAGTAGCATTTGCCCAACTTTTACGTTGTCATGTATTCAGTATTCTCCATCCCAACCTAACAGTGAAGAGAGCACATTGTGGCAGGTGCCTTCCTCTTCTTATTGCTGCATGATTCCAATCCAATTTCATGGCTTGGTGCAGGGCCTCTTGGTAAACGTGGACTCCGTTGTTCAGATCTAGAGCAGACGCCTTCTGGGCGGTCCTACAGATTTACATCAGTGAAAGAGATGAGCCGGCTGTGCTGACCTTTTTTGAGGCTTGCAATGTATTCAAATGTGTGAGATGGTTAATGCAGCTGTCAATATTAATACTATTCCATGGATTAAGGTCCTAAAAATATCCAGCCAAGTTTAAAAAGTATCACTACAGAAAATCACAATTTTATTTGGAAGTGGAATTAGGAATTGGCACCAAGGCTTTTTATGACACTTTTGGCTTCCTGTCACTCACTTCATGTCTTTCTAGCCTCTTAGTCTGTACAGGGTAACACGTTTGGGAACTGTGATAAGAAGAAATTCAAGTCTGCATATTGGCTGCCAATGCTCGAAAGTTCTGTTGTGATTTGGGGGATGTTAAAACACATTTCTCTATGAAGGCTCAGTCTTAAAAGAGGAGAGGCACTTTAGAAAGTATCTGTATTTCTTCATTTTTTGCATTTTTAAATGATGTATCATAGTTGTACATATTTTGGGGTACATGTGCTATTTTGACACATGTATACAATATGTGATGATTAATCTGAGTAATTTGCATACCGTCACCTCAAACATGTATCTTTGCCTTGGGAACATTGCAGTTCTTGTAGCTATTTTGAAATAGACAATAAAGTTTTGTTAACTGTCGTTTCCCTGCTGTATTATCAAATACTGGTATTTATTTATTTTTCTTTCTTTTTGTTTCCCCTTTTTTCAATTTTTTTCTTTTTTTGTTTTGTTTTTCATTTTGATATTTCTTTATTTCTAAGAGGAAAGAGCATGTACCCAGAGAAGCTAAATATTTTGCTCAAGGTGACTTTGCCAGGGAACGGCGGGCCTGGGCCTGTGACCTCAGGGTTCTCCCGGTACAGCATTTTTTCATAATAATGAAATCCTCTGAGTTCTACTTTTGAAGTTTTCTTTGTGAGGTTTAACATATTGTATTGGTGTTCCGACTTCAAATTGTGTATTAGCTGGATTTAAAATGAACTTGTCATTGCAGCATCTAGTGCGATATCCAGTATACAGTTGACATTAAAAAGTATTTTGCTGGCTGAATGACTATCTTGTGGATAACTTGCCCTAATCTGCAAGAAAAAGATGGAGAAACAGTACTGACAAAAATTAGCAAACAAGAAAATGGGGGGCAGGGAAAGCAGAAAATGGATATTGCTAAAAATTTCAGAAAAAGAGAGTTCAGCTACTTATTTTCCTCCGAATATATTTAGATGTGGTTATCGCTTTTACATATTATAAGCATATTTTCATGACCAAAATTGCTTTTTTAGTGTTTAAATATTTCCTATTTATTTGTCCAACAGATATGATTGGGTGCCTGCTTTGGGCCAGGCCATGTTTAGAATGCAGAACATAGCATCAGTGAACCAAAAAAAACCCTAATTTCATGGAATTTATAAACTCACTGGGAGAGACAAGCCATAAATAACTCTAGCCAAATACTGAAAAGAAACTCTTTATTGTTTTCATGTTTTGCACAATAGCGCAAAAATACAGCAGTGTTAGGTAGAGTCTGGGAGGGAAAACCCCATCAGTTATGTTAACAGAGAAAATTTAATATAAGGAATTGATTAGACAGATATTAGAGGACAAGCAATGCAAAGAGGGAACAAATGAGGCAGGATGGCAAGAACAACAGCAGGAAGCAGCTGCCCCTGTGCTGAGAGGACAAAGAGAAGAAAATGAGCTTCTCAGAACCTAGAAGCTTGGACGAGGGGTCCCCAGAGCTGGGACCCAGACTCCCGTGGAGGCGGGGCTGGCCGGCTGGTGCGGAGACTTTGAGAGCTCAGAGGAGAGTCCCTGAGGAGTTGGGAGGCAGATCTCTTGGGAGGAGACTTGCTTGTGGGCGAGGTGTCTTTTAGGGGTGTGCAAAAGAGCTAGTCCTGGGAAAGTGAAAGAAACTGGAAACTAACCGACTCCTATTGGAAACAAATGCCGCTGCCAGGGTGAAGGGCTGTTGCTGGCCAACTCTGGCAGGAACAGGAAGCAAACAGAGAGGAGCCGGTCCCCTCTCCCACCCTGTCCTTCCAGGCTCCCTATGGTGTCCCCTTGTCAGCAGAGACACTTAGTAAACTAGCAGTGCTGTTTACAGAGTCCCGCCCTCTCCACACAAAGCGGTGTGTAGGAGGGAGTGTTTGGAGGGGAGAGACAATGGCTTGATAACAGGCATGGTCCCAAATACGCTAGGTGACAATGACTCTCATGTTCTGAAGCTAGTTGCTAGACTACCTCAGCAGGACTTGCAGAAGAAATGACTGAAATGTTTTTTATTGTGGTAAAATATGCATAATATAAAAACGACCATTTAACCATTTTTAATTATATAACTCAGGGGCGTTAAATACATTAACAGTCTTGTGCAACCATCACTATGATCCATCGTCAGAACTTTTTCATCTTCCCAAAGTGAACCTCCAGGCCATTTAAACACTAAGCCCCTTTTACCCTGACTCCCCAGGCCCTGGGAGCCACCATTCTGCTTTCTGTCTCTATGTAGCTGACTGTTCCAGGAACCTCACATGAGTGGAGTCATGCAGTGTTTGTCCTTTCATGTCTGGCTTATTTCACTGAGCATAATGTCTTCCGGGTTTATCCGTGTTTGTGGCATGTGTCAGAATTGCATTGCTTTTTAAGGCTGAATAATATGAAATCTGGTTTTGTGACCCTTAGTCCAACGCCCAGTTGGACACTGGGGAGAAGACGTATTTAGGAAGATTTTTTTTGGCATGCTCTGGGTGCCCCTTCCCTTGCCAGCACATGCACAGCATCGTGGGAGAAGAGAAGGTATTTCTCCCCATCCTCAAGTCAAGTGACAGGGGCTTCAGGAGGACCACACAGAAAGCTGGATATGTGCCACTGCAGATGAGATCTCAGACACAGTGGTCTGGACCAAGCTATGCCTGAAAAAATCTAAAGGCTGGTAGAAGCAATCTATGGCAGCAGAGAGTGGGTATTGCTTGGGAAGTAACTGCTACTTTCACTGAAGAGAGAACAAAGGCACTTGTTTTCCTTGGACTAGATGTGGGCCACGAAAGACAGGTGGCATTGGCTAGGATCTCATCTGGAGAGGTGAAGAGATGGCGGGTGAAACATGTTGGAGGTGTAGGGGTGGATGACATGGAACTGTCATAGGCAGCCAGCAGGACGGTGGATTATCCGTTTCAGAAAACTGCTGGTGAAAGGACTTCAGCCATAAGCGTCTGCACAGAGCCAGTGAAAGATTCCATGAGATCCACAAAACACTTCATGAATGAGAACAGCCTTTAGTTCCCACCGTGCCCAGAGATCACTGAACTCAGTTCACGCCAGTGCCAGTCGAAAAGAACATTTTGGCCATATGCGGTGGCTCATACCTGTAATCCTAGTACTTTGGGAGGCTGAGATGGGAGGATCGCTTAAGGCCAGGAGTTTCAGACCAGCCTGAGCATTATAGTGAGATGTCATCTCCAAAAATATATTAAAATTTTTTTTTTAAAAAGCTAGGCATAGTGGCAAGCACTTGTAGTCCCAGCTACTCAGAAGGCTGAGGCGGGAGGATGGCTTGAGCCCAGGAATTCAAGGCTTCAGTGAGCCAAGATCGCACCGATGCTCTCCAGCCTGGGTGACAAGCAAGACCCTGTCCCTTAAAAAAGAAAAGAAAAGGACTTTTCTGGCTCCCTAACCTCTCCTTGCCGGCTCCCTTCACCACCACCGTGACCCTGTCCCATTAACTACTGAGTTGGGAGTGAAGGATGCAACAAGAGAAGAAACCACCTTTCCCACTGCAAGCTTCTTGATAGCAGCAGGTCCAAGCTGGAGATGAGAAGTTTCAAATGGTGATGAAACGTGGAGCCTGGATTTTACACTGGACGGGGAATCAATTTCAGAAGTGAGAACGTTTTGTGACCTGGAGAGCATTTACTTACTATTGAAATTTATGAAAAATCTGTGGGCCTGCCTGAATTTCATTCAAGGGCAATGGAAGAATGAGCCCCAACAGAATAAGTTTCCAGGGATATGAAGTCACCTACAAGTCCTGCCTCGTTCCAGACAACAGGTTGGCCAATAGATGTTTCAAGTGGCGATGAAGGCTGGAAGCAAAACGTGGCAGTCTGGAGTACTGCCTGCGTTGCAGTGAAAGTAATGTTGTGAGGTTGATGAAAAGTAAACGACTGCATTATTTGTAAAATAAAAGCATTTCACTTCTCTTGCATGAAAAGGGACAGGAGGCGGGACAGCAGCAGGCAGGGTTTTGTTTTGTTTTGTTTTTTTAAAGTAGCTCACTTGGTTACACAGCTTGCTAGGTGCAGCTCTTCACGCCTGAGGTTGACAGGTGTTTTATGATCCCCTAAAAGATCATAAAGCTAAAGTTTTCAGATCAAAGGAAAACCAACAAATAGAGGCAGCAGCATTATTTGTGAAAGAACTTTGCCATAAAAGGAAGCAGGGAAGTTAGGGTTGAGACTGGATCATGGTCTGTGGTCATACATAAGCAGTTTTTTTTTTTTTTAGTTGAGATATTGAAGTGTATTTTTACACTAATGGGGAAAATCGATGATTGAGAAGAGAGAGAAGAAAATTACAGGAGAGAAGCTGTTAATTGTCCAGAACATAGGATTCCATGTACGGCTAGGAGGGTTTGTATTATAGAAGTACAGATAGTTCATCCTCATCTCTCTTCCAGGAAGAAAGAGTATATGAGAAGAGATACAAATAGATTAGTAGATTTGCTGGTATAAGCCCATGGGAATCAAAATGGTCCACTCCCCTGAACGATATACTTGATATAGATAACAAATATTTTGTTGATCATGTAATTGTTGAACATATATAGACTGACCCCAGAATAAAATTTAGAACTTATTAATTGCTCCTTTCTTCTAAAAGTAGCAGGAAAGAAAAAAAAAAGCTTTTAAATTGATGTTTCTAGGGGAGGTACAGTAGCTTATGCCTGTAATCCCAGCACTTTGGGAGGCTGAGGCAAGCAGATCACTTGAGGCCAGGAGTTCGAGACCAGCCTGGCCAACATGGCGAAACCGAGTCTCTATTAAAAATACAAAAAATTAGCTGGGTATGGTGGCATGTGTCTGTAATCCCAGCTACTTTGGAAGCTAAGGTCTGAGAATCCTTTGAACCCGTGAGGTGGAGGTAGCAGTGAGCCGAGATGGTGCCACTGCACTCCAGTGTGGGCGACAGAGCAAGACTGTCTCAAAAATAAAAATAAAAATAAAAATAAAAATAAATAAATTGATGCTTCTAGCTATTTGGGGGCATTCATTCCTTCAATTGATGATAATCCACCACCACCATATTTGCCAGATATGGTGACAGACATTACGGATAAAGAGATGAGACACGTATGGTCATTGTCCATAAAGAGTAAAAGTTGGGGGCAATAAACAAGCATCAACAAATGAATACGATAATATTTTCTCAGTTCTATATGAGCCATGGTTGCTGATTACAAGCAACAGAAACTGACTCGTGATCTTTGGACTGATCAGGAATTTATTGAAATATGAAGGACATAGAAAGCCAGAGAACTAGACTTGGAAAATAAATGTGCCCCAGGGAAGCTCCACCATGCCAAGAGTCTTAGGTACAACAGTCAGTCGGACCAGGACCCAGTGCCACTGCTGAGCTCCTGCTGCCACCCTCGGCACCTGCCCTAGTTCTCCTTTGGGAGGTCTATGTATAACAAAGCCACTTTCCCAGCTCCGAAGATTTTCCACATGCAGCTTAACTGAGCCTTTTAGAGACCATTTCACCATCGTAAAAGGCAAGGGATTTTTAGGTGAGGAAGACATGGTAGGATTAGTAATAGGGCATTGTTTATGCTTTACTTTTTTTTTTTTCACTATAAAGTGAATTTCTTGGTCAGCAGCAACGTTGTGTGAGATACTATATATTAGTTACATTAACATAGCATATGGGCCGGGTGCAGTGGCTCGTGCCTATAATCTCAGCACTTTGGGAGGCAGAAGCGGGCGGATCACTTGAGGTCAGGAGTTTGAGACCAGCCTGGGTAATATAGTAAAACCCTGTCTCTACTAAAAATACAAAAAATAAAAAATAAAATAAAAATAACATATCAGTACAGATTTCTGTAAAAAGTGGCATATTCAAAAGATGTTACTGAAGAGAGTTTAGTAAAAGGCCCGTTCACAAAGTGTCAGCAAGGTTAAGAAAACTAACCAGGGATGGCAAAGCATCCTGGGGTTAGCACTGACAGGATTACCATCCTTAGCCTGAAAGGGAAAGCGGAAAGACTGGATTCCAGAACTTGGCATGACTTTAAACCCAGGAAAGAGCTGCCCAGCATCAGCTCTGACCTGCAGGCAAAGGACAAAGCCATTGTTCAACCCAGACCTATCTGGGAGGGAGTTGGGGTAATACATTAACTTGACCTCTGCTCCTGCTGCCTCCTCCCAAATCCTGCCTATGCCTGCTCATGCCCCAGATGGAGGCCTGAGGGCAAAGAAACTTCCTTGGAGAGCCTCCTGGAGGTGCTGCTAGCAGATGGTGTTGCAAATAGAAGCATGGTGGGCAAAGAGAAAATTCAAATGCAGATTAAATGTCTACTCTATTGAATCCCTCTCCAGTTGCTGCCCTCTCCAGGTTGGAAGGTGACCCCAGACAATCAGCCTGCTGTCAGACAGATGGCTGATTCCCTTGAAGCTTTGCATAATGCCATGGGCTCAGGGTTTATTACTAATGCTGGTCGATGGAGCACTCAGCAGTGCCAATCACAAGATCAGCCTGGAGAGGAGAGGAATGTGTTACTGTGCACACAGATAACCGTCAACCTGTTCACGACCCCAGTGGAGCAAGCCCTAGAGTGTCAAGCAAGGAAGTCACCATGACCATCTTATTTTCTTGAGTTAAAAATATTCTTGGCCGGGCGTGGGTGCTCACATCTGTAATCCCAGCACTTTGGGAGGCTGAGGTGGGTGGATCACGAGGTCGAGAAATCGAGACCATCCCGGCCAACATGATGAAACCCCATCTCTACTAAAAATACAAAAATTAGCTGGGCGTGGTGGCACATGCCTATAATCCCAGCTACTTGGGAGGCTGAGGCAGGAGAATCACTTGAACACGGGAGGCAGAGGTTGCAGTGAGCTGAGATCACGCAACTGCATTCCAGCCTTGTGACAGAGCAAGACTCTGTCTCAAAAACAAACAAACAAACAAACTATATTCTTGCAGCTGGGTGCAGTGGCTCATGTCTGTAATCTCAACACTTTGGGAGGCTGGGGCAGGAGGATGGCTTGAGGCCAGGAGTTCGAGACCAGCCTGGGCAATATAGCAAGACCCTATCTCTACAAAAAAAAAAGAAAAAAATACAAAAACATTAGCCAGGTGCCGTGGCATGTGCCTTTAGTCCCATCTACTAGGGAGGCTGAGGTGGGAAGACTGCTTGAGCCTGGGAGGTCAAGGCTGCAGTGAGCTGCGACTGTACCACTGCACTCGAGCCTGCATGACAGAGCGAGACCCTGTCTCCAAAAAAAGTAGATGGATAGTGTGGAGTCTTAATTAGGGAAAAGGAGTCAGGCTGAAAGGACCAGGGGAAAGCGAAGAGAGAAAGCAAATAAGCTATAGATCTGCCTTTCTTCATGGCCCAGGAATATAGGCCTCCTGAGCAAATAATGTGCATAACTCACAAACTTCCTGCTCATCATCAAACACTTCGATTTATCATCAAGCTCCTTGGCTGACAGGAGAATGCAGGTGAGCTCCCTGCTACCTTGGCATTATCGATCAGCCCAAGAACCATTCTATAAAATCTCCAGCAAGCCTTTGTTTCCTGGCAGTCAGCTCCTCTTCTGCTGATTGTGCCCATTGCAACCTGGCAACATATTTTCCAACTTTCTCTAATAAATCTGCTTTTCTTTACCTACAACTGTCTTGGTACATTTGTTTACCCCTGCATCACTGGCCCAGACAGTTGCTGCTAACCCGCGACAGAGAGATAGACAGATGATAGATAGATGATAGATAGATAGATAGATAGATAGATAGATAGATAGATAGATAGATAGATTCTTGCACTATGAGCAATTCTGAGAAGTTCATTTATATGACTCTTCTCCAGATTGTTTCTGTGTCACTAACCAGCCAATATAGTAGCCACTGCAGGGCATGAAACAGGCCTACTTGCTACACCTTAGTTATCTTTAACCAAGACATACACAGCGTCTCAACTCTGGTTAGGCCACCACTGAGTCCAGGTTTTGATTTGACAGATGAGCAAGCTCCTAGAACTGCATTCAGTCGCCCAGGTTGGCACGTGGAGTCCAGACTCCCTGGTAAGCTCACCCATGTTAATAAACTCAATATAGTCTATAATTACATTTCTCTCTCTTTGGCAGTCACCTGCAGAATCTGTATGCGTGGATACTTACCCCAGATCTTTGCCTTCTAAATTCAATGGGCTGTAAATCTTCTGGTGTGTAAACCTTCTGGGTTTGACTTTGTAATATTTTTTCTCTGGAACATGCAGGAAAGTGGCCAGTTACAGACTTGGGGACACTGAGAAGGGGAGGGAACGTGGTGGTGTGGAATGGGCTGAGCTCTCTCCCTCTTACAGGAAACTCCCTCTGGCGGGGGAATGGCAGGCCTATGAGGAAGTAAGCGTTGTCCTTTTCAGGGGAGTGACCTAGTGCTGCATCCAAAAATTCTCATTCCTGTTCTCAGGGCCCAGTTTTGACCCCTGCAGGCAATGCCCTGACTTTCGCATAAAGTATGTGGGGAGGCTGTGAATTCAAGTAATTTGGCAGCCTATAGATTCTCAGTAACCTAGAGTTTATATTTCAGCTGCCTTAGCACTACAGCTTCAAGAGATAAGACAATCAAGCCTGTGTCGAGTTAAGAATTAAATGGGAGGTTGCAGTGAGCCAATATCATGCCACTGCACTCCAGGCTGGGCGACAGGATAAGACTCCATCTCAAAATAAAAAAAAATAAAAAAATAAAGGTTTGTGTTTCTTTTTTCTTAAGCTCATTCAAATGCCTTCCTGCCTTCTTGAATTCCTCATGCCCTTGGTAGCATTCTCCAGTGAGAACGATGTTAACTCCCAAAGCCTTGCCCTACTTGGGTACCTAATTCCTGCAACTACAGGTGATTAGTTAATGAGCTTTCTGCTACCGTACACCATTGGTTGTCAGAGTCCCATTCTGGACTTAATGATGTTTTTCAGAATCTTCATATTTATCTTGGAATGGCCGGAACAATGACCAACACATTTTTTAAAATTTAGTTAAAATTGTGAATTGCAGGCAACAGAAAGGAATTCTGGATATCTTAAGCAGAGAAAACATTTTCTGGAATACAGTAGGGACTGTACAGAATCAAGAGAACCTCGGCTGGAAAATGGGTTTGAACCCTGATCGTCTGAGAAGGACAAGGGCCCCTTTTAGTGAGAGTGATGTGGCCAGGACACTGTCACCCCGCCTGTGCCTTTGAATGACCCGTTTTGCATTCAGAGTCCAGGATGAGAGTTCATGGTTGATTGAATCTAGGTCATAGGGCCAGGCATCTATATTTGTTTCCCGGGGCTGCTGTAATAAATGACCACAAAGTGGGTGGCTGAAAACAACAGAAATGTATTCTCTTGCAGCTCAGGAGGCCAGACGTCCTAAATGAAGTTGTCAGCGGGGCCTGCTCCCTTTGAATTCTCCACAGGAAAATTCCTCCTTGCCTCCTCCAATTCCCGGTGGGCCCAGGCACTCTTTGGCTTGTGCTAGTGTAACTCCAATTTCTGCCTTCTGTCTTCTCTCCTGTCTATTATAAGGACACTTGTCATTGGCATGTAGGGTCCACCCAGATAACCCAGGATGATCTCGCCTTGAAATCTTTAATTACATCTATAAACCCTTTTTTCCAAATAAGGTCATATTCCCAGGTTCCAGAGGTTAGGATGTGGGCATGTCATGGTGTGACTACACCATCTCACGGGACGGGGAGTGGGCAAAGCTCCCTGCTCCCGTGTCTATGGTGAGAGGCAAGGTTCTGCATCCCCCCAGCACTGCACACTACAGAGTTGAGTAGAAAATGCCGTGAGATATTAAAGCCAAAATAAACCAAGATTGCAATCACAGCACTAGTGCCAAAGCCTACCATATAACACAGGAGAGATAAAAGAGAGCACAGGAGACGAATCCTACATGGGACACAAGAAAAGCTTCGTGACACAAGCTGAACCTTCGAAGATACTTGGGTGTGTTAGGTGGTGTAGAGGAGAAAGGAAATTCCAGGCAGAGAGGGAACAGACAAGCAAAAAGCATGAAGGTATCAAATGTCCAAAGCATTCAGGGAATTTCAAGCCCGGATGGAAGAGCAGTGGCACTAGATAAGGAGCTTGTGCTGAAATATAAATCCAGGAAGTCACTATGCGAATTCTTTTTTGTTTGTTTGTTTGTGTTTCTTTGATCACTGCAAGAGTTTCTCCATGATAGAAGCAACACATTGATTTAGATAAGGAGCTTGTGCTGGAATATAAATCCACGAAGTCACTATGCGGATTCCTTTTCTGGTGGTTTTGTTTTTTTGTTTGTTTGTTTCTTTGATCACTGCAAGAGTTTCTCCATAATAGAAGCAACACATTGATTTAGAAAAGGAGCTTGTGCTGGAATATAAATCCACGAAGTCACTCTGCGGATTCCTTTTTCTTTGATTTCTTTGATCACTGCAAGAGTTTCTCTCCATGATAGAAACAACACGTTGATTTACACTCTGGTGCAAAGTCCTCCTCTCGTTGTCACAGAGAAGTCATTGGCTGGCTACTTCAAATGGTGCTGGCAGAGCACAGGGTGTGAATTGGGGGTGGGACATCATGAGCAAAGATGCAGATCAGATTGTGGGGGGCTTTAGGCGACATGCTCAGGTATTTGGACTTTCTCTTTAGAGCTGGAGAGTGATACAATGGTGACACAGAGGGTGACTTTTAGGACTTGAGTGTGACGGCACGGAGCATTGGAGATTGGAGACCATTATATTATCTGTTTCCCCAAACTCAGTTCTTTATTCCAGTATTGGTTTATTTTTGCTTTCCTTTCTTTCTTTTATTTATTTATTTATTTTTTTTTGATAGAAACAGGGTCTCGCTCTATTGCCCAGGCTGGAGTGCAGTGTTGTGATCATACCTCACTGCAGCCTCAACCTCCTGGGCTCAAGTGATCATCCAGCCTCAGTCTCCTGAGTAGCTAGGACTATAGGCATGCACCACCACACCCGGCTATTTTTCAATCTTTTTAGAGACAAGAATCTCATTAAGTTGCCCAGGCTTATCTCAAACATCTGGCCTCAAGTGATCATCCTGCCTCAGCCTCCCAAAGCCAGTGTTGGGAGGTGACAACGTTTTCATCAATCTGTAGTGAAATGAGAAAATTAAACATGATATAGTCAGTTCTTCATAAATTCTGTTCAATTTCAAAGGACTCTCCTTTGGTTTGAGATCATGACCTCCTAAATTTTATGAGGGTAAAATTGTCCATTTGTCTGTGAAATTATGGTAATAGTAAATAGTAGGCTTTACAATATCTGTATCTATCTATTATATCTATCTGTCTACATACCTCTCCATGTCTTTGCCCTCAAGTAAAAAATCAGCTGGTCCCTCTAGTTCTCCAGTTGTCCCTTTGAGATTTTTCTGGACTGTGCAATCTGCAAGAGTGGGAAATCCTGGACCAGGTGAGGACTTAACCCCAGGCAGAGGTGATAGGGAAGGGGCAGGGTTACTCACAAGAGGGATATGATGGAGCTGGAATCCACACCATGAGATCCTTGACAGACCAGATTCTACTATGCTTTGCATACACATGGACTCTGTCTGAAATTCAAATACATAATCAGGGTCAGACACGGTGGCTTATGCCTGTAATCCCAGCAGTTTGGGATGCCGAGGTAGGTGGATCACTTGAGGTCAGGAGTTCAAGACAAGCCTGGACAACATAGTGAAACCCCGTCTCTACTAAAAATACAAAAATTAGCTGGGTGCAGTGGCACATGCTTGTAATCGCAGCTACTCGGGAGGCTGAGATGGGAACATCACTGGAACCCAAGAGGCGGAGGTTGCAGTGAGCCGAGATTGCGCCACTGCACTCCAGCCTGGGCAACAGAGAGAGACTCCATCTCAAAAAAAAAAAAATCATAATCAGAGTTTATTTAGTTTATTTTTTTAGTACAGGTTGGATATTTCTAGTCTGAAATTCCAAATCTGAAATGCTCAAAAATTTGAAACTTTTTGAGTGACCACATGATGCCACAAGTGGAAGTCACGCCTGACTTCATGTGACTGGTTGCAGTCAAAATGCAGCCACAGGACACATGATTTCTTCAGCTTCTCCAAGGGACAAAAGGCCCTTCCACTCCTCTTCGGATGCTATCTATGTTTTCCTCGCATGCCCAGATTTCCCCATGCGAGCACACTAACAAAGTGTAATAAAATGGCATGTGTTCAGGCACCAACCACGGGTTCCCCACGATGCCCCACATGGGGCCAAGAGCTGCGTGCATTACTCAGTGTGGTCTTTTGCTTATTTCCTGCTCTGTGGTGTAAAGATATTGTTGAAAATGTCAAAAAGACCTGCAGATACCCCTATGAGTAACACTGATGAGAAAAAGGAAGCATTTATGTAGTAGTGATGATGAAGATGACATTGTCAACACTGCAGAAAAAGTGCCTGTCGATGGCATGGTGAAAAGGTGCAATGGGCTTATTTAAGGACTAGAGCAGTGTGCAGCCATAACACAAGAAATCATGTCAGTTTATAAAATCAAAGAGAGAGTTCCAAGACAAAAAAAAAATTCTTAATGAGGCAGGTGACTCTGGAGGAAATATTTTTTAAAAGCCATCTAGCAGGCTGGGTACAGTGGCTCATGCCTGTAATCCCAGCACTTTGGGTGGCTGAGGAGGGCAGATTACCTGAGGTCAGGAGTTTGAGACCAGCCTGACCAACACGGTGAAATCCCATCTCTACTAAAATTACAGAAATTAGCTGGGCGTTGTGGCAGGTGCCTGTAATCTCAGCTGCTCAGGAGGCTGAGGCAGGACAATCGCTTGAATCCAGGAGGCGGAGGTAGCAGTGAGCCAAGATGGTGTCACTGCACTCTAGCCTGGGCAACAGAGCAAGACGCCGTCTCAAAATAATAATAATAATAAAACCCTTCTAGCAGAATGTCTCCTCATCCCTAGAGGCCCCTCTTTTTGGTCCCTCAACTGCTTCTGATGTTGCTTCTTGCCTCAAAAAATAAAATACAGGGTACAGTAGCCTTTTAATCAAAACATAGCATTGCAGATGGAGACAGAAAGCGTGCTCTTATTTGTTGCTGTTAACAGCTGACACAGGTATCTCATGTTGTGCTGCTTGGCTACCCTGAACACTTTTTTTAAAAAACTGTATTAATGATATGTCCTATTTTTACTGTTAAGTATTTAAGTGTGAATAAGTATATGAACATGATTGCTTATCAGAAGCATATAAATTTAGAGTCAGGAATGATGGTGAGGTCACACAACCGCAGATTGTCCACATGGGTGGCTGAGATAGTGACGCCTTTTCTTTCTGATGGTTCAGTGTACACAAACTTTGCTTCATGCCCAAAATTATTAAAAATGTGGTATAAAATTACCCTCAGGCTATGTATATAAGGTATTATGAAACAACCATGAATTTTGTGTTTAGACTTGGGTCTCATCTCTAAGAAATGTCATTCTGTCTATGCAAATCTTCTAAAATCCAAAATACGAAACACTTCTGGTCCCAAGCACTTTGGTTAAGGGATACTCAAACTGTAATAACCCCATGAGTGCCTCTTTGGGAGCAATTGTGTTACACTAATATATAATTCATCGTCACGTTTCCCCTTAATTCAGCCTTAGAAAAATCATTAGGTGACTTACAGCTTTATGGTTGAAAACCATGATCTTCATTTAAAAGCTCTTTCTTGAGCAACCTTTTTTCAGTAAAATGACTTTGGGATTACTTGTCCTCCATCCTGCCTAAACCTTCTTTCCTGGGAGAAAAGAGGATGAGTAATACACATTCCACTCCTTCTCTGGAAGTGCCTTTCGTATGTAATAGCAGAGCAGTCTTCTTCCACGGTACTATTTTGGGGGACCTATTGCTTTTATCTCAACAAAACTGACAGCTGTTTTTGTCAAACTGACACCAGCAGCCAATGCCTAGGGGAAGCCGGGCGCTATATTTTCATTTTTCTTCACTCTCGTGTTTGATTTTCTTGTTCATTTCTGACATTCTCTCATCTACAAAACCAAAATGAATTGTAATATAGTTGCAATGAACATGGCCTTGTCATTGTCTGTGGAGGGATGGCCTTTGGTAACTGATCTCATGACCAATATTAAGCTGTGAGCTCTCTTTTCCGAATTTTTGCATTATCCTCTTACAACCACCTCCCTCAACATACACACACACACACACACACACACACACACACACTCTCTCTCTCACACTCCCCACCCAGATGTTATCATGTTCATTTCCCCTATTTCGTTTTGGGGGCTAATATCCTACTCTTAGTGAACAGTTCATTTAGACACATACTCCTTGACATTTTTCGAGGAAAACAAAGTGCTCTCAGGGAGTATTTGATCTCTTTCCGCTAAGATAAACGCCCCTCACGTTGTTCACTTTCTTTCATCATGTTTATCGGGGGTAACTTTCTAGTCCCTGATGGGATTCCAGAGAGGATCGTATTCTCCCGGTGCAACATATTTTGTTGTTTTGAAGCTCTGAATTTGTTCTGCTCATAGGATTTCAAGGAGAGATGCCAGCTGTTCCTTTCCTTAGCATTTCCATTGTAATCTCTCTGGTGTATCATTAAGGAGTTCTGTGTAGAGGAGAAAATATTTATGAAGCTGTTTTACTGGCTCATTATTCAAAGGGAGTTGGAACCAGAGTCAAAGTGTCACCCCAATCTAGAAAAGCTAATATTGCTTGCTGTCTATACTTTTGTATCCACCCGTCATATGCTTACCCCAGGCTGTGCTTATTCAGCTCTTATTCTGTGTTACTCCTGAATTAGTCTGTAGCTTTGAGACAGTACGGACCACCCATCTTTGTTTGTCTTACAGCTACCAAAGCATCTGTAGCCTAGTAGGTGCTTAGTCAACATTTCTCAAATTAAATTTAGTTATAGTAGAGCTCTATCATACATGGCTAGCCTCTCCTCTAATGCTGACATCTATGGGACTTAAGAGTTTGTGATCCTTCCTCCTCTAGTTTCATTTATTTTCTTACTGTGTGTATTCTCTTTTGATTTAATAAACTCTAATGTCCCTAATGGGCTATGTACTAGATTAATGATTTTTTTTTAATTTAATTTTTTTGAGATGGAGTCTCACTCTGTCACCCAGGCTTGAGTGCTGTGGCGTGATCTTGGCTCACTGCAACCTCCGCCTCCCAGGTTCAAATGGATTCTCCTGCCTCAGCCTCCTGAGCAGCTGGGATTACAGGCAGGTGTTACCGCACCTGGCTAATTTTTGTAATTTTAGTAGAGACGGGGTTTCACCATGCTGGACAAGCTGGTCTTAAACTCCTGACCTCAGGTGATCTGCCTATCCCGGCCTCCCAAAGTGCTGGGATTACAGGCATGAGCCACTGTGCCCAGTCAATGATGATGTTTAAATGAAGTTCTCCTGAGATTCATGACCATCTGAGTTTGTTGTCCTTCAGTTACCACAGAGACAATATGCCCAAGTCTAAAACCTACACCTCCTGTCGCATTTCCTCTGATGGTGAACCACTGTACTGTCTTCCCTGGGGCCATCCTTCTTTTCTGTTCTCCACGTGTTTGTACAGTAGACATTCATTGAACATTGTAAAAATACCAAAAAAGATGCAGAGATCATAAGACATATTGTCCCTGTCTAGAAAGTGCTGCCGTCAATTATGGAACATATGTTCACACAGCTCATACTGTAATATAAAATACAAGGCATTGCTGACCATTATGACATTTCAAAATCAGTTACCAGTATCTAGACCTTCTTATATCCTATTTCCCGCAAATGCATACATCTTAAGTAAACTAATTTGGATGTATTCACATGCATTACGAAGGAAGGGTTTATTAGAGTTTATATATGGCCATTACTAAAGTTTCCTTTGCTTTACCTTGTATTCTTTCTTCTTCCTTATTTTAGGATAGTAGTGGTACATTGTACTGTATCAGGCTTATTATCAGAGCGTCATCTTCAGCATGTTCCCTGCCTTAACTCTGCATGAGTCACCAGGTCCTATTAATTTGGTTCTTTCTCCTTAATATCCCTTCATTTCAATCCTTTCTAAGCATTATTAATATCATTCTTTGCTAACATATTTAACCAAGTTCTTTCTCTGCCTTCATTGTGGACCCATCCATGAAGTGCCAGTCTACACTACTGCCAGAGGCAATTTCTAAAACCGAGATCAACTTTTGTCATTCTTCTTGTTGAAATAATTCAGTGGTTCCCCATGATGTTCAGAAGCTGGACTAGGTCCTATATGATCTGACTCCTGCCCTCTCTTCCAGCCTCTTATTTCGCCATTTGCTTCCTTGCCTCCCTTTCTCCTCGCCATCTGTATAGTTAAGAGTGCGAACGCTAGGGTCAAATTATCTGGGTTCAAATCCTGGCTCTGCCACTTACTAGCTATGTAACTTTGGGAAAGTCACTTAGGTCCTCCTTCTTATCTGTAAAATGGGAGAACTAGTAGTTCCTATATTATATAGTTATTGGGAAGAGTCAATGTGTTAAATGCTTACAACACGGCCTGGCCCATAGCAAATAATTAATACAGACACTTCTCCACTTATGATGGGGTTACATCCCAATAAACCCATTATAAGTTGAAAATATTATAAGTCAAAAATGCACTTAGGCCTGGTGCAGTGGCTGACTTCTGTAATCCCAGCATTTCAGGAGGCCAAGGCAGGAGGACTGTTTGAGCCCAGGAGTTTGAGACCAGCCTGGGGAACGTAGGGAGACCCCATTTCTACAAAAATCACAAAATTAGCAGGATATGGTGGTACACGCCTATAGTCCCAGATACTTGGGAGGGGCTGAAGCAGGAGGATCATTTGCACCTGGGAGGTCAAGGCTGCAGTGAGCTACGATGGTGCCACTGCACTCCAGCCTGGGCAACAGAATGAATACCCTGTCTCAAAAAAAAAAATGCATTTAATACAACTAACCTACAGAACATCATAGCTTACCTCCCTAGCCTACCTTAAACGTGCTCAGAACATTTACATTAGCCGACAGCTGGGCAAAATCACCTGGCAAAAAGGAACACTGTCAAATCTCAGTTGTCTACATTCATGATGGTGTGCCAACTGGGAGATGTGGCTCTCTGTGGCTTCCCAGCATTGTGAGAGAGGATCCCACCGCATGTCATTAGCCTGGAAAAAAGATCACAATTCAAAATTCAAAGCACAATTATTACTGAATGTATATCACTTTGACACCATCATAAAGTCAAACCTTCATAAGTCTGGGACCATCTGTATATATTTCTGTGCGTGTGTTGCTGTTATTGCTGTTGTTATTCATTTATTGGCTTTGTGTCTTTCTTTTTGCATATGCTGTTTCATATGCCTGGAATCACCCACTTCTCCTTTTCACCTGGCTGACCCCACTCATCTTTTGAACTTCCGTTTAGGTGTCAGCCCCTTGAGGGAGCCTTCACTCCCCCTTCCCACTCCAGGCTGGATCAGTCGCCTATGTGCTCCTGTAGCACCGGCGCACACCCACATCATAACATTCTTCACACCAGATAAGGGGTATTGACATTGTGATTTTGAACACTGTTTAGATCCATGATAATTAATAATTTGCAATAACACAAAATGATTATTTTATAATGATTGTATGAATATATGATTACAGTATTAGTCCATTCTCAGGCTACTAATAAAGACATACCCGAGACTGTGTAATTTATAAAGGAAAGAGGTTTAATTGACTCACAGTTCAGCATGGCTGGGGAGGCCTCAGGAAACTTACAATCATGAGTGGAAGGGGAAGCAAACATATCCTTCTTCACATGGCGGCAGCAAGGAGAAGTGCCAAGCAAAAGGGAAAAAATTCCCTTATAAAACCATCAGATCTCTTGAGAACTCACTCACTATCATGAGAACAGCATGAGGGTAACCACCCCTATGATTCAATTACCTCCCACCAGTTCCCTCCCACAATACATGGGGATGATGGGAACTACAATTCAAGATGAGATTTGGGTGGGGACACAGCCAAACCATATCAATTCTATTATTTTTTAGATGATTATATCAAATAATCTTGATTCTTGGTATTAAATAAGGCAAGGCATGAGTTTGGGGAATCACATTAGCTCAGGATGTATCCATCCCAGAAGTAAAGTTCTACTGCACTTTAATTTTCTGTTTATTTGTATGCTTCAGATATTAAATTCTGGGGTCCTGAATGGGGTGAGAGCTCTTTTATCTGTATCCCTAGTGCCTTACATCTGCCAGAGATTCAGTTAATATTTGTTGAAAAGATGAATGTGTATTTTTAATTTAATACAGAAATTTTTTTTTTTTCAAAAATCTGGCTTTGCCCCTGAGCCATGGTTTGTGGTGCTGACCCTCTTCCCAGGAAAATACACGCATGGCTTATTTCAGAAGGTTTAAGGTACAGACCTTGCCCTAGAAGATGGCCTCCTGTTTAGTCAAAGAGAAGAGAAGAAGAAATGTGTTTCTTTCAATACTAAATATGACTGATTTAATAAAAAGTCTCAATTGGAATTCAACTCCTTTTAGATATATACGACCCCATTCTATCTTTGCCCAGTAACTTCTTGGAGAAGGTGATATGATTCATGCACTTTAGACAGAGGCAAATTTGGATCCTAATTTAGGAAAAAGAAGCAAAATCAGTCATATTTGTAGGTGTTTTGGGTGCCTGATTTGGGCGTATAGACAAGCCTCCTGCCCAGGTAGCACACATATGCCTCCTACTTCTACACTAGCTACAATTCCTCTTCTCATTGGTACTCTTACTGATGGGGGCGTTGAAGACTTTGCCTTTGGTGGCTTATCTGAGGGGTCTAACACATTTAGGCACAAATGCCTGAAGGAAAGGCGCATAGACAACCACATTGTCTGATGACAGTCGACTGCCCAGGTCAGAGCCTGGCAGGGTAAGTCCGAACAGAGAATCTTTAGCTTTACCCTGTCATAGGGACTCAGTTAGCAAACATCATCTCTCTTATAATTAAGGTAGGCTCTAAAATTGCATGAGGAAAGATAAGATGCTTTGGTAGCTCTTTCAAAATGCTTCTTAAACGCACTTCTAAAAAGTTAGCTTCTGTGGCTCTCAATGGCACAGATCATGTGCCTACATATGAGTGAGATGTAGCTGGGGTTAAAATCTATAGGCAAGTTCTGAAGACTAGAGAGAAGTTTTCCAAAGCACATCCAGATCATTGATTCTTAAATAGGGGCCAGGACTAGGGTTGGGCTGGTGTAGGGGAATGTTGGGGGAAGGCACACGCATCTCTGAGTAGAAAACCCACACGCACCCTGCCATCGTGAGAATCACTGGGTGTAATAAGAAGTACAGTTTGTGGCAGTGTGGTGAACACACAAGTGATAAGGAAACTAGGAAAAATGGTTGCAGGCTGGGACTTAGATTATGGTCCATTCACCCCACTTGCAGACAAGCAATTAGGGTCCAAGGTGTTATAGGATGGGCTTTTCCTATCATATCAGGCATCTCTCGAGATCTCATTGTATATCACAAGACCTCTATATTACAAAGTGGTTTTTGGTGCATTATTTTTTTAATAACTAAAAGCCTTTTGATGGGTTTCATAACAAACTCTTATGAAGAAGAAAAATGTGAACAATGATGAATAACTACGAGTACTTATCAAAGTGACAAGAAAGTAGCTAGTAATATGGAAAATATTGAGCAGTCCAATTGTACTGGAATGATTTAGTACAATTTAGTAATATTGTCTTAGGTAGTATTTATTTAATTAAGCCCCTGGAATCAGAGATGACTCTCAATGTTAGCAATTTTCCCAGGAACAAGATGAAATCATTCAATTTAATTTTAGGAGAAAGTATTGTATGTTTTATAGAAAGCTTAGGAATTGATTTATTGGCCTATTGATTTGAACTGCTCTTATAATTCTGGCACACTCCACATATTAACAATTCTTTCTAATCCCTACTTGGCTGGGTAATTTATGCATAGGTCAGGAAGTCAGCCTGGGCTGTAGCTGGCTCCATATACATACCATGTGAAATGACATTTAGTATTTGTTTTCTTCCTGATAGGGCCTGTGCTTCCTTCAGAGACTCACACAAGAGGTTTATCATGAGAAGGACCGCACTATTTCATTTCACTCCTACAAGTTTTCATTTACGTTACACATTGAGAAAGTTATGAGAAGCAACTGTCACTCTCTGGAGGTGGAGACTGCCGTGATTCACAAAGACAAGAGGTAATTTTCCTGTAATCACAGGATGACTCAGGTTAGTAGCTTTCAGCGCTTCTGCAACTCACATACCATGAGGTGTTTTTAGCAATGTGCATATTTAGTGAACCTAATTCTTCCCAATCCCTATAATTTTAAATTTATGACAATGTGATATAAAGTAAGTTGGAATTTATTTTTGCATGAGGTGGAAAACAGTATTTGAAAGTAGTTGTACAGGGTATGTAAAAATTATAAGAACATATTTAGCATTTTTAGAAAGCAAAATACTTTTGTAGGACTTAAACATATTTTTAAATGAGATTTTTATCACACAAAAGTTTACAATATCATTTGTACTTGGAAATGATATATAGATGTTAAGTGTGAAGTTGCATGTATTAAAAAGTAAAATGAAAAAGCTATGCATTTTGTAATTAGGTCTTTTTTATAATGTAAGTTGTCTTTTAACTGTTCGGACCAACTTGCATTTTCACTTTAGAATTGTAGTTTAAGTGTGTCTTTGAAATTTAAAGCAGAATTTTATGCTCTCTCTTTTTTAATTCTGTGTCTTCTGTGGCATTTATAATAGGAGAGCCATTTCCAATATTTGTATTTCTTTTTAGTTATGAAAAAGTGACCATCGTATGCCTAGATTGTACCTATAATACAGACCTGGCTGGGCGCATTGGCTCATGCCTGTAATTCCAGCACTTTGGGAGGCCGAGGCAGGTGGATCACCTGAGGTCCGGAGTTCAAGACCAGCCTGGCCAACATGGTGACCCCGTCTCTACTAAAAATGCACAACTTAGCCAGGCGTGGTGGTGGGCGCCTGTAATCCCAACTACTCGGGAGGCTGGGTTAGGAGAATTGCTTGAACCCAGGAGGTGGAGGTTGCAGCAAGCCGAGATTGCGCCACTGCACTCCAGGCTGGGCAACAAGAGCAAGACTCTGTCTCAAAAACAACAACAACAACAGACCTCTGGGGCAGCAAATCAGAAAACACAAAATAAAACTGGAAAAGCTCAGTCTTGCTTTCCTCCAAGTGCCCATTGACTCACAGCTGGCTCTTTAGGATTTATAACCAAAGAGTCAAGGACCAGCTTGTACAGAGTAAAGTATTGTTGTTTTGCAGAGGGAGCTAAGAAACAGCTCCTTGATTCATTGGATCTACAATTAATTATTGAGTGATGCTCTGTGTTCTGCACTATCCTAGGCTCTATGATGTACAGATGAGACATAGATAGAGATATATAAAAACATCACATTTCCATCTCTGCCGTCCAAAAACTTATAATCTATTTGGGAACATATACAGAGTTGAGAGTTCATGACAGTATCCGGAAAAATGTCCTAAGAGTGATAGAGATAATAAATTTGCAGTGTATAGAAGTCCTGGGGCCGGGCACAGTGGCTCACACCTGTAATTCTAGCTCTTTGGGAGGCCTGGGTAGACAGTGCAGTGGTTCACCATCAGAGGAAATGTGATAGGAGGTGTAGGTTCTAGACTTGGGCATATTGTCTCTGTGGTATCTGAAGGACAACAAACTTAGATGGTCATGAAGCTCAGGAGAACTTCATTTAAACAGCATCATTGACTGGGCACAGTGGCTCATGCTTGCAATCCCAGCATTTTGAGAGGCCGGGTTAGGCAGATCACCTGAGCTCAGGAGTTTGAGACCAGCCTGGGCAACATGGTGAAAACCCATCTCTACTAAAATACAAAAAAAGAAAAAAAAAAGCCAGGTGTGACGGCATGCACCTGTGGTCTTGTGGTCCCAGCTACTCAGGAGGCTGAGGCAGGAGAATTGCTTGAATCTGGGAGGCAGAGGTTGCAGTGAGCAGAGATCATGCCACTACACTCCAGCCTAGGAGACAGAGCAAGACTCCATCTCCAAAAAGTAAAAACTAAAAATAAGTCCTGGAATGGATGATTTTTATCTGTAGTTACCCATAAATTCTTTATGCAGGAGGAAGAAACTGTGCTAGACTTTGCAGACCAGTAGATTTTGGCAGGAGGAAGTGATAGGAGAGCATTGCCGGTGAGAGAGAATAGACTGCTGGCTTCAGCAAAGACCTGAATAAGGTCCTGAGCAAGTCCCTCTCGGGAAAAAGTGAGTAGATTTGTGTGGATACAGCTGAGAGTCTGAGGTACTGTCGTTGCACGATATAAGACTGCAAAGTGGACTGGACCAGGTCAGGGAGGGTTTTCGTGACAGACTGAGGAGTGCAGGTGCTATCCCGTAGGCAGCAGAGGTCCCCTGAAGGGCTTTCAAGAAGGAGTGAATATTATCCAATGAGGTTGTATAGAAAAATTAACCCTGCACTGCCATGAAATAGAGATTCTAACCAACTTTCCTTGAATTCATAGAAGGAAAATCATGAATTGTAGCCAGCAAACCAGGAATGGCACATGTGCTATGTGGTTTACGCAGTTACCTTTTACTGTAAGAATGTATTGTGTCTCCAGCCAAGTGGACATTAACAGAGAAGGTTGTGTTGCCAACTCCCATCTTTATGAATATATTAGAGGGGATAGATGTGGGGGGTGCAGAGACAGCAAGAGGAACAGACAGACCAGTTAGACTAGCTGAGATACTAGGGGATGGCAGTACAAACAGAAAGACAGAAAGGGGGCAAAGGTGCCAGCACTGTGACAACTTTGATCTTCTAGGCTGGCATTCCAATAGCACATTGCTATCTCAGCAGATTCTTTTGCTCCAGTCAGAGTCCCTTCATCCATTTGTGATGAGTCCTGTTGGCAACCCTAGTGGCCATGGTACATCTCTTTCACTGTGGCCCCCACTGGGGTACATGCTGTGATTGTGAAGAAGCATTCAAGTTTGTAATACTTTAGTCCTTTGGCTATACATGTCAAAATCAACTAAAGCAAGAAGGAGGATTTGTTGGGAGTGCCTAAGTAGCTGGCACAATAAAAGGAACTGCTGCAAACTAAACCTCGGGAAAGTTACAACTTGGGATGAGGCATGAGGATCTTTTCTTCAGGGCTGAGCCATCAGCAGTTCTGCTCCAACCTCTTGTCAATTTCCTGGGCGAGGGAGAATAACTGTCCGAGACTGGATCATGTGCCCACCCCACTGCCACAGTCAATGTGCCTGGCAGGCCCCAGTGACACTTGGAGTCTGAGAGAGGTGCAGTTCCCCAAAGGAACAGAGGATAAACAGAAGCTTTTAAAAGTATTTTAATCTCTAAAACGTCTGCGACTGCAAATAGTGGTCATATGTGTGTGCATGGTCTCAGGCTTGGGAACGGATCAGGTATTCCCCAGAATCTTAGATCTCCAAAATTACTTTTCACTGCTACCTCTGATGGACCCTCTGCTCTTTCAAACTAATGTTTTGAAAAAAATAAAACTTTTTTATTTTTTAAGAAGATACTGATATTGACTAGAAGGTATTGACTAGGCAATACCTTCATGCCTGCATGCCTCTAGCTGCATGGATTAAGTGTCTTTTCTCTTTCTCCCTTTCCTTTCTTCCCTTCGGTAGCGCTCAGCTCTTCAAACACATCAAGTGCCCGGAGGTGACTTAATTTATGCGTCTTAGCTATGTTGGAATTCTCAAGTTTGCTACTTTCCCTGAAAAGCAGGCTAAGAGGACCTTAAAAGCAGAGTGGCTTGTCCACCTTTGGGGAACCCTTGAATTGATTCTTCTTGCAAGTGCAATTTAAACGACAAGAAACGAACATTTTCTTTTTTTTTATTTGAGACGGAGTTTCGCTCCTGTTGCCCCGGCTGGAGTGCAGTGGCACGATCTCAGCTCACTGCAACCTCCGCCTTTCGGGTTCAAGCAATTCTCCTGCCTCAGCCTCCTGAGTACCTAGGATTATAGGCATGCACCACCATGCCCGGCTAATGTTTGTATTTTTAGTAGAGACGGGGTTTCTCCATGTTGGTCAGGCTGGTCTCGAACTCTCGACCTCAGGTGATCCACTCGCCTCGGCCTCCCAAAGTGCTGGAATTACAGGCGTGAGCCCCCGCGCCTGGCTGAAAAGAACATTTTCAAATCTTGCCTACGCTTCCAGGCTGAGTTCCAAGGCGCAGCTCCCGACTTCTCATGCATTCGTTTGAAGATGTGTCAGTTTACACACACAGAGGGCTCACTGAAAATTTCCCTTTTTAATAATTTCCTAATACTGTGGAAATGAACATAATAAACTGCAACACAATACAACTCTAGACTTTCTAGAGCAAGAATTGTTAACCTTTGGCATTATTTTGGGTTTTAGTTTCTTAACACAAAGCTTCAAGCAAGTTTCAGCTGCAGTTAGAAGCAGTCAAAATGTAATTTCCATTAGTGATAAATGTGTAAAAAGTTAAATGAGCAATTGATATTTGATTATATAAATCTAGTTTGAGTGCTAATTGGAGTAGATATAAACAAATTTATACAAAGTTATATATTTTTTACCTTTTCTTCTCTCTGTTCTTTATACATATTAAGTCATAGCTCTTAGCTCTTTGTCTGCTTTCCTTATTCTCCATTTCTGGCTTTCTTTGCACTAACATATATGAACCGCATGATAATCACTCAATACATATATTAATTGCCCGTTTCTTCTCCTTGCACTTCCCCTGGTTTCTTTCTTCTTTTCCTTGTCATTCTGTCTTGATCCTTTTCTTGATTTTTATAAAGAAAACTTTACTGATACACATGTTTGTCTTCTTTGTGTTGTTTTTGTTTTGGGTTTGGTTTTTTGGGAGGGAACACTGATTCATCTATTAGTTGTGTGTGTTTCGGGAGATTAACCATCCAGATACCAATTAGACCCAAGTCATTGTTGTCTTAGGTTCTAAGGCTTTTAAATATTATAACATTTTTCAGAAAGATTTTATTCTCTGCAGACTAAAAAGCTCAGCAGATTTTTCCAATAACTGCACATATAAAGAGCCACATAAACAGTAGACTAAATATCACAGATGATCCACATGAGAGTAATAAATGAGGACACTAGTTTGTCCATACATTTTTCATAAGGTACTGAAATAACTGAAAATTGTCTTAACGAGTAACAGTAACCATGAAACAGCAAGATAATTAGAGAATGAAGGTAAGCAGCAATAGCAACCACCTGCTGCTACAAGCTGAGGATCATGTAGCCTCCTTCCTGGACCTTTACACAATTTATGTTCCCATCTATTTATTGAGATCAGTAATCCTCATACATTATTATAGTTGTGCTACTTGGAAGCTGTGGCTGGCACAATTCATCCTTAATTTCACTTTGAGTTATTGAGTAAAGCTATTCAATGTGTAATAAGATCACAAATATAAGGTAGGTAAAATGAATTTCCTTCCTCTCATCATACTGATGAGTCACTTACCTGGTGCCCTAACTGAAACAACTTCTTTACTGGGAGCAAATGGACTCTATTCTTGGCTGGTTACTGGATAATCTGGCATTAGACATTATCTCATTTAAGTTACTTATTTCTTCAGTTAGATTTCTTCTGAGGCAAAACTCTCTCAGCACTTTCTGTATATACTATGACATAATCTTATTGAATGGGGATACTGCTTTGACATTTCACCTGATCTTTGAACCCAGTGATCTCCAATTTCTAGCTGCCCAGAAGGCACTGACTGGATGGCATTCATCCCTCATGGGAATGGCAGAACACAGATGAGAGAGGATACTCTGCTCAGTTTTAAGTTCTAACATGGTTTAAAGTACATAACAAGGCAACTGCCTCAAAGCAAAAGGGGGTTTTAATTGAAATATACATGGACCAAAGTGCATATATCATAAATGTACAAATAAATGAATGAATTTTTCATAACCTGAGCGCCCTCATGTAACCCGAGCCCAGATCAAGAAACAGAACATTATCAGCACCCCAGGACCACCTCCCAACCCCCAGTGCTCCCTGCCAGCTGCTACCCCAGGCAGCCTCTATCCCACTTCTAATGGCCCACATTTGTTTTATCTGTTTTTGTACCTTCTTTATTTTATTTTATTTTATTTTATTTTATTTTATTTTATTTTATTTTATTTTATTTTATTTTATTTTATTTTTTATTTTCTTTGATCTATCTATGGGCTCATGTTTTTGTACTTTCCATAAACGGAATCCAACAGTGTGTATTCTTTTGTGGACTTCCCTTTTAATATGATATTTGTGGAATGTATATCATTTGGATGTTTGTCCCCTCCAAATCTCATGTTAAAATGTGACCCCCAATGTTGGAGGTGGGGACTATTGGGATGTGTTCGGGTTATGGTGGTGGATCCCTCAGGAATGGCTTGGCATCCTCCTTATGGTAATGGGTGACTTCTTGCTCTATCAGTTCACATGAGAGCTGGTTGTTTAAAGGAGCCTGGCATCTCCTCCCCTCTCTCTTGCTCCCTCTCTGACCTTGTGACACACGTGCTCCTCAGTCACCTTCCACCATGAGTAACAGCTTCCTGAGGCCTCACCAGGATCCAAGCAGATGCTGGTGCCATGCTTGTACAGCCTGTAGAACCATGAACCAAACAAACTGCTTGTCCTTATAAATTACCCAGGCTCAGGAGTTCCTTTACAGCAACACGAAATGGACTAATATAGGGACTGATCCATATTGTTGCATATGGTTGCAAACTTCCATGCTACCCTGGTAGCATTTCATTCTATGAATATACCACAATTTATTTGATCATTTTACTGATGATGGTCACATGTGCAGTTTCCAGATTTGTGCTACTTCGAAGAGTGCTTCTTTGGATATTCTAGCATATGTCTTTTGGTGAATATGGGTGTCCATTTCTTTCGGATATATGTATATACTTTTAAGAGTGGGGTTGCTGGGCCATAGGCTATGCATATGTGTAGCTTTAGTTGTTGCTGTCAGGCGGTTTTCCAAACAGATTGAAACAATTCACATTTCTTCCAGTGGTGTATTAGAACTCACCGATTCCATGTTTTCACCAACACTAGATATTCTTTGTGTTTTCCATTTTACCCATTCTTTTGTATAGGTGGTGGGATCCTATTGTGGCTTAAATTTGCGGTTCCCTGATACTAGTGAAGTTAAGCCCCTTTGTGTGTGTTTCCTGCCCGTCTCCTGACCATTATGAAGTGTCTGTTAAAGTCTCTCGCCCATTTTTCAATTGTGTTGTCTTCTATTACTCTGTGATTTGTAAGAATTGTTTATATTCTGGATACTACTCAATTGTCATCTGTATGTACTACGAATACTTCTTCACACTCTGGGTTGAATTTTCCTTCTCTTCATGGTGTCTTCATTTTAATATAGTCTACTTTATTTTTCCTCTTATGGTTAGCACTTTATATGACCCTTTGTAAGAAATTTTAACTTACTCCAAGGTCATGAGGATGTTCTGTATTTTCCTCTAAAAGCTTTATTGTTCTGTATGATAGAAAGAGGTTTTAATTCATAAATGTATGTCAGTATTTGGAGACAGAACTGTTCTAAAGCCACGTGTGTTTTCCATAGAGCTAAAACATAGAGGACTCACTACAGGCAAAAGTGTGGTACAGAAAGAAACTCAAGATAGAGGTAATAGAAGTTCCCATCACAAACAAATGAGAAATCCCTTCTGATGACAGGGCTAAGTGCTTACAGCCTATTACCCTGGCCTCTGTGCTAACTTCTTAGGAGGAGCAGGTATAAAAAGCACCGTCTTGAGGACATTTAGTTATAGCACCTCCTCCCTGGTGACAAGGAGCCACTCTTGGGGACAAAACAAAGCCTTCTTTCTCAGAGTTCACTAGATTTCTGTGGGTCAAGTACAGAGTGTCATCTCCTTGATGAGACAGTAGAAAAACCTTTTCCCTGGAAGCCTTTTCAGTTCCTCAGAATATTTTTACTATTTGCCTCTGGGTGTGAATATGTGCATAGCTTTCCAGTGATCATTAAGAAGCTGGAAAAACTTGGGAAAAAACCTTTTTACTTTTATTTGTCAACACATCAAATACTCAGAGTTGCCTTTGAAATTGTGGCTGTTGGATATATATGTTAATGTCCACCTCTCTATCCCTGTTTCTTTACCCAGAAACATGGCATTAAGAAAGATTGTTCAGGGGCTGGGCGCAGTGGCTCACGCCTGTAATCCTAGCACTTTGGTAGGCCAAGGCAGGTGGATCATGAGGTCAGATGTTCAAGACCAGCCTAACCAACAGGGTGAAACCCCGTCTCTAGTAAAAATACAAAAATTAGCCAGGCATGGTGGTACGTGCCTATAATTCCAGGTACTCAGGAGGCTGAGGCAGGAGAATCGCTTGAACCTGGGAGGCGGAGGTTGCAGTGAGCCAAGATCATGCCATCGCACTCCAGCCTGGGTGACAGAGGGAGACTCCATCTCAAAAAAAAAAAAAAAAAGAAAAGAAAAAAAAAAAGAAAGATTGTTCAGGGTGGGAGAAGATGGGAGGGGTGATTTATTGGGGGAAGGATATGGTCATTATCTTGAGTGTCTTGATGGTTTCACACATACATACACGCATACGCACACACATATGTATGTAAAAACATCAAATTATATACTTTAAATATATGCAGTTTGTTATATGTCAATTATACCTAAATAAAACTGTTAAAATATGATTTAAAAATTTAAAAGAAATATTGTTGAATTGGCTAGAGTTCCATCATTCATGAATTCACTAAACGTATTTAGACCTATTACATTTAGGGCCAGTGCTAGATATTATGGGCTAACCAAAGATGTGTATGAAATCTTGTTTCTTATTTAGAAGTTCAGAATCTAGTAGAAATACTTAAGCCATTATAATACTTTACAGCACATGACATATTTCAAGTGCTGTGGAATTAGGGAGTGTAGAGGTTATATTTCTTTGAGAAGGTGGAGAAGACTGTAGGTAGAAGTTGCCACTAGGCTCACAATATTAAGTTCAAAAAAGTAGGATGCAAAACTGTCCGGTTTTCTCTCAATTTTATTATAATATATCTCTACGAGAAAGAAAACTTTTAATCTTTATGAAGAAAAAAGGGGGAACTTATATGGTAACAAGTTGTCATCTAATAAAAACTGATGTATACTTTTCACTTTTTCATGATCTAGATATTCTACAGTTCATATGATGAACTGAGCTTTTTATTCCTTTTGGTGGGTGGGATTAGAATACCCATGATATCTCTCCATCAAGAGTTCTGAGGGACCCAGGCTGATGCCTCCAGGACAAGGAACATTTCATTGCAGTGATAAGGGATAGGGAACTTGGAAAGCAACACAGTGGGGTAATCCTGATCTTTTCAGATGACGTTTATGCCATAGCAAGTCACTTAGGGTTTATCTGAATTCAAGTAGGTAGAAAAATGTTAGCCTAATCACATGTCCAGGGAAGGAAAACTAAACATTTGTGACTTCTCAGTAGAACCCTGTTGCTAGTAGCAGGAATTGCCAATGTCCTTCTCTTTGTTTTTCTACCCTTTGGAAACATGCCAGGCCACTAACTCTCCTGTTAGTTTTCTGTCACTTTCTGTCCTCTCTTCCATCCTCCAAGAAATAAATGCTGGAAATAGGCAGAGTTTGTGGGGCAAGGGAAGGAACAAAGATGATTCAATGTCTGGGATCTCCTCTTCTGTGCCTACATCAACTTCCCCCAGCAAAGTTAGTTGTATCTTTGTCTACTCAGTCTCATTTATGTTTTTGTCATCACATTTACGATTTCTTTTGATTGCTAGCATTCAATTTTGGGGGTTTGTTTTAAGGTTACCTCGTAAGCTTTACAAGTTGCTTGAAAAGTAGCAATAAAGGTAAGATATTACAACACTATGTGTCAGCATCCTTGCACGCTAGTTATTTAAAGTGTAAAATAATCATTTCAAAATGTTAATTAAAAAAGCAGTTTCCCTGCCTTGGGAAAGGTGTGGTTGTAAGAAACAGAAGTGAGTTCAAGTGAAGAATATTTCAGGGCTAGAACAGGGTATGGATTTGAGATTCAAGGTTAGGAAATGAAGTACCTCAGGACGCAAGGCTGGTACTGTAAAATGAACAGGTTTCTTGGAGATGAGTGACCCTGAGCCCCTATCTAGAGCCTACATAGGGACTAGAACTAGAATATCATCTACTAGACTTCCCCAATCTTTCTGCCTTTCCCCCCACCATGTTATGAAGCATCACGGATTCTCATCTTGTTTTTCTTTCCCTACAGCTACATTTATTTTGCAGAAAAATATTCTTTTGCTTCATCCATATGTGCATGGCTAAAAATGGACTCCCTAACACAGACTCCAAGTGATCACAACCAACCACTTGTGGTCATCTGACTATTCAGGTCTTTTAGTTCAAATTCTCAAGACTGGGTCAGTCTCACCCATGGACTGGTTCCCTGTAGATCTGGTTTTCAACCTGGGTCCACTCAGTGAGGCGGGGATCCCTGGAAAGAGGAGGCACAAGGCTCAGAAGCAGGTTCTCTTGGATCGACAGTGATGAGCAACTCTGATGCGCATCCTTCTGACTTCCTAGTTAAAACGTTTACCGTCTCATACTTTTAGTCTTTTTATAAACCATCTTAGAAGTTATGATTTGTAGATAACATACTTCACTAAAACTACATGAATGAAAAAGGATGATCAGGAAAAATGCTTTGTTTTGGGGACATTCTTAAATTGGAAAACACTAAATTAACATTTCCACAGTGTCTTCTACAGAATATTATTTCCTAAAAAGACAAGAGGTGTTTAAAGACAGAAAGAGTATTATAGACCCAATAATTCTGAGAAAAAAGCGAGATTTTTGAAACATCAACCGGGACTCTTTTCTCCAAGATTTTTCAAAACTCATAGTGTGCTGGTGTGCATTTTGAATCTCAAAGGAGGGACACAATGTGAGGCTTTAAGTACTGACTTTTTATGTGGATTATTTTATGGGTCTGGAATTTGACAGCACACAGATTAGGAATCCTGGCTAATCCAAACCCTTTATCTCTCGCTTCATCTGGAAACCCGTGCTCTTGTTTTAGTACTAGTCTTATTAGCTTAGTCACACTTTCAAACTCACAAGGAATTTGCTTATATAAATAAAATTCATGTGGAAACTATTATAGGAAATTTAAATCCGCAGCATTTAAAATTTAAATCTGCAGTGTTTATAAAGTTAACTGTAAAATATCAGAAAAACAAAATAGATTTATATTACTTATACACTTAAAAATAACTATCTTTTAGGTTACCCGATGGTAGTAGAGGCCATAGAAAACTTAGGGGAAGATCTTGGGGGTGCTGTTCAGATACTACAAATTCTGAGCTTGAAATTGAAGTCATTTTTAAATTGCAATTTGCAAGGAACCCAGTTTATGTCGGTTACCACTTAACATTTCCAAGTGCAACAAAGAAAAACTTGCTTGTTCTAGTGTTCTCTAAAACGTATTGCTTGATTGATTCCTTGAGAAAGGGGAAACGTAAATAGACTAAAATCTACTGAGATTTTGATTTAAATGAAAAGCACACAGTGTTTCTGTTTTTCTCTTGTGTGGGCAGTTATAGCCAGCCATATGTTTACTTCGTAAATTTCAGTTGAAGGTGCAACATAAGCTGTTTCAATTTGGGTGGAAGTTTAGTCAGACCTCACAAATTAGATTTATACTCAGTTAGGAGTTTGCTAGGATTTTTTGCAGGGGCTGTGGGTAGGTTCATACTGATTAAAGACAACCTATTACGTTTTAAGAGTAAATCCTGAATATCTGTTCCTTGAAACGGAAGGAATGATGGAATTATATTATCATCATTCGGTGATACTTGTAGTAATAATTGGGGCAAGAATCATTGGTAGATGCTAAAACTGGTGGGTGAGCAAATAAGAAACAATATTTGCATAGTCTCAAAGTCTCTCTCCATACAGGGAAGACACCGTCTTACCCAAGTACTTCCCACTTCCCAGGATAGGGGTAGAGGTGCGGGGACAGAGGCTGTCCAGGGACAGTATCTTCTCTCCAGTTACACTCCCATCTGCCAGTTTGCAGGTGTAGTGTCCCCTCCCTTCCCCAGCTCCTCAGGGTGATCACTCCCTCTGCTAACCAAAGCCAATACTACCCTCTGTACTCAGAGCCAGATTCCATTCTCACTATGTGTATTTATTTGATCATTTGCTGGGGGTCTGCTGTGTCCTAAGTGCTGGGGACTCAGTATTAAATAAGACAACTCCTTGTTCTCCAGAGTCTTCCAGCAGACTCTGCCAGAGAAAAATATCTTATCTAAATTCAACAATTACAGGACTATGTGATCCCTGTAGAGGTATGCATGGGATGCAATAGCTGATAGCCATCAGTAGGGCCAAATGAGTTCTTAAATGATTGAAAATACTTTCATACTGATGGGTAAAAGCCACAACCCGAGTCCCTGGCCACTTCCCTGGGATACCACTCACTCACATGCCAAAATAGAATAGAATAATTACAGGGTTAAGCCCAAAACGGGACCTGCTCTTGTGCTTTTCTTACTCCTTCCCTGTTGCCCTTATCCTGCCTGGAAGGTCAGGGAAGTCTTCCTGGAGGAGATGATGCCTTTTCCAAGAATGACTAGAATTTAGCCAGGTAAAGCATAGCATATGTTCAGGCCCCTGGATGAGAGGGAATGTGCCACCGCTGAGAAACAGTGGGTCATTGGGTATTATGGCTAATGCTGAGGAAAGATGGTGAGAAATAACCCTTAAGAGGTCTGGTGAGGCCAGATCGGAAAGAGCCTTATGTGCCCGCCTAAGCCAGCTGAACCCAATGGGACAAGCTATAAAATGCCTCTGAAGAAGTTGAAGGTAAGAACTGAGGGGGATAGTGTGGAGCAAGATGGCTAAATGGAAGGCTCCACTGATGGTGTGTCCCCACTCCGCCACCCTCCCCACAAGGACCAGAGTTAACACACAAAAAAAGCACCTACATAAGAACCAAAAATCAGGAGAGCGCTCACAGTGCCTGGTTTTGACTTCATATCACTAAAGGAAGCACAGAAGAGGGTGAGCAAGACAGTCTTGATATGCCCATGCCATCCCTCCTCCAACTCCCTGGCAGCAGCCATGTGCATGCAGAGAGAATCTGTGCTTAGGGGAGGGAGAATGCTGCGTTTGTGAAACACCGTATCGAACTCAGTGCTGCCCTGTCACAGTAGAAAGCAAAGCCATGTGGCTGAACTCAGCTGACAGCTGCCCACAGAGGGAGCATTTAAACCAGCCCTAGCCAGAGGGGAATTGCTGGTCCCAGCAGTCTGAACTTGAGTTCCGGCAGGCCTCACCACTGTAGGCTAAAGGGCTCTGGGGTACTAAATACACTTGAAAGGCAGTGTAGGCCCCAAGGACTGCAGCTCCTAGGTGAGTCCTCCTGCTGAACTGGCCTCAGAGCCCGTGGACCAGGTGGGGAGGAGGGAACGCCACTACTGAGACACCAGCTAGGGCTGCTAAGGGAGTGCTTGCACCACCCCGCTCCCAACCCAGGCTGCACAGCTCCTGGCTCCAAAAGAGCCCTTCCTTCTGCTTGAGGAGAGGAGAGGGAAGAATAAAGAGGATTTTGTCTTGTATTTTGGATACCAGTTCAGCTGCGGTAGGATAGGGCCCAGGCAGAGTCCTGAGGCCGTCTGTTCAGGCCCTACCCCCCAGATGATATTTCTAGACACACCCTGGGCCAGAAGGCAACCTGCTGTCTTGAAGGGAAGGACCTAGTCCTGTCAGGACCCATCACCTTCTGACTAAAGAGCCCTTTGGCCCTGAATAACCAGCGGTGATACCCAAGTAATACGCTGTGGGCCTTGGGTGAGACTCTGAGTCTTGCTGGCTCCAGATGCGACTTAGCACATTCCCATCTGTGGTGGCTATGGGGCAACACTCCTGCTTAAGAAAAGTGGAGGGACAAGGAAAGGGGACTTTGCCTTGCACATTAGGTACCAGCTCGGCCACAGTGGGGAAGGGGTCTTTGGAAAGGGGAGGGAAGAGTGGGAAGGGCTGCATCTCATGGCTTGAGTGCCAGCTCAGCCACAGTACACTAGAACACCAAGTAGACTTCTAAGGTTTTTGACTGCAGTCCCTGGCTCCCAGACAGCACCTCTAGACCTGCCCACGGCCTGGGGGAACTTGCTACAGAGGTTACACTGAGCCGAGATCATGCCACTGCACTCCAGCCTGGGCGATACAGCGAGACTGCATCTCAAAAAAAAAAAAAAAGAAAAAGAAAAGAAAAGAAATCCTGTCATTCGCAATAACATGGATGGATCTGGAGGTCATTATGTTAGCTGAAATCAGTCAGGCACAGAAAGACAGGCTTCATATGTTCTCACTTATTTGTGGCAGCTAAAAATTAAAATAATTGAACTCATGGTTATAGAGAGTAGAAGGATGGTTACGAGAGGCTGCAAAGCGTAGCGGGGAGGTGGGAGGGAAGTGGAGATTGTTAATGGGTACAAAAAACAGAATAAGACCTAGTATTTGCTAGGACAACAGGGTGACTATAGTAAAAAAAAATTTATTTGTACATTTTTAAATGACTAAAAGAGTATATTGGATTGTTTGTAACATAAAGGATAAGTGCTCGAGGTGATGAACACCCCATTCTCCCTCATGTGATTATTACGCCTTGCATGCCTGTATCAAAACATCTCATGTACTCCGTAAATATATACACCTACTATGTACCCACAAAAATTAAAAATAAATAAATAAGAAGCAACACAACCAGTCCTATATTTTACAAAAATAATTATGACGTAATTGAAATTGGGAAAAGCATTGAATGGCAAGAGAACCGTTTTGCCAGCTGTTGAAGTAATTCAGTAAAGAAATGGGCACCTATACTAAAATAAAAGCAGTACTGATACAGAGACATGGCTGGAACCCAAACACTAAAAAGGGAGAATTAATAGCGCTTTGCTATTGGGTTGAAATGGTGAGCTACCTGTTATGAAATTTTGAAATCTATTTAGCATCAGATACAATGGTCTTATCCAAAGTAAACCATTTGGTAAGAATTTTGGCTATGCTTCCAAAATTAAGAATTCATCTTGTACAGGAACTTATTACACAATAATTAGCTCTTTCTCAAAATTGTTTTCCTTAACATGGCAGGTAAAAACCATGCATTTGCTAGTCTTTTGGCTACTATGGCGAGGTTATAGTGAAGGTATTGTTCTTTGCAGCTTATAAGAAAGTGTGCAAACAGCATGAGTTTGCAGTTGTAGGCTCCAGATTTTAGGAAATCTGCATCCTCCTTCAGCCATCTATGGTGCATAGGCTGACCTGCATGCCTTGGGTTGGTCCTGTTTTCTCCAGGATGGATCATGAAGCCGCCCAGCTGGAGAAGCAGCATGTGCACAATGTGTACGAGAGCACAGCCCCTTACTTCAGCGACCTGCAGAGCAAAGCCTGGCCTCGTGTCCGCCAGTTCCTGCAAGAGCAGAAGCCAGGCAGCCTCATCGCTGACATAGGTAACCAGGCAGCCTCATCGCTGACATAGGTAACCAGGCAGCCTCATCGCTGACATAGGTAACCAGGCAGCCTCATCGCTGACATAGGTAACCAGGCAGCCTCATTGCTGTCATAGGTAACCCAGCACTGGGCCGTGTAGCATGAAATACCTTCCATTGAGCCTTTGCTTTTCACATTGATTTTTCATTTTTGTTCTAATAGGAATCCTGAAATTGCACCCTTGGCATGCCAGTACCTAGAATATTCATTTTACAGCAGAAACTCGAGACAGTCAAGTCAGCAGCAAGTAAAAAACTTTCTCAAACTTTTATTTTATTTTTATTCTTTTGAGATGGAGTTTCACTCTTGTCAACCAGATTGGAGTGCAGTGGTGCAATCTCAGCTTGCTGCAAACTCCGCCTCCCAGGTTCAACTGATTCTCCTGCCTCAGACTCCCAAATAGCTATGATTACAGGCACCCGCCACCACGCCCAGCTAATTTTTGTATTTTTAGTAGAAACGGGGTTTTGCCATGTTGGCCAGACTGGTCTCAAACTCCTGACCTCAGATGATCCATCTGTCTCGGCTTCCCAAAGTGCTGGGATTACAGGCTTGAGCCACCGTGCCTGGCCTCAAACTTTACCTTTAGACAGTGGCTCTTCAGGGCCTTTGTGTACATCCTCCACCAAAACGGACCTGACATTGATTGACTAAATCAGGATGGAAATGATGGCTTGTGAAACTAACCGTTGTAAATTTAAAGATATTCACATTTGCCAAATGTGTTCTCCTCTGGTGGCTCACTTTGAGTGGCTCACATGCCTTCTATAGAATTGTGGGATTATGGAAGAGGTCCAGTAATATCTTATGAATCTCATGGGTCCTTTCCTTTAATTATTCTATAGGTGTTTCATTATAGGAGCGCATCTTTAATTAGACAGTATTTTAATAATAACTTATTTGTCTGGAGGACGTTGGTTCAGTATCTTCGTAAATCAAGAACTGGTAAACCACAGCTTAGTAGATCTAGGACTAAGACTTAAAATGTGGTTGGAATCTCACTCAAGGCCTACCCACCTAAAACTGCGTTCTAGCAATTGCATGCTGACTGCACCTATGAGTCGTAAGTCTGTAGTTGCAAAGTGTGTCTAGTTTGATATTCTTTCTAAATACTGGTAAGAGAAACAGACATACCAGAACTTGTGGCTTGCTGAAGATGGTATGAGTAATGTGGAATCTGGGGAAGGGGTGCATGTCACATGGAAATTGGGAGTCTTTGAAAAATATCTCTATCCTGTAAATTAAAAAATAATAAATCTAGTTTCGGAGTGTGCAGTGAGTTTGGAGCTCTTACCACGTATAATCTAAGTAAGCCACGTACCAGGATCTTAAAATCAGTGGGGGAAAGGAACTATTCAGTAAATGGCTTTGGGATAACGACATATATAATCAGAGAGTTACTTTCTCACACCTTACATCAAAATAAATTCCAAATGAAGCAAAGATTTAAGTATAAGAAAATGAGCTCATTAAAGGACTAAATGACTAGATTGTTATTTAAAATATTCTCAGAGGCAAAATGCCTATATATGATACACATACAAAAAGAAATCGTAAAAGAATATACAGTTGATTGCCATTATTCACAGTACTTACATTTCATATATGTATCATAAACATTGAATTGGCAAATACTGAATCATTGTTTTTAGGGGAAATGTTGGATTAGGCTCCTGTAAGCTTCAGGTCACAACATTTTTGTCAATTTACCAATGTATAAGCTTGTTGCATATGTGTTTCTGTTTAAAGACACCTTCTTTACTATATATCATTATTTCATAAACATTGGGCTCACGGCCAGCACACTATAACTCTTTCGTGAACAAAGCTTATCTAACACATATATTTTGTCCATCAGAGACATCCCAGCCTTCTTATGTTCAGGAACACTAGACGGCATTTCAGCCCCAGGCTTAGGCCATTTGAAAGAGCAAAATCACCAGTAAAAACTGTACAAATGGAGAAATTGTGGCCCTAAATAGATTATGGAAAGGACACTTGATTACGGTATGGGAGCTGAAAAAAGGAGGCTGGGTATGTGGGTCTCAGATGACTCAAATATTTTGCTGCACTGTGAGTATTTAAGTCTAATAATGACAATGCAAGGCTGTAGTATTGACGTTGGGGTTACAAATAAATTTCAGCAGGTACATTAACTGCAAATATGGAAGCTGTAATTTATGAGGATTAACTATATTGACAGATAACTTTGACCCTATAAAAATGGAAAAGTTCCACAAGACAAAAATCTAGACAGACATACAATTCAAGTCAAAAGACCAAAATCAAACTAAGTAAAAATATCTGCAACACATGTCATAGAAATCTAGATAATTTTTTTTTCTTTTTTGAGACGGAGTCTTGCTCTGTTGCCCAGGCTGGAGTGCAGGGGCGCCATCTCGGCTCACTGCAAGCTCCGCCTCCCGGGTTCACGCCATTCTCCTGCCTCAGCCTCCCTAGTAGCTGGGACTACAGTTGCCCGCCACCACGCCCAGCTAATTTTTTGTATTTTTAGTAGAGACGGAGTTTCACCGTGTTAGCCAGGATGGTGTCGATCTCCTGACTTTGTGATCCACCGACCTTCGCCTCCCAAAGTGCTGGGATTACAGGCGTGAGCCACCGCGCCCGGCCGGTAATTTTTTTAATCTACTAAGCATTCTTCAACATCACTGTAAAAAAAGGACCAGCATCCTGTCATTTGCGACAACACGGAGGAACCTGGAAGATATTATGCTAGGTGAAATCAGCCAGGCACAGAAAGACAAATACCCAGTGATCTCACTTATACATGGGATCTAAAACAGTTGGACTCATAGAAGGAGAGATTAAAATGGTGGTTACCTGGGGCTGGGGTGTCGAAGCGGGTGGGGTAGGTGTAGGAAATGGTAAGACGTTGGTTAAAAGGCTCAGAGTATCAAACAGAAGGAATTAAATTCAAAGGAAAAAAAAAGGGAAAACTATCAACAAGTCACAAGAAAAATAGGGAAAGGATGTGAACAAATGGTTCAAAATGTGTAAAAGTATTTTAATAGGTAACCCACTGATACGGTTCGGCAACAAAGTACAAAAGAATGCTTAGTGTAAAATCTTCTCCCATCCCAGTCCCTGGCGCCAAGCAACCCACACCAGAGGCCTCTGACGCTGTTAGCTTCTTGTATGATCTTTTTGAGATGTTTTATGTAAAAATAAGCGTATTTGTGCCTGTGAGAGTGTGATGGGTAATTTCCCTTTTTTGGTTACACTAATGGTAGTATACTATAAAAACAATTATAATTATACACCTAGGTTTTGTTATACTTTTAATATATTGAGGAAATCATTCCATATTTATATTTATTATAGAGCTACCCAGTATTAAAACCTGCCTAGCATTCTATGCTAATAGTGCCATATTAACATTTAATACATGTTGTTTGCTGTATTTTGCCGCTACAAATTACACTACAGATAGGCCAGGCGCGGTATCTCACACGTGTAATCCTAGCACTTTGGGAGGTGTGGCGGGCAGATCTTTTAGCTCAGGAGTTCGAGACCAGCCTGGAAAACATGGTGAAACCCCATCTCTACAAAAAATACAACAACAGTAAAAATAATTAGCTAAGCATGATACACGTGCCTGTAGTCTCAGCTACTTGGGAGGCTGAGGTAGGAGGACAGATTGAGTCTGGGAGGCAGAGGTTGCAGTGAGCCGAGATGGTGCCACTGCATTCTAGCCTGGGTGGCATAGTGAGACCCTATCTGAAAAAAAAAAAAAAAGTCTCACAAATAATATTCTTTAAATACCTCTGTGCAAATCAACAACTACATCTATAGTAAATATCTTTTTGCCAATTTGTATCTTTTGAATTTTGTACTATATACATTTTTTAAACTATTCAATAAATAGGGTCATATTTTCATTGCAAAATGAAAGATGCATTTTAATGAAATTGAAGTTAAAGAAGAAAGAAATGAAAAAGAAAGAAGTTCAAAGGGATGAGGAGAAGAAAAGACAGATGGTAATATGACTGTCCTCTAAAGGAAATGGTTTCTGTTGCTAGGTTTTTCCACTTAGCTAAAGTCATCAGCTGTTTGATGAATAGACAATAGTTTGGATTAAAAAATATTTAAAATTCTTTTATTGTTCACATTCAAGATTTAAACATGAAGGCCATTAGAAATGAATAGGGGCAAATCAAGAGTTCTAGGGCACTGGAAGCATGTCAGGAGAAAAGACCTCTGTTTCCTTCTTATTACAAAATGCTCTCTGAACAGGCCCTCCTCATTCTAAAGATGTATGAGTCTGATTTTATTAATATCATTGAAGTAACTTTCCCTTTCATTTCTCCTAAAGTATCCCTCGAGCCAATGAAAAAGCAAATGAATTGCAAGGTTATTTTTCTTAAAATAGGACCATCGTCTTTTGAAATACACAGGATTTTAATTTTAAAATACTTTGTGAATTATATTTTCCCCATGATTGCCTTCAAACAGAGGGTACTTTTTCTCATAATCATTATTGGGAACAGTGTGGCTACGAGATCAAAGAAATAATATCATAGAAATAATATGGTCACATTTACGTAGAAATAATAATCCTGGAATTGTTTTCTTTTTCTTTTTTGAGACAAAATCTAACTCTGTCATCACCTAGGCTGGAGTGAGGTGATGCTACCCCAGCTCACTGCAACCTCCACCTCCTGAATTTAAGTGATTTTTTTCTGCCTCAGCCTCCTGAGTAACTGGGATTACAGGTACCTGCCACCACACCCAGCTAATTTTTGTATTTTTAGTAGAGAGGGGTTTCATCATGTTGGCCAGACTGGTCTCGAACTCCTGCCCTCAAGTGATCCGCCCACCACAGCCTCCCAAAGTGCTAGGATTATAGGCATGAGCCACCGCGCCAGACCCCAAATTTTATTTTTTATTCATATATTCTCCACTGTCTCAGCTGGCATTAATGAATCTTAAGTTTGCTTTTACTGTATCATAATTTTGAAAGTGCCTAGTAAGGAGGGGTTATTAGTGTCCTGATGTATTTCAGAAGCAGCAAACTAATCATCTTTGAATAGTGGTAGATATCTTTTCAGGTAGAAAAATTTCATCAGTAATGCCAATAAGTACAAATATAGGCTCTAATGATTTCTTTTAATATTTCTGGAAAGTAATTAGATTATATATCTGTGATAGAATATAATACTAAGTATTAGACTGTAGAAGGCTTTGTTTCAAGGTGGTTTATTCATTCATGTTACTACCTACCTCAATCATAACATCAGTAAGACCTCAATGATCTAAATATTTGGGCTTTGTAAATCCTGAATTACTTAGGTCTCTGCTACTGGAAAGTGAATATCAAAAATTGTCTATTTAAGAAAAAAAGTAGTTTTTATAATCTGAGTTGTATACTGGACCCATAGAGATCATTTTAAATGTAGCAATGAATAGAGATTGGATAAAAACAATGTTAAAAATTCTTTTCTAATTCAAGTTCAAATTTTAAAAATTTGAAAGGCATGTTTTAGTGTATAAATAATAGAAAAGTTGTTGACAGTTGTTTGTTTTGCAGTCAGCAAGTGGTAAGAATCTTTGGAGAGACAACAGGAGAATAAAAGCCGAAACATGCGTATATACAAAATGAAATATGAATGTGAGCTTAGAGGCTACACGTGGTCTCTCGGATACTAGAACTATCTTTCTTGCCTTGGACCAGCTAACGTGCCTTGGTTGCGCCAGTGTACTGAGCCCTGTGGACATCACCTCATTAAATATTCAATAAATGTTATTTTTTTCCTATTGCCTTTCTCTCTTCTATATGAGAATCTGTAAGTATTCGCCGAAGGCTTTTCTTTTGCTTTTGTGAATACCTTCACACCATGTTGTATTCTGTCTTGGTTAGTTAAAAAAAAAAAAAAAGTTGGCCAGGCACAGTGGCTTGCACCTGTAATCCCAGCACTTTGGGAGGCCGAGGCAGGCGGATCACCTGAGGTTGGGAGTTCGAGACCAACCTGACCAACATGGAGAAACCCGTCTCTACTAAAAATACAAAATTATCCGGTCATGGTGGCACGCGCCTATGATCCCACCTACTCGGGAGGCTAAGGCAAGAGAATTGCTTGAACCCGTGAGGCAGAGGTTGCAGTGAACCGAGATTGCGCCACTGCACTCCAGCCTGGGTGACTGAGGGAGACTCTGTCTCAAAATAAATAAATAAATAAAAGGTTAATTATATTTCTTGTTATGAGACAAATGAAGTATTTCACATTTTCCATTGAGGATAGCATGTAACGCAGGTTTTTCTCTTATAGGTTGTGGGACTGGAAAATATCTTAAAGTGAACAGCCAGGTACATACCGTGGGCTGTGACTACTGTGGGCCACTGGTAGAGATTGCCCGGAATAGAGGATGTGAAGCCATGGTATGTGACAACCTTAATCTCCCCTTTAGGGATGAGGGCTTCGATGCCATCATCTCCATAGGAGGTAAGGCAGCCAGATCACACATTCACCCTTTGCCATGAGAATAATTGACCCGGTTTAGTCCGTTCTCATGACTCAACATCCGTTCTGTGTAGAAATGTCAATGTAATTTATTTTATCTAATTTAAAAAAATTGTTTCAACTACTTGACTGATTTGACTTAACTCCAAAATGTATTTATGGCACATATGATTGTTTTAACTATTTAAACCTTCAACTTGGTATTGCAGTTTTTTTATGATTCATTCCAATTTCTTTTGAGTAAGAAAGGATTAGAGGAATCTTACTCATTGAAAATAGCACTTCATTATATTTAAATGAAGCCAGATTAATCCAAAGCAAAGTAGATTTTTAGAAGTTATATTACCATTTTTTAGGCCAAAATAGTGGCCTTTGTTAACAGAGAATTCTAGGGCTAACAAACCAAATGTCACCTGGACCAATCTGCCACTCACTGGTACTCAAGTTCATGGAGAAGGTAGGTCCCATCTGGTCTTGGATTGCATTGTTTTTATAATGCCACTCTGCTCATTTGCTGCCAGAGATCGTTCATGAGTCTAGGGAATGTGTTTCTCATATCCTCCCAACAAGTGTGACCAGAAAACACACATGCCAAAAAATGGGGGGAAAAAATCCATGCCTGAAATACATGCAGGTAAGGAATACATGACATCTGCCATATTTAAATATGCAGGGAAACTTGATATTTAATGGAATCCTATGACAAGGTTTTTTTTGTTTGTTTGTTTTGCAATGGAAAAATATTTTGCAAGGCAAATTACTTGTCCCAATACACTCTTAAAAATCAACCTATTTGGCCGGGTGCAGCGGCTCATGCCTGTAATCCCAACCCTTTGGGAGGCCGAAGTGGGTGTATCAGGAGGTCAGGAGATCGAGACCAGCCTGGCCAACATGTGAAACCCCATCTCTACTAAAAATACAAAAATTAGCCGGGCATGGTACAAGCGCCTGTAGTCCCAGCTACTCAGGAGGCTGAGGCAGGAGAATCGCTTGAACCTGGAAGGCGGAGGGTGCAGTGAGCTGAGATCACACCACTGCACTCCAGCCTGGATGACAAGAGTGAGACTCATCTCAAAAAAATAAAAAAAATAAAAACTATTTGATTAATAAGTTTTATCCAAGAAAGATGATCTTTTATAAAATGGAGTTATTCATAACAAAATTGCAGAATAAGATGATTTGCTCTTTTCCTAAAATAGATGAAAGATTGATTTATCCAACATTAGGTGGGGACTATTTCTTCGTATGCTGAGGGGAGGCAGACCTGGAAGCCATAACCTTGGAACTAGTAAGGACTGGCAAGAGATGGTTGCTATGGAAACTTGCTCTCTGATAGTCTCATTTGCAGTTGAAACTGTTAGATCCATTTTGGTTGTAAGCATTAAGAGGATTGTCTTAGCCTTTGCAGCCTGCTATAGCAAAATACCATAGACTTCGCTTAAACAACAGACATTTATTTCTCACCGTTCTGGAGGCTGGACATCTGAGATCAGGGTGCCAGCAGGGTAAGGTTCTGGTAGGGACCCTCCTACCAGGTTGCAGATGGCTTAATTCTTGCTGCATCATCACGTGAAATGCGGCAGGAGACTGGAAGAAGAAGGGGAGAATGAGAGAGATAGAGCAAGCTCTCTGGTCTCTTCTTATAAATAGGCCATTAAGCCCATAATGGGGGCCCCACTCTCACAACTTCATCTAAACCTCCTAAAGTTCTGCCTCCTAATACCTTCATACTGGGGGTTAGGGCTTCGACATGTTGGTCTCAGAGGCCACAAACATTCAGTCTATAACCCGGAGAAAACCTTTTTGAATTAAGCAACACTATACAATGCTTTGAATCTTTAGTGGAAAAAGGTTTTGGCTTGGTCATTCCACTTAACTAGAAATTGGAGAAAGGTCAAAGAAATGGGCCGGGCGCGGTGACTCAGGCCTGTAATCCTAGCACTTTGGGAGGCCAAGGTGGGTGGATCACAAGGTCAGGAGTTCAAGACCAGCCTGGCCAAGAAGGTGAAACCCCGTCTCTACTAAAAATGCAAAAATTAGCCGGGCATGGTGGTGAGCACTTGTAATCCCACTACTTGGGAAGCTGAGGCAGGGAATTGCTTGAACCCAGAAGGAAGAGGTTGCAGTGAGCCAAGATCATGCCACTGCACTCCAGCCTAAGCAACAGAGTGAGACTCCATCTGAAATAAATAAATAAATAAATAAATAAATAAATAAATAAATAAAATAAAAAGTCAAAGAAATCTGTGGACTGCTTGGTCTTCTTTTGTCTACACTCATTTTATTTTTTATTTTTTTAACTAAACCTTCAAATTGTTATTGGATTTTTTTAATGATTCAAGAATTTTTTATTTTTATTTTTTATTTTTCGAAGCAATGTTTTTTTAGATGTCTTGTTACATCTTGATATTTTATCATTTGTTGTCATTTAACTTTTCAAGTGTACATGTCTCGCCTCCCTAACCTTCAGCATTTAGAATCCGCAGGTTTAGCGTAAAGTGAGACCAATTTTTTTATTGGTCTCACTCTTATCACCCTGGTTGGAGTGCAATGGCAGCCTCTACCTCCTGGTCTCAGGTTATCCTCCTGCCTCAGCCTCCCAAGTAGCTGGGACTACAAGCACACATCACCATGCCTGGCTAATTTTTTCTAATTTTTTTTGTAGAGATGGGGTTGCCATATTGTCCAGGCTGGTCCTGAAGTCCAGGGCTCAACCAGTCCACCTGCCTTGGCCTCCCAAAGTGTTGTGATTACAGGCATGAACTACCACGCCCAGGCTAAATTCCTTGTAGTCTGCAAGGCCACCTATATCCAGACCATTCCACTGAGACACTGGTGAAGGAAGGGGATATAGACCACCTTTCCTATGCTTGGGAAACACTCCATGCTTATCTGGCTAAGTCCTCTATTTTCAGTTTACATCTCATGCCTTGCCCTCAGAGAAAATGGAGCACACCTAGTTACCATCTTCGAATTAAAAATGCTTCCTTGAGTGGAAAACAGCACGCGTTTTTATGATCTGTAACTACGAATTAATGTGATGTGGTTATTTTCAGTTCGAGTTCACATTTAGGACTATATTATGGTAGCCAGGCATGGTGACGGGCACCTGAATTCCCAGCTACTTTGGGAGGCTGGGGTGAGAGGATCCTTTGAGTTCAGGAGTTTGAGTCCAGCCTGGGCAACCTAAAGAGAACTTGTCCCTAAAAATCATATGGGTATATATATATGATATATATATATATACATATAACATAAATATAAGGGACCCTGTACCTGAAAATCATATATATAAACATATATAAATATAAATGTGAAATATATATTTATATATATAAAATATAAATGTGAAATATATATTATATATAAAATATAAATGTGAAATATATATTTATATATATAAATATATTTGTGTGTTTATATAACTAGATGAGGCATAAGAGAGATAGTCTATTGAAATTTCTCTTATATGACATATATAAGGACCTATATTATGAGAAATATATATAAATATATAAATATAAATAATATATATAAAAGGAAGTATACTATGAGAAATTTCAATAGACTGTCTCTCTTATGTCCCTATATATTTACTTCTCTATTTAAAGTTCTTATGTTGGCACTTCCTGCTTAACAGGAAGAAATATATAAGTATATATATATTTGCTTTTCCACATCTTTTAATAATAATGTGAGCTTAGCATCATACCTGGTTATGCCTTCATTTTATTGGCATATTAGAAAAAGAAATATTGTTGTACTTACTTTTGGAATAGTCTGATAAACATCCTAGGGAAAAGTGGTGGCGCATTAACATAGGAGCAATCAACAATGCCCTTCAGGCTAGTGCTTCTCAACTGGGGGTTACGTTGCTCCTTCCCCCTTTCCCCAGAGGACATGAGCAATGTCTGGAGACATTTTTAATTGTCACAACTGGATATGTTTATGTATGTACGTGTAATATCATCTAGTATGTGGGCCCCCACAATAAAGAATTATACACTTTGGGAGACTGAGGCAGGCGGATCACAAGGTCAGGAGTTTGAGACCAGCCTGGCCAATATGGTGAAACCCCATCTGTACTAAAAATAGAAACTTGGCCGGGCATAGTAGTGCATGCCTGTAATCTCAGCTACTCAGGAGGCTGAGGTAGAAGAATTGCTTGAACCCAGGAGGCAGAGGTTGCAGTGAACCAGGTCACACCACTGCACTCCAGCCTGGGCGACAGAGCAAGACTGCGTCTCAAAAAAACCCCGAATTATCTAGCCCAAAATGTCAATAGTACTGATGTTTAAAAAAAATCTGCTTTATGCTAAACCTGCAGATTCTGAATGCTGAAGTTTAGAGAGGCGAGGCATGTACACTTGAAAAGTTAAATGTCAACAAATGATGAAATATCAAGATGTAACAAGACATTCAAGGAGATCATGTGTAACTTCTCATCTGAATCTGGAATCCAGTAATTGAATTCAACCTACCTACTGTCTGGGCTCTCAGCAGGAAAATACTGCTTTAGGATGCATATATTGAGTACTACTTTTGCCTTTAAGTTGTGATTATGATTTTTTAAACAAAAGGGACTTTAAAAAATTCAACATAGTTTCCAGACATTGATATTTCGGATAAATATATTCTCACTTCCCATTTTAGATACATTTACAATGTTTCTTAATAGAACATGTATGCGTATGCATGTCTAATACATTTAATATGTAATGAAGTAATCATTTGTAGGCTTTTTTTTTTTTTTTTTGAGACAGTGTCTTACTCTGTCACCCAGGTTGGAGTACAGTGGCATGATCTTGACTCACTTCAACCTCTGCCTCCTGGGCTCTAGAGATTCTCTCACATCAGTTTCCTGAGTAACTTGGACCATAGACACACACCACCACGCCCAGCTAATTTTTTTTATTTTTTATTTTTTTGGTAGAGATGGGGTTTCACTATGTTGCCCAGGCTGGTCTTGAACCCCTGAGCTCAAGTGATCCGCCCACCTCAGCCCCTCAAAGTGCTGGAATTACAGGTGTGAGGCACCATCCGTGGCCAGCTATTTTTTTCTTAAGAACATTTGGCTTAAAGGCTGTTACTTATTACACTTTAAGTATAAATATAAAACATAATATGAACGACTGATATTCCTGGGTGAAATTATGCTGTTACATCTGATAAGAAAGGAATGGTCACTTAAGCATTAATAAATGAATAAATAAGGACTTTCTTAAAAAAAAAAAAAAAAAACTTGGCCAGGCGTGGTGGTTCATGCCTGCAATCCCAGCACTTTGGGAGGCTGAGGCAGGAGGATGGCTTGAGCCCAGGAGTTCGATACCAGCCTGGGCAACATGGCAAAACTCCATCTCTACAAAAAATACAAAAATTAGCTGGGTGTGGTGATATATACCTGTGGTCCCAGCTACTCAGGAGGCTGAGAGAGGAGAATCACCTGAACTCAGAAGGCAGAGGCTGCAGCAAGCTGAGATGGAGCCACTACATCCTGGGTGACAGAGCAAGACCCTGTCTCAAAAAAAAAAAAACGACAACAAAGAAAAAAACCTACTTTGAAGTCCAATCAAATTCTGAATGTTGATGTATGAGTCTACTGAAAAGAGACCATTTTATTAAAATAGTCCCGTTTTAAAGGTTTTTTTGTCTTATACCACCCCCCAAAAAATAGTCAATTATCATTATCTACAGTAGTCATGTTCTATAAAGTCTCTGTGAACACTGAATTAATAAATTCAGTGGAATATAGAATCCCAAGAGGCATACAGCGGTTTCTGTGAGCCTCTGATCACAACATTTTTGTCAGCTGAACAACATATTGTCTTGTTTTATGTGTGTTTCTGTTTAAAGACAGTTTATTTCATTTTAAACTCATACCAACAGCACTGCAACTCATGCCTGAACGAAGTTATCTAACTCGTATTTTCTCCATAAGGTGCATCACAGTCTTCCAAGGCTTAGAAACACTAAATAATACCTCAACACTATGTTTGGAGGCGATTTCAAATAGCAAAATCACCAACAAGAAGCACAAACATGCAGAAAATGTGGCACAAAATAGATCACAAAAAGAACCCTTGATTACAGTATTAGAGTTGAAATAAGAAGAAAGAACATTACTTTGTTTCATCTCAGCTGGGAATATTTGCACTGAGAGGCTCAAGTTGCCCCTCTGCATTCGTCAGTGAATGACCATGAAAGTCTGGAGTATTGATTTGGGGGATTACAATTTGGGGAGTATTGATTTGGGGGCGATTTGTTATCAAGTGGGCAAATTCGCAAATACAGAATCCATGAATAATGAAGATGGATTGTATTTAGAAAATACACCCATAGAAGACGCTCTAAAGTGAATTAGGTGCAAGTTATGGGAGATACATACATATGGGAGATACATTTATATGAGTGTGTATATATAGATACATATATTTGAGACAGCGTCTCACTCTGTTGGCCAGACTGGACTGCAGTGGCATGATCATGGCCCACTGCAAACTCGACCTCCCTGGCTCAAATGATCTTCCCACTTCAGCCTCCTGAGTAGCTGGAACTACAGGCACACACCAATGCACCCAGTTAATTTTTTTATATTTTTTGTAGAGATGGGGTTTTGCCATGTTGCCCAGGCTGGTCTCAAACTCCTGGCCTCAAGAGTTCCGCCCACCTCAGCCTCCCAAAGTGCTGGGATTACTGGCATGAGCCACTGCACACAGCACGGGAGATATTAATGGCCCTTAGTAACCGTGGATAAATGTGAGCATTAGCAGTGGATTGAGTCTTTCTCAGTCCTGACTGCTATACCTCCTTAGCTTAGTAATCAGGACTCTACTTCTAGAAAGGTATGCTTTCAAATGAGCCATATTAAAGGACTCTTCTTTTCGGGAGTGGGTGGCAGCAGTCTGAGGCCAGGAGGGTAGAGTGATTGTTTAAAGATCACAAAACTAGTTACCGAAAGTTCTAGCAGAATGAAATACACTGGTGTGTTGTTCTTCAAACCCATTTCACCCTCACACCTCTGGCTTTCTTACATTACTGCATGGTAGAGATACCAAGGTTTGTGTGCTGTTGATAGGAATGAAAACTTGATTGCTAACGATACAAAATGTATCTGTTGAGTGATATTTCTTTACTAGTTTGATCTGTACACAACCCCATTTTTGATATTTAATATGCCTCTGTGGAAGGTAAACTACAAAGATTAGTTTGCCTAAAATCACCACTAACAGTTGGATTATTTTGACCCTTAGAGCAACCCTCTCAGGCTCTGTCTCTGCCCTCACAGCTCATATCAAAACAAGAATCTTCCAATTTTGCTTGAGATTAATTTCCTCACTGATATATTGGTGCATCTATGTAGGGAAAAATAATTTGAAGTTTTCTCTTGACACAATACCGTGATTATACTCCCTCAAAAACTAACAGACTAGCACTTTTATTGGCAGATAAAATTATGCCTAATAACACACTTATGACTTGATAAAGGCAGTCTTACTTGAAGCTCATTTCGACTTTGCAGGAATTGGAAGTAAAATGATGATGTATACATTGATTTTTTAAATAGACACAACTATTTTATATCTTATTATAAGCAACCAATTGGACTTGGGGTGAGCTGCTGATCTTTGCATTATCTAGACAGAGAAACAATCTTTAACATATTTCTGTACTTCTCAGCTATTACTTTAGAAGTACAAATTGTTCATTAAAACAATGAATTACCTCATAGAATTCAAAGGGAACATTTAATATCTCTTTCAAATTTTAGTAATTCACATTGACCATCCTTCTGGTTAAAAAAAATCCATAGTATTTTGGAACTGGAAGAGACTTTATGGATTTATGGACTCTAGACTTCTTCTTATAGAGGAAGAAACTTAAAATCTGTAGAACTTAAATATCTTGCCCAAGATCAGCCATCTAATATTAAAAGTACAGGAGCCAAAGCTAAAATTTATGTTTCTCCTAAAATCAGTCCTGTGTTATTTCTGTCATCATCGTTGCCATGGAGGAAATAAGAAGGTTTCATTAGATGTCAAAATTTCATCCTTGTTATATGGTAAACACCAGTGTATACGTGTGTGGGTTTATGTGTGTGCATACACACTGAGATCTAGTTTTGTCTTTTTCAGTCATACATCATTTTTCTACAAAACAAAGAAGAATCAGAGCAATAAAAGAAATGGCCAGGGTCTTAGTTCCCGGAGGCCAACTGATGATTTACGTTTGGGCAATGGAACAAAAGAACCGTCACTTTGAGAAGCAAGACGTGCTTGTTCCATGGAACAGGGCTCTGTGTTCCCAGCTCTTCTCAGAGTCCAGCCAGTCTGGGAGGAAGAGGCAGTGTGGATACCCAGAAAGAGGCCATCCCTACCATCCTCCTTGCTCTGAGTGTAGCTGTTCTGTTTGTTTTAAAGAGCAGTGTGGTTCAAAACGGTCCCACAGCGTGGGCTATGAACCTGCTATGGCAAGAACCTGTTTTGCAAATATTTCTAAGGAAGGCGAGGAAGAATATGGATTTTACAGCACATTAGGAAAATCGTTTCGTTCCTGGTTTTTCTCCAGATCTTTGGATGAATCGACTCTGAGGAAGCAAATTGAAAGAGTAAGACCCTTGAAAAACACAGAAGTTTGGGCCAGTAGCACTGTAACAGTCCAGCCTTCCAGACACTCTAGTTTAGACTTTGATCACCAAGAGCCATTTTCAACAAAAGGGCAAAGTTTAGATGAGGAAGTGTTTGTGGAATCTTCTTCTGGAAAACACTTGGAGTGGCTGAGAGCACCAGGCACTCTGAAACATTTAAATGGAGACCATCAAGGGGAAATGAGGAGAAATGGAGGGGGAAATTTTCTGGATAGCACTAATACTGGTGTGAATTGTGTGGATGCAGGCAACATAGAAGATGATAATCCTTCTGCTAGTAAAATATTGAGAAGGATTTCTGCAGTTGATTCCACAGATTTCAACCCAGATGATACAATGTCTGTCGAAGATCCACAGACTGATGTTTTGGACTCCACAGCCTTTATGCGCTACTACCATGTGTTTCGAGAAGGGGAGCTCTGCAGTCTGCTCAAGGAGAATGTGTCAGAGCTCCGTATCCTGAGTTCTGGGAATGATCATGGTAACTGGTGTATCATTGCAGAGAAAAAGAGAGGTTGTGATTGATTGGATCCTTTTAGACAACTCCTCCAAAAGATGAACCACATTCTTTCCTCTTGGTTTGATATGGTTACCTGAATTTGCATTCAGTGTTATTTGTTAATCCATTTACGCTTTGGTCTGCAGAGACTATTAATTATTTGGTTGTTTTGTTTTCATTTTTGAATAAGCACAGATTCTGGCATTGAAAGCACTTGACAAAGGGTATTTGTGCTTAAATGTTAATATACAAGATCTGAAGAAGCAACAGAAAGTACCCTTCAGTACACCTCAGACTTTTTTTTAACCCCAGAGAGATAAAATACATGTATAGTGTTTTTCAGTATTACACATTGATTTAAAAAGATTATGCTGTTAAATAATCTTTTAAAACGGTATTTTTATAAAGTGAGGGGATAATTTCTGGTTCTCAGGTTATAACTGAGAGCAGTGTGCAAGATAATAGGTAAATTTGATCCATTGCACAGATATACTTTGAACCATGTGATGAGTTATCTTGTTGCCAAGGCCTTGCTTCTACTTAAAGTTTTCAGAAAACTGAGTGACAGTGGAGAGAAACAAGAAGTTTTACAAGGACTTTACTAAATTATAAGCAAACTTGCTTCAAAATAAGTTGACATGTGATAATAAGGTTTTCAATGTAGCCCAGGAGGTTTTTAAAGGCACTGTTAGGCTGAGCATGGTGGCTCATGCCTGTAATCCCAGCACTTTGGGAGGCCAAGGCAGAAGGATCACTTGAACCCAGGAGTTCAAGAATAGCCTGGGCAACATAGCAAGACCCCATCTCTATAAAAATTAGCAAGATGTGGTGGTGCATGCCTGTCATCCAAGCTACTCAAGAGACTGAGGCAGGAGGATCACGTGAGCCCAGGAATTCAAGGCTGCAGTGAACTATGATTGCATCACTGCACTGCAGCCTGGGCAACATAGCAAGACTCTGTCTCAAAATAATAATAATAATAATAATAAAGGCGTTGTTAGCTTGTAAGGAGTGGAGTATGTAGGTAGTAGGAGTTATATGCAAGTACCCAAGTGGTATTCTTCCAATCTTATTAGAAGCATGAATATTCAAGATTGATATTACTATTGCTTATTAGCAAGATTGTTATCAATCATGCTTATTAGAAGGATGAATATCCAAGACCAAGATTGACTAATGATGAGTCTGCATCAAGAACTAGGCATTTCTTCTGAGTTGACGGACTCTTTAGGAAAGGAGAATCTAAGTGAAGCACTGATTTTAGCTCTGAGAACAAACAAATTAAGGTACAGCATAGTTAGCCTTGGTAGAGGTATGACTTGGATTTGCTGTATCCTTTAAAATAGTATCTGGGCATTTATTTTATTGAAGGTGACTACATTTTATTAGTTATATTAGGAATTTAGGTAGAATCAACTTCTACTGATTACAGGTTGAATTTCTGTCACTTTGTAGAGAAACGAATAGACTGGACACTGTGTGGTCACTGTTTAGATTTGCCCATGGGTCTCTTTAAATCTATGTCATGGATCCTGAGACACAAATATAATTAAGACAGGTCTAGAGACAGGAGAAGCAGAAATAAGTTGACCCAGGAGTACAGTCTCAAGTAGTTCATTAATGAGAAAATTGACATCTGACAAGAGTCTTTTTACTTTATGCTGGATGAAAATCCAAATCTTGTTTTATTTTTTCCACTAAAAGTGACTAAAATAATAACGAATTTCATTTGTTCTTGGGTTCTTTTTTCCTTTAATGATTGTGCTATAACTTAAAATAATGATGTTACTTTTGAACAAACTTAAAGAAATATTTTTAAAGCGTATCTGAAAACGATTGATGTTTATAACTCTCTTTTGGCTTCAAAATAAGATTGTGTTATCACCATTTTGGTAGATGAGGTTGTCTGGTGAAAATGATGCATATGAGTTGTACTGTTCAGTGTACATCCTGCAGTAGTGGATGATTGAAAACATATATAAGTGGAGTATAAATTAAAAATTAATTTGGTTTCTTCTATTTCTTTTTTTTTTTTTTTTTTTTGAGACAGAGTCTCGCTCTGTCGCCCAGGCTGGAGTGCACTGGCGCGATCTCGGCTCACTGTAAGCTCCGCCTCCCGGGTTCACGCCATCCTCCTGCCTCAGCCTCCCAAGTAGCTGGGACTACTGGCACCCACCACGACGCCCGGCTGTTTTTTTGTATTTTTAGGAGAGACGGGGTTTCACCGTGTTAGCCAGGATGGTCTCGATCTCCTGACGTCGTGATCCACCCGCCTCGGCCCCCCACAGTGCTGGGATTACAGGCGTGAGCCACCGCGCCCGGCCTGTTCCTTTTATTTCTTAATTCAGGACACTAAACCATGACTGCAAGGGATTTCCTTGGTAAAAAGAAAAGATTCTCAGAGTCAAAATGGTCTTACAACTCGGGCTTGACGGCCTTTGAATTATGAATGGATTGTTCCTCTCTCTGAAGCCTATTGTCACATGGGTTTTTAATCCTGGCCTTGCTGCTAGAAATCTGTGCTTGAAGTCCTCTCTTTCTGCTGCTAGCCTACCAGTTAAAAGTCAAGACTTGGTGGAACTCAGTTTACCAGACTCTTTAGCCTTTGAGCTAAACTGTCTGAGCAACCTCTTAGATGTGCACACACCACTTTGTATGAAAGGGTTCTCTAGAACGGTTCTTTGGAGAGAAATATTTTCATGTACGTTTGACAGGGGTGTAAATAAAGCATGCTGACTAATAAGTCTTTTACTCTTCATCTAATGAACATAAGAATCTATGCATCCAGATATTATTTTGTATACAAATATTTAATTTGGTGATTGATAATCTCTCTTTGGGGTAGTCACATGGAAAGCTCTTTTAAATTTAACTTCCGCCTTTGGATTTTTTTTAAAAAGCCATTGAAGAGCAAAACTAATGTAAACGTCTTGATCATTTAAAAAGCTTGCTTGTCCTCGAAAGGAAACACAGGTCATCAGTGAGTATAAACGTAGACAGTTGATTTGTGAATGCTGTCGGCCTCAACTTGCTTGATGATAGATTCTACTGACCTAGCTGGAGTAATCTGATCACTTACTTCCTTATTAATACTAGATCACACAGTGTCTTTCTTATTCCTTCTTCTTTACTTACTGGCATCAGCACAGAGTCCCACTATCTGAAATAGAAGGGAGAGTTTGGGGGTTTATTGGAGGAGTCTTAAAAACTTGGTTGGCAGCTGGGTACGATGACTCACACCTGTACTCCCAGCACTTCAGGAAGCTGAGGTGGGTGGATCAGCTGAGGTCAGGAGTTTGAGACCAGCCTGACCAACATGGTGAAACCCCGTCTTTATTAAATACAAAAAATTAGCCAGGTTGGTGGCGCATGCCTGTAATCCCAGCTACTTGGGAGGCTGAGGCAGGAGAATCGCTTGAACCTGGGAGGCGGAGGTTGCAGTGAGCCGAGATTGTGCCATTGCACTCCAACCTGGGCAACAAGAGTGAAACTCCATCTCCAACAAAACAAAACTTTGCTGGCTTCCTGATGCCTCACTGTCTATTTGAGGAATTCCACAGAATCTTCAAAGGATTTGGGGGAAAGCGCATTAACATGGACAAAGGATGGAATCAAAATAATGTTATAGTGAGAATCATTCAAGCACCTATTTAAATTTTTTCCAATTGCCAGTATAGTGATGATATGACACCAGCATATCAAAGTAACTAACAAACTAGCTACACAAACGTCTTGGAGTTTGGTTTCGTTCTCTTTTCTCATCATAGATCTCCGTGCAGAATAGTGCTAATTCTTATTTCTCGTTTGCCTTTCTATTTCCTTCCAAATTCTACATGCCAGTAATTCCTCTGTCTTTTAAGTGACCATCAATTCAATAGGCAAAAATTTGGAGTAATCCAGAGAAAAAACCATCCAAATATAAACCAGCTAGGAACATGAATGCCCCTGATTATTAATGGCCAAAAAAAAAGCACTGGTGGATTTTAAATTAAATTAATACATATATACGAGTTTGGAGGAGAACAGAAGTTCTAACTCAGTACTTGAACTTGGTGGGGGAGGGCACAGGTTAAATATGAGCTGTGAGCCCCCAGTTTTGGAGGAAGGAGGAAATGGGAACCAACCACCAGACAAGCAGCTGCAGTCTAAGAAAAACAAATTAGGGCAGGCCTCAGCATCTCTTTCCTATTACATAGAAAATCTGAAATGAGAATAGCTGTGAACTTTTCTAAATATGCAACATTCAACTATCGCAAGGACAAAAAACCAAACACCGCATGTTCTCACTCATAGGTGGGAATTGAACAATGAGAACACATGGACACAGTAAGGGGAACATCACACACTGGGACCTGTTGTGACCCCGCTGAGGGAGTTCCTCTTGCCCTCTACCCCCGGGGCTTGTATATAGATTATAAATATATAAGGGGGAAAGGGGTGGGGGGGAGGGGTTGTGCGGCTGGGGCCTCACTTCCCCTCCTTCCCCTTCTCCTGGTCCCCTGTCCCAGGGGCTGTTTGTTAAAAAAGAGTAATAAAGGATTTTTGTTTTTAAAAAAAGCAACGTTCATTAATTTATATGCAGTCCTCACCACAGCCCTCCAAGATAACTATACTTATTGTTCCCATTTTGCAGATGAGGAAAACTGAGGCAGAAAGAAATTAAATTGCTTAAGGTTACACACATAGTAGGTATCACACATTTAGTTAGAGGCAGAGCTGGGATTCAAACCCAGGTCTGGCTCCTAGTCTCTGCTCTTAACCACAACACCATATACTCCCACCCCTGGGCCCAGCTCATGTGCTTGGCGGAGTATTAGAGCCTTTCAAGGTAAGTGTGATTATCCCCTTTCCAAATGAGCTTTGGAAAAGTTTAAGCAAAGATTACACAGCTAGACAATAATTCAATAGTAGTCTCTTACATATTTTCCCTTTTATCTTTTTTTCATTTGTAAATCTGTTTCGATTTGATTTGAATTAAAAAATAGTTCTTGGTTGCAAAATATTCTGGGACCACTTTTCTCCAACTCTTCAACCTTTCAACAATTATATTATTGTTTTCCCATTTTATAAGTAAGGCAACTGAGGACTATTCAGATATTTCATTCACTCCATTTGTTTACTAAGCCCTGCTGTGTGCTGGATACACAGTCTGCTGTGTGCTGGATACATATGATACAAGGTAATGACTATCTGGCATCTTGAAGGTACCCAGAATATTAGAATTAACTGACCCACAGGTGCCAAGCTGAAACATTCTTCGTATTCCCTGTGTGCCTATTACCAAGTTATATTGTTTAGTTTGAGGAAAACAACAAACAACCCTCCCTTAGAGAATCATGATGCATATTAGCATATTTAAGGAGTACCCTAAAGCTTGGACTTAATCTAGCTTACCCTAGACGTATTAACATCCTATAGCGCACGTGTTCTGTGGGATATATTTCAGAAAATAATATGTCTTACAGAATAAATGCAGACTCCTTTGGATGGCATTCAGGCCCTTCATAAAGTAACTCTGAATTATTTTTCAGTCTCATTTCCTGCAGTTGCACCCGATTTTTTCTGTTCTGCAATCTGCTATTTTAGACAAAGCTTTCATAAGAAATTACATAATGACAAGTAATTCCCACATTCCCTAGATATATACTTGGATTTCAAATGCCATAATTGTAATCTTTCTCCAAAGAAAAATGCACGATACAGGCTTCATTCTATCAAGAGGCATATGAGGTAAGCGTTATTATACACCCGTCCAGCAGATGGGAAAACCACGGAAGTGGGAGGGAATCAAGAAGCATTAACAGACCCTCCACCAACCGTAATGCTTAACTCCTCTTGTTCCAATCTTAACTCAAAATTATGATTATTTTGATTATTTAATGATTGTTTTGATAGTATAAACTCCATATCTGCAACCTCAGTTATCTACAACACTGAGGTGCAAACATTTAAAAAGATCTCTCACCAAACAAGGATTGAAATTGTATTGCAAATGAAAGAGCTCAGCATGAGAGCACAATCAGAAACTGAAGAGAGTTGATCAAAGAGAAGATTCTAGCTGAATTGTTCTATTTTTAATTCCCCAGGGATCCTACGGTCTATGACACATTAACAGGGGTGTGAATCATTTCAGTTACATCACATACTCTGTCCTCTTGTGGTGCGGGTCTTCCCCAGTTGATTATACACAGATAATCAATGACTTTATTTGGGAGGGATTGGAGCTATAGAATAATCTATCTTACCAATCTGATGGACCATTTGTAAGAGCTGTTTGTCAAATTGGATCTTCATTTGACAAATAAATACTAGAGCTGCAGAAAGTAAAGTTTACTCCAACCCAATTAATCATTAATACATCCACAGGAAAAATACATTTTCTCCACATGGAATATTGATTTTTCTATGAATATTACCTCCACATTGAAAAACGAGTGAGTCACTGCAGTTAAGCCAGTGTACCTTGATGTTGAATTCCCTGAAGAAGGTACAATTATATTTACATTCCCTTAGCAAGAATTTGGCTAAGTGATAAGCACTTTTCTCTTTTCTTTTCTTTTTTTTTTTTTTTTTTTGAGACAGTGTCTCACTCTGTCACCCAGGCTGGAGGGCAGTAGTGCAGTCTCAGCTCATTGCAACCTCTGCCTCCCAGGTTTAAGCAATTCTCGTGCCTCAGCCTCCTGAATAGCTGGGATTACAGGAACATGCCACCACTCCTGGCTAATTTTTGTATTTTTTTTTAAGTAAAGACAAACTTTCACCATGTTGGCCAGGCTGGTCTTGAACTCCTGACCTCTTACGAGCTAATCATACCACTTCTAACTAGATTTTCTATTAATGTACAAGGAGGGACTCCACTACTAAAGTTTGTTTTACTTCTCTGGTTATTTACACAAAACGCTGGCAATACATTAAGGCTCACTAATGTGGACCTAAGTGAGTATCTGAGAGGCTTTGAATATGTATGTGCAAACTGTCCTATTTTCTTTATATGCTCTCTTAAATATGTATGTCTGTAAATATATATATAACACACATATATATATATTCCTAGACATCTAGTGTTTGCTGTCATTAGTGACCAAGAAAAAGTAGTTCTTTTGTGCACGCGTGAATACATCAAATTAGCAATTACCATAGAAATGTATTTCATTGAATAAATAGCTTTTGTTTGTTTGTTTGTTTGTTTCAGGGAAATTTAGAACAATTATTAGATGTTATAGTGCCTCTTCTCGTGTTGATACGTGTATTTGGGTCAAAAGTGCAAAAACTTTTTTCTACAATGTACAGTTATTTTGACTTTTCCCAGGGGAAGCTAGCAATAGTTTTAAAAGCACAAAGTGATGTAAAATATTTTGACTTTTATAATAATGCGAAGTAGTTTTATTTGCATTAATCAATAATGTTCAGGATCTTTTTGTAGTAAGTATATTTTAAATGGTGTAATTTGTGTGTTTATGATATGTATTCAATTATTTAAGTTAAGTATCAGTGTATTTTTAAAAAGTGTTCCCAGGTGAACAAAAGTTTGCTTTTCTTCACCATTCTGTACAGGACAAGCATTATTCAGTTCACATAGTCAGCTCTCACTACACTTCAACAGAACGGGGCAAGTTCGTATTTGAATTCTGTTATATTTATCTAAGGGAAGCAAAATTAACCTTTTAATAATAGATTATCTTTAATGGTTATTAAAAGAATGTTATTGACCAAAAAGACATATTTTGAGATTAATAAAGATGTATTAGATTATCCAAAAGTGGATGTGTGCAAATGTGGTCCTAATCTAGAAATGATGTCATTTTTGTATGTTGCTTGGGAGGTAGGGAAGTTTGTTCTCTTTCCTGACCTGCTCCATCTGCAGCTTGTCAGCTCATTACCAGCATGGGGGTGTGAAGCAAGGGAGGATTTGTGCCCACCCTGCTGTGGCTCTCATGCCACTCAGAGGGGATGCAATCTTGCAGCAGATGGTGCCCTGGCATGGGGCAGCTTGACGGCTCCTCACCTGTGATGGAAGAAGATACTCCATCTCCCCGAGCATCAGATTGGCCCTCAGGTGGCTGCTTGAAAGACAAAAATGATGACAAATAAAATACACTCTGTGCTGACCTTTTGACAAGAATCAGTGAGACCTCAGTCCTGTGCTTCGTACTCTGCCAGAAACCTCCCAGTTTAAAAACATTGCTAATTATTGTCTTTAGAAGCCATCCCTTCTTCCATCTTCATGCTCCTTTTCTATTTTTGAAATATCTAAGCATAAATTTAGCTTTAAAATGATATACTTAACAGATGTATAGTGGGTTTTACAGTTTTCTCAATGGGTGAAATCAGAAGGAAAGTGTCAACGTCAGAACACTTCACTCCCCACCCCATCCCGGATGCAGGGCACAGAAGATAATCCCCGTGCAAGTGCACGTGTGTGCAAGGAAAAGCAGCAGATGCTTGGGATACCAGAAACCTTGGGAGCCACTGACTCCGAGAAGGAGTGACTTGCAAAGCCAAGAACCAGATCCATATGCTTCTTTCTGCATTCCTCCACACACACCTGTGTTTGCATTCCTCCAGGTAGCTGTCCTATGCATCCATCCAGATCTTTGTCACACTGCAGCCCACTCAGGTCCCATCGTCAAAGAAATGCCCCGATCCCACAGCTCCATGTTGATCTTCTCCTCCTTCACCATACGCCCTTTGCATTTAGGGTGTTTTACAGCACTACTCCTTTTACACCTTTACAATTTAGCAATTAAAAAACCATTCTGCATCATCCACAATTTTTCCCTTATGTGTGTACCAATTTTTTGTTAAGAGAGACAGTTGACTAAGGCCATTCCAGCTCCGGTCACTTTTCCACCTACCACAGTCATCCCTCCACCACCTGGGATCCACCTCTGTAGATTCAAGCAATATTTGAAAAAAGGAGATTATGTCTGGGCTAACACGTACAGACATTTTCTCTTGTCATTATTCCTTAAACAATAGAGTACAACAACCATTTACACTGTGTGATGTATTATAAGGAACCTGAAAATGATATAATGTATAAGGGAGGATGTCTGTCAGTAATATGCAAATGCTATGCATCATTTTCATTTCAGGGACTTGAGCATCCATGGATTTGGTATCCGAGGGCGTCCTGGAACCAACCCCCCACGGATATTGAGGGACCACAGTATTTTTATCCTCCATGTCACCCCATCCCTGACCTCCAGAAACAAACAATCATTTGCCATTTTAAAGGACCTACACTAAATGAGCAACAGAAGAGCTCTCCCACCCACCACCGACTCCATGCCTGTTTTCAGCATTGTAGGGAGGAAGAGTCCCGGCCCTGGCTGATGGCTCTCAGCTCCTGGGATCAGGTGGCAATGGAGGGTCATGTCTCGGCTTCATTGACTTCTTGCATCGTAAGGCTCCTCTTATGAGACAACCTTTCCTCTCAGGCCCTTAGGTCCAAGTCCCCTCTCTCAGCTTTCTCTGAGACCTCAGGTGTGAAGAATATGTTTTTATTTATTTGCTGGATTTTTGTTTGAATACTGATGAAAACTAATCATGTGGGCTTGGTCCTCAGGATTAATCGTCCAAGTGTAAAAACGGAAACCACCACTGAACGATATCTGACCATCAGCTACAAGTTTTTCTTTCTCTTGCAAAGAAACAGCTCATAATGACTGAAAATGAAGGGCATGGTAAGCTGAGATAGAGATATCCCTTGCTTCCCAACACCCCACCCCTGAAAAATCAGGGAAGGCAGGCCTCTGTTAGAGCTGTTTTGCTCCAGAAGAGAACTCACAGCCACTTTGAAGTGAACGCCATCCATCTTTGAGAGGCCAGAGCCCTCAAAGTGTTTGCCCAGGGAGGATGCTGCATTGAGGGGAGGGTGGGAACAGCCCCACTAGCCAGCAACTGTTTGCAGCAGTGAACTTGAGCCCCCCAGACACTGCCCAGGAGTGGAAGAAACCTGACTTGGAATAGCCCCAGATGTGGCGCCGAGCCTGAGCACTGGCCTGCCTGTCTGGGAAGCTTGGCGAAGATTCCTGTGTTCAATGCTTGGCATGGAGTGAGTGGAGCTGCCACCTTCAAACTGCATGGGGGGTCACTTCCACAGACCTGGTTCTTGCTGCTTGGGAGATCACTGTCCCCACCCCAGAGGCAACTAAAAGTTTCTCGTTAAAAGAAATGTAGTTGGACCCCAAAGTTCCATGAAATAGGATGACTCCAGGAGAAGTTGATTGTTAGGGGGTCTAACTCAACCCTATACTCCTTTGTTTGGCTAAGAAGGGAACTTCAGTGTGATGGATAAAGTCACCTGCACACCTCACACAGGAAGAACTCTCCTGCTTCAGGGGGTAAGAAGCTGTCCTGAAGTAACCCTCACCCAGGCCATCTTGTGAGCTCTTGGCCCTCAAAGGAGGCGATCTGTGAAGAACTAAAGTTTTTCACTAACATATCATCTTGGGACTCAAACTATGTAACCAGCCTGAGAAAGGAACAGAAAACACAGAAGAGAAAGAGCTTGCTTCCCTATCGTTTTAAAGACTTCAATTTTAAAAACTGCCATTTCTTTGCATTTTTTGTTCAACAATTTCTGAACAATTCCTACAGGCAAGGGACTTTCCAGGTGCTGTTGGAGATTTTATGGGAAAAAAATTCAGTGTCTGATCTTGGAGAATTTAAAATTGGCAGGACAGATAAGATGGGCACAGTTCTCTCTTTCTAGAATATTATCCCACTCCTCAGTTGGCCTGACTCTCTTTCTAGAATATTATTCCACTCCTCAGTTGGCCTGACTTAATCATGCTTCCATCTCAGCTTCGATGTGCCTTTCCGAGGTAAGCCTTTGTGGCCCCTGCCCCTAATACAGAAGAGACACTAATTTATTTTCCTGCTCTGTGGTCCCAGAGTTATGTGAATTTCCTTTTGAAATTCATCATGCATATTTATTTATTTATTTATTTATTTATTTATTTAAGCATATTTCTCTATCAGAGTATACCTGTCACCATGGCAGGGATTTGTCTGCCTCTTTCTCTTTCACTGAAGTACCCACAGTACCCGGCATAGTGCTGGCGCTGTTCAGGGTGCCCGGTAAACTTGTGTGAATGAATTTTTACCTGGCTCTGAAAGAGGGTGCTCAGAAGTAGCAGTGAACGCTGGGACCCTGGGAAAGGAAGACGGTTATCGTAAAGGAGGTGACACAAGGCTGGACCTCACAAGATGAAATCTCAGTAGGGCAGGAGGGCAGGGAATTTGGACAATGAGAAGAAGCGAAGCTCAGAATAAATTAAGTAAATTGATGATGATGATGACAATGACAGCACCATTTATCATGTAGTCACTTTATGCCAGGAACTCTCATATTCGTAGCATCGTTTATTTATTACACCAACCATGAGGGGTAGGTACCACCGAGCCCCATCTGCTGATAGGAAAACCAGGGTTCATAGAGATAAGTTCCTTGCCACAGTCCTATGGATGGAAAGTAAAGACACTGAGCTTTGCATTTGGACTTAGACCTAGAGTTGTTCAAACCCTAGTTCTGCTCACTCCACGGAAAAGTGGGTTTTCTGAGGGCAGTACAAGTAGAGGAAAGTGGAGAAGCGGATTGCAGTTTGATTCTTAGGGGCCAAGAATGCCACCGGGGGATTTAGACTTCAACCTAATCACACGTATTTATTTCTTCAAAGGCTAGCGAGCCTTTGAACGTTTTTGAGCCCATGCGTTGGAAAAATTCCTCCGGAAAAGAGAGAAGGTGAGGGAGGGGAGGGCAGGGTCTGAGAGTTGAGGAGTCTGCAGCAGGAGGTTGGGAGACACAGTACGGAGCTAGGACAGCAGGTCTAGAAATGAAACTAGGACACGTCCAGACCTCAGGTGGAATTAACTAGAATCTGGTTAGAGAGCCAGAAAGAACAAAGAGAAAAAATACCTCCCAAGTTCCCACCTGGCTGCCCAGGAGGCTGTCATGTGCTTAACAAATAAAGCATGCCCTTTAACAAACACAGGAGCGGGGAGGTGTCTGCAGGGAGGCCTACAGACAAAACGTGGAACGAGGCTGCCCTCTTCTGGAGAATAAAAGCCGGAAGCTGAATCAAAGTCCTCATCTGCCCAGGACAATATATTATTATTATTATTATTATTATTTTCAGAGACAGGGTCTTGCTGTGTTGCCCAGGCTGGCATGCAATGATGAAATCATAGCTCACTGTAACATCGATCTCCTGGGCTCAAGCGATCCTCCTGCCTCAGCCTCCTGAGTAGTTGGGACTACATGTGTGTGCCACTGCACCCAGCTATTTTGTTTGTTTGTAGAGAGGAGTTCTCACAAGGTCACCTAGGCTGGTCTCAAAGTCCTGGCTTCAAGCGATGCTCCCAACTTGGCCTCCCAAAGTGCTGGGATTACAGGTGTAAGCCATCACACCCGGCCATCAGCACGTTTAACTATATATCCTTTTATATATTTAAATATATATCTTGTATATATACATATACCTCCATACAGGACCGACTGATGCTGAGTTGATACTAACTAGTCAACTAACAAACAACTGGTAACTAATAACCAGGTAGGAATTCGGACAAATCTGGTTGTTTGGGGAGAACAAGCGTCTGTCAAACAAGTTGTTACATTTTCTAATGCATCCTATTTCAGACTCAGAAGCAGTTTATATTTTACACAGTCTCTCTCTCTGTAATTCCTACAGACTTATCAAGCACAGGAGAAAACCTAGGTAAAAAATAGATAATAAAACACTCAAGAATATCTCAAATAAAAAAAAGTGTTATAATATCAAATGTTGTTGCAGATGTGGAACAAGATGTGGAAAAACTTGAAACTCCACTAATAGGAGATATCGCAAAGCCTGACAGCAAGGACAGAGAGAGGGAGACAGAGCTGAGCTAAAAGTCCAAAGTAAGACAGTACGCCAAGACCCAGCAATTCCACTGCCAGTGTAGACCACATAAAAAGAGTTCTATGTTACCAAAAGATATGTACATGTATATTCCTAGCAGTACTTTTCATTATAGCCCAAACCTGGAAATTGTCGAATTATCCATCAATAGTAGAATGGACAAGTGTATTTATATAAGTGTATTCATATAACTTAATATAATACAGCTATGGGAATTTACTGCTACTCTGAACAGCAAACGTACATGTCACAAGCATAACTTAAGTGAAAGAAGCCAAACCAAAAATCACATATATCATTCCATTCACAAATTTCAAAAACTGGCAAAATTTTTGTATGGCGATGGAAGGCAGAATACCAGCTCCTCAGGATATGGGCTGGGTAATGTTCTGCTCCCAAATCTAATTGTGGATACGGGGTGGGGGTCACTGTGTGGATACATCATTGTGTCACTGTGTGAATTCAGGAGTACAGACTTTGATATGTGAGCTTTTGTGTTTGTATAATATATATTATATATATATATATATATATATATATTTTTTTTTTTTTTTTTTTAAGAGATGGGGTCTTGCTCTGTCTCCCAGGCTGTAATGCAGCCCAGAACTCCTAGGCTCAAGGGATTCTCCCACCAAAGCCTTCTGAGTAGCTGGAGTAGGTGGGACTATAGGCATACACCACCAAACCTGGTAGTATATTCAACTTTAAATAAGTGAAGTGGCTGGGTGCGGTGGCTCATACTTGTAATCCCAGGACTTTGAAAGGCTGAGGCTGGAGGATTGCTTGAAGCGAAGAGTTCAAGACCAGTCTGGGTAACATAGTGAGACTCCATCTCTAAAAGATTTTTTTTAAATAAAATGTACTTAAAATTTAGCAAAGAATTCACTTGCAAGGGCTAAGTTGAAAAGACAGGAGTAAAAGGGTAATAGACAATTTAGAATATATGGATATATGTCGTTTGATACTTTAATATATATTATTGTTTTTTAATTATTTAATAGTCCATGAAACGATTAAATTCCATGAAGATAAGAACTGCACCTCATTCATCTTTATAGCCTCTGGATGCCCAGTGTACATGATAAAGTAGCTATTCAGAAAATATGTATTTAAAAAAATTTTCAACGTTCTGTTTATAGCACAGTTCTCTAAACTAAATATAGTGACTGAATAAGTAAATTTCTACAATAACAAATTAGACAATAAAGACAAAAGGCATTTCTGGGCTTATATTGGACAAAATAGCAGCAAGAATAGAGGCAAATTACTCTGTTTCTGTTACCTTAGGATGAAAAGAATTTGCTTGGATTTATCCAAAATCTTTTTTCTCATCCAAATGTGAAAATATAATGAGGTAAATTTTCAGCAATGACATTGTATTAGTCCATTTTCATGCTGCTGATAGAGGCATACCCAAGACATGACCATTTACAAAAAAAAAAAAGAGGTTTAATGGACTCACAGTTCTACATGCCTGGGGAGGCCTCACAATCATGACGGTAGGTGAAAGGCACGTCTCACATGGCAGCAGACAAGAGAAGAGAATGAGAACAAAGTGAAAGGGGTTTCTCTTTATAAAACCATCAGATCTTGTGAGACTTATCCACTACCATGAGAACAGTATGGGGGAAACCACCCTATGATTGAATTATCTCCCACTGGGCCCCTCCCACAACATGAAGGAATTATGGGAGCTACCATTCAAGGTGAGATTTGGGTGGGGCCACAGTTAAACCATATCAGACATATTATCTATTGCAACATAACAAATTACCCCCCAAACTTAGGGCTTAAAACCACATACATTTTTTTTTTCTTCAGTTTCTGAGACTTAGGGATCTGGAAGTGACTTAGCGGGGGTTTCTGACTCGGGGTCTCCCAAGATGTTGGCTGGGGCTGCAGTCATCTGAAGGCTTGACTGGGCCTGGAAGATCCACTCTTCAAAAGGGTCACTCACATGGCTGTGGGCTGGAGGCCTACTCACAACTCTCCCCAGAGCAGATCACCCAAGAGAAAGAGTAAGCCGGCAGACACCATCACTTTTATGTCCTACTCTCTGACATCACACACAATCACTTCTACATTCTATCACTACAAACGAGTCACTAAGACCAGCCCAAATTGAGGTGGAGGGGAATTAGGTACCATCTTTTGAAAGGAATGTTAAATAATCTGTGGACGTATTTTAAATCATCACAGTCCACCACCTGGCCACAAATTATTTCTATTTCTCCTACATGTGAAATACTCTCATTCCTCTCAACTCCTCCCAAAAGTCTCAAACTTGTACAAGATGTCCAGGTTTGAAGTCCAGGATGTAATTATTTAAATCAGATCCCAATACAGAGAAGTCTTCTCAGGTGTAGTTCTGCAGTTTTTTTTTTTTTTTTTTTTTTGAGTTGAGACAGTGTCTCACTCTGTAGCCCAGGCTGGAGTGCAGTGGTGCAATCTCAGCTTACTTGTAGCCTTGACCCCTGGACTCAAGCAATCCTCCTGCTTCAGCCTCCCAAGTAGCTGGGACTACAGACACACACCACAATGACTGGCTAATTTAAAAAATTTTTTTTTGTGGTGATGGGGTTTCACCATGTTTCCCAGGTTGTTCTCAAACTTTTGGGCTCAAGCAGTCATCCTGCCTCGGCCTATTAAAGTGTTGGGATTATAGGCATAAGCCACCTTGCCTGACCGGGTGTAGTTCTTTAAGAATCCATCTTCAAGTAGAGTTCCTCTCTGTCTGAAGTCTTGCGGACTAAAAAGACAAGTTATCTGCAATGTCTATCAATTATCTATCACCGTGTAACTAACTACCCCGAAAACTCTGTGGTTTAAAACAACATTTATCTCAGTTTCTGTGGGTCAGGAGTTTGGTGGTTTTGCTGAGTGTGTCTGACTCAGTGTTATTTCACAGTGTTGGAGTCAATGTGGGATGCAGTCATCTGAAGGCCTGATTGGGGCTGGAGGATCTGCTTCTAAAAATCCCTCACCAGCATGGTTGTTGGCTGGTGGTCTCTGATCCTTACCATGTGGACCTCTCCCTGGATTGCTTAAATCTTCTCACAACACACAGTTGGTTTCCTCCAGAGGAAGTGATCCAAGAGGAAGCCAGCAACATGGAAGCCATGATGTAATTTATGACCTAACTTTGTCACATGGCTTCACCTCTGCTGTGTTCTATTGGTTACTCAGAACAACCCTGATATGATACAATAGAGGACTAGGCAAGAGCGTCAATCCAGGAATTTAGGGCTCACGGGCACCATCTTGGAGACAAGCTAGCATACTCGTAAAGCTAGAAGCTGAACCCAGGAGCACCAACAGAAGCTGTAGATTCTGGTGATGTCTCAAACACTTTTCCTGTGATCTTGATACAGTAACAAAATTTCTGGGTACCCTGAAAATGGAAATAATAAGTTTCTACCAGATGAATGATTAGTTGATGATGATCACTTTGAAGTAAGATGAGCCTGGCCATGTAAATCCAGCAACGTGTTCTTGGAAAAAATCACTGCCCTTCTCTAGGCCTTGGTTGCCTCAGCTTCAAAAAGTGTATAGTAATAGCTGCTTTGGGCCAGGCGCAGTGGCTCACGCCTGAATCCCGGCACTTTGGGAGGCCGAGGTGGGCAGATCACAAGGTCAGGAGTTCTAGACCAGCCTGGCCAATATGGTGAAACCCCATCTCTACTAAAAATACAAAAATTTGCCAGCCGTGATGGCGTGCACCTGTAGTCCCAGCTACTCAGGAGGCTGAGGCATAAGAATCACTTGAACCCAGGAGGCAGAAGTTGCCATGAGCTGAGATTGTGCCACTGCACTCCAGCCTGGGCGACAGAGTGAGACTCTGTCTTAAAAATAATAATAATAATAGCTGCTTTGGTCAGTTCTTATAGGGGTTCAAGATTACATATGTAAGATACCTAGCAATTATTAAGCAATTGATAAATGGTAACTATTTTAAAGAATATTGCATATAGGCTGGGCGCGGTGGCTCATGCCTATAATCCCAGCATTTTGGGAGGCAGAGAAGGGCAGATCATGAGGTCAGGAGATCGAGACCATCCTGGCTAACACGGTGAAACCCCATCTCTACTAAAAACACAAAAAATTAGCCAATCATGGTGGCACGCACCTGTAGTCCCAGCTACTTGGGAGGCTGAGGCAGGAGAATGGTGTGAACCCAGGAGGCGGAGCTTGCAGTCAGCCAAGATCCCGCCACTGCACTCCAGCCTGGGCGACAGTGCAAGACTCCATCTCAAAAAAAAAAAAAAAAAAAAAAGACTATTGCATGTTTTGTGATATTGCATGGTAACCATCTGAGTTGATAGATGTATTTCAGTTTTTGGAAAGAAATATTTAAATTAGTAAAAGGGTAAACCTTTCTCATTTAATACCTGGTATACCATATTTCATAAAACTAAGAAAATAGAAAAAAAATCCATTGCCCTACAACTCTAATGTAATGTCATCACCGCCTTTCCTTCCAGCCTTCTTCTCCATGCATTTCCCATAACTGAAGTCAGAGTGTATATAAAAGTTTGCTTTTTGCTTCTTTCTCTTTATATCTTAATATAGAAATGTCTTACAAAGTTTGACACAGACACTTGCCCCAGTGTGTCATGCTCAGAGCAATGACCCACGGGTTCTAATGGGAGGTGAGCATTGGAGAAGGAAGGGAAATTCCATAGGTCAGTAAGGCTGCATCAGGATCAGCTGAATTTCTGACAGCAGATCTCACGGAGAGAATCAAAGGCTAACTAGGGGAAACAGTAGGAGTCACTAAGAGATTCCGGAAGTTGTGTAGGGATGAAAGTTGCTTAACTACTGTCTGACTCAGTTCATCTTCTATACATCAAAGATGTTACATGCCCCTACCTTTATAGGGCTGCTGGGAGGATTCATCAAGTTTCTGCAGGTAAAGTTCCAGGCACAAAGTAAAGATGTTGCTATTAAAATGGTAAGATGTGGCTGGGCGCGGTGGCTCATGCCTGTAATCCCAGCACTTTGGGAAGCCGAGGCGGGTGGATCACGAGGTCAGGAGTTCAAGATAAGCCTGGCTAAGATGGTGACACCCCATCTCTACTAAAAAGACAAAATTAGCCAGGCGTGGTGGCGGGCGCTACTCGGGAGGCTGGGGCAGGAGGGTTGTGTGAGCCCGGGAGGCAGAGGTTGCGGTGAGCTGAGATAATGCCACTGCACTCCAGCCTGGGCAACAGAGTGAGACTCTGTCTCAAAAAACAAAAAACAAAACCAAAAAATGGTAAGATGCAATGCATCCGGGTCTAGGATTTTCTCAAGCGTTTAGCAGCCTAGGAATTCTCAGTAGACTTCTGAAACATATAATTTATGCCCTAAAATTTTGATGACTAATATCTATGATATAGTAAAGCCTGTCTGGATATCAAGTCAGTGTGGGTTTGATCATTTATTTCAACCATTGGAAACAAACCCCAATGCCTCCAGAAGCCAGGTGGGTGACCTAAGGGTGGGATGGCAGGAGGGGTGTACCACCTAGAGAGCACAAGCCCTCCTCAAAAGAGAATCTGTTACTGACTTCGTTATTGCCCTATGTAAGTGTGGACCAGGCTTGCTGTTTGACATCTACAGTGCATTATTTCAACATTCATCAGGTTTAATGCACTATGCCACATAAGCGAGGTGATGCTACTAGGATATTTTTTGGAAATTTACACACACACAAGTCTGCTAAAATAGTTAGGTCTAAGGATTCCTAGCTCTGGGAGAAGGGTTACATTTTCTGCCTTATCTCCAGCTATTGGGGTTATTTGAATTATTTAACCTTGACCTGTTGTATTAGTCCATTCCCACACTACTAATAAAGACATACCTGAGACTGGGTAATTTATAAAGGAAAAAGGTTTAATTGACTCACAGTTCTGCATGGCTGGGGAGGCCTCAGGAAACTTACAATTATGATGGAAGGGGAAGCAAACACATCCTTCTTCACGTGGCAGCAGCAAGGAGAAGAATGAAAGCTGAGAGAACAGGAAAGCCCCTTATAAAACCACCAGATCTCATGAGAACTCACTATCATGAGAATAGCATGGGGTTAACCACCCCCATGGTTCAACTACTTCCCACCGGGTCCCTCCCGATTCACATGGGGATTATGAGAACTACAATTTAAGATGAAATTTAGGTGGGGACACAGCCAAACCATATCACCTGTATTTAATTTATATAATAAAATACATTTAATCTATAAATTATGTTAAAAGTACACATTGAAACCTGAAAGGTTTCAAGAAGTCCTATACTAGAGCAAAGAAACCCATTTAACAGTAATCAGCCCCTTGTTTCTCATAATATTTCACTCAAAATCTTTATTTTCCATATAAAATGTATGAACACCTTACGGAGCACTCTTTGGGAAAGGATGCCCAACTTTTAAAAGGAAGACCCAAACAAACCGGTCAACAGAAACAGAGTGCTGCTGTGGTGCCATGCCCGAGACACCTGCCAATAGTCCTCTGCCACTCGCCATCCTTGCATCAGCATCTGGGACATGGTAATTACACTCGACGGCCTGTCACTCCACCTCTCCTCATTCCTCAGCTCACAGAAAAGAGATCTGTGAAACACCAGCTCTGGTCTCGGCAAATATTTGTTTCCCCCTGGCTCCCTGGAAAATGCATTTTTAAAACTGTTCCTACAATTGCAGTATGGCAGCTGCTTTATCAGTGTGTGAAGACAGAACAATGATGTGGCTTAGATACTTGACATTTTGTATTGTTGGAAAGTGGCAAATTGCACTGAGCTGTAAATGCACTGTAAGTGGTGTTGTGTTGAATTATAAAGACAATTAGCACATTTCTTCCTTGTTTCTCGTTTATCTTTTCGTTTGTAAACATGGAAAGCAGAGTGCGATAAGCTTTACACCCCTTATCTGTAAAATGAGCTCAGTGATACTTATCTTGCAGAGTTTTGTAAACCAGAATTTTAAAAATGTTAAACTACCTAAGAGAATACAAAACACATAGCAGCATCCAATAAATGACAATTTTTACTATTTCTTCCACACCTCCTGTTAACATTAAACTCTTGGAGGGTGGAAGAAAGCATGGACATAAAGCACATACAGTCACTAGAGGAAATCAGAATACTGCAATGTTTGAGGTTCTTTGAAAGTTTTTAAAGCGTTTTAAGGGTCCTTAGACATGATCTTTTACAGATGAGAACAAGATGAAGTGAGATTGATAAAAATTAATCAATTTGCCCATGTTTTGCACAGGAGCATAAATTACCAGCAGACAACATCTGGATTCCATACTAAGAACACAAACATCTCACTACAGAGTTACAAACTGAACATGCCTCATGCCTAAAGTGCACACACCTATCAATCTTAGCTTTGCATGGTCCCAAAGACTCTGTAACTTTCACAGATTTGCATGTTTAATAACAAATTTGAATTTTGGGACTACTAAGTCATCTGCTGCAAATGTCACCAGTCCGTTGTTTAAGTTTCTGCGTGTATTTCACTCAACAGGTTTTCTTCATTAAGCACGGTGTTGTCTGTCCATCAGGCAGCAAAGCATCAGCGCATCCTACCACCAGATGGCACTAGACCCACTTGTGGAGGCTCTGGGGGCGCCATCAGCGTGGGACTAGAAGCTGATGAAAAACGAGAAGTTTCATTTCCCGGTTCCATTTAAACGTTCATACTGGGCCATAAAAGCAGATGAATTAGATATGCCATTATCCTGCATATATACATTTATATTTTATTGTATATATATATAAATATATATATATATATATATATAGAGAGAGAGAGAGAGAGAGAGAGAGAGAGAGAGACGGAGTCTCACTCCGTCACCCAGGCTGGAGTGCACTGGCAGGATCTCAACTCACTGCAACCTCTGCCTCCAGGTTCAATCGATTCTCCTGCCTCAGCCTCCTGAGTGGCTGGGATTACAGGAGCGTGCCACCACACGCGGCTAAATTTTGTATTTTTAGTAGAGACGGGGTTTTACTTTGGTCAGGCTAGTCTCGAACTCCTGACCTTGTGATCCGCCCGCCTTGGCCTCCCAAAGTGCTGGGATTGCATGCGTGAGCCACCGCGCGTAGCCTATCCTGCATATTTAAAGTTAATTGTGTTTAATAAAAATAGAGCAGAGATAGAGAAGTGATTGCCAGCCCAGCAGCTCTGAGCTATCTCATATAAGGCTTAGTAGGGAATCCTGACCCACACTCCAATCTCCAAGCTCTAGACATCTCACCAACAAAACAGGAAGCCAACACATTCTGGATCTTCTTTCCAAGATAAAGTCGACCATTCGTAATATTTTTTTCAGAGACAACGGAAGCTGAAAAATAAGAGCTGAGAAAGGAAGAACTTTTCTATAAGAACTTAAATCCAAAAGGCTATGGGATAGTAATGGAAAGTGGAGGAGAACAAAAAAGGCCTGGAAAGTAAAACCAGGAGGAAAAACAAACGTTTTAGAACAGCCAAGTGTGGGGAGTTGGAAAGTGAAGCTTTGAGTAGAAACCAGAGTTACAAAATTTCAGAGCTGAAAGCGGCCTTATAAGGAAGCAGAATTGGGCCCAAGGCCTAAATATTTGCCAAAAACCACGCAGGCAATTAGTGGCAGACAAGAGAGGACCTTCATTTTTGCTAAACAGGGCTCTTTCCACTGAAACATGTGGCCCTCTCAATATCTAACTAAAAACCTTTCACAAAATCCAAGTAAACACAGAGAAACATCCTCTCTTCTGTCTCCACTGCTTTCTCTGTCCACACGTGCACATGTACACACACAGCCACCATTATAACAATACAGGAAATTGAAGGAAACCATCTGAAACTTCAACGTCGGGCACAGCCGCCACAGATAACATATCAAATGCAAGGCTGGAAATCAGCACTGTTCACATTCACACAGGAAGCCCGACTCAAGCTGTTTGACCGTATTTAGTAATCAGTTCCATACTCACAAAAGAATGCCAGAACAAAAACAGACGGAAAAGAAAAAAAAAATAAATCCAACCATCCTTTTCCTTTGGAGGAGGACTTATACCACGAAGTTTAAAGAGAGGCCCAGCTGGTTTATAGAATTCTGCAGGAAATTTGGGGACCTCTGTAATGCCATTGTCTTCACTGGCCCAGGCAAGTAGCCGTACCAAGGCAGTTATGGGGATATTCAAACAAATCAAAGCCATATTTTACCTCAATTGTGCTTATACTTTAGGTGAAAGTATTCTGGACCTAATTATTTCTAATAATCATCAGATGCATCCTGATCTCATGGGAAGTGCTGAGAAAACCTATGGGGCTATTATCCACTTACTAGCTCTGTAAACTTGGGCAACTTAACTGTTCTGAGCCTCTTCCTTCTTCTATAAAAATGAGATTGATTACTATTGCCTTCCAGAATAGTTCTGAGGTGAAAATGAGAGTCAAGTTCTGTGCTCGCTTCAGCAGCACATACACTAAAATTGGAACGATACAGAGAAGATCAGCATGGCCCCTGTGCAAGAATGACATGCAAATTCATGAAGCGTTCCATATTTTTTTCTTAATAAAGCCTCTTTTCTACATATGAAAAAAAAAAGAGAGTCAATGTTCTATGGCACGAAGACACACCAGTAAATATCAGCCATTTCTTTCAGATATAGATAGATAGATAGATAGATAGATAGATAGATAGATAGATAGATAGATTTTTTTTTCCTGAGACAGGGTCTCCTTCTGTCACCCTGGCTGGAATGCAGTGGCAGAATCATGGCTCACAGGAGCCTCAGTCTCCCTGGGCTCAGGTGGTCCTCCCACCTCAGCCTCCCAAGTAGCTGGGACTACAGGCACGCCACCACACATGGCTAATTTTTGTATTTTTTGTAGAGATGAGGTTTCACCATGTTGCCCAGGCTGATCTTGAACCCCTGGAGTCGAACAATCCATCTGTCTCGGTCTCCCAAAGTGTTGGGATTACAGGCATGAGCCGCCGCGCCCGGCCCCATTTAATTGTTCTATTTTGTTTAATTTGGGCGGACTTGGGCCTCAAAGAGAAAAGTGAGAAGAAAATGCCTCATTTACAGTGGAGCCACTGGTGAGTTCTCTTAGACCTAATCTACATCTGAGGTTCTCAAATATTTTGGTCTCAGAACCCACCTACTTTCTTAAAAATTGAGGATTCCAAATGGCTTTTTAAGTCTGGGTTATTGATATTTACTATATTCACAAATAATACTCAGGGTTGGGCGTGGTAGCTCACGCCTGTAACCCCAGCACTATGGGAAGCCGAGGTGGGCAGATCACTTGAGGTCAGGAGTTCGAGACCAGCCTGGCCAACATGGAGAAACTCTATCTCTACTAAAACTAAAAAAATTAGCTGGGCATGGTGGTACACGTTTGTAATCCCACCTAGTTGGGAGGCTGAGGCAGGAGAATCGCTTAAACCTGGGAGGTGAGGTTGCAGTGAGCTGACATCATGCCACCACACTCTAGCCTGGGTGACAGTGAGACTCCACCTCAAAATAAAATAAATAAAATAACAATACTGAGAAAGTCTTAAATTATTTATTCATATAAAAGTAAAAGTAATGTATTACATGTTAATATAAATAACACAGTTTATGAAAAATGTATTTTCCAAAACAAAACAAAAATGTAGTGAGGAGAGTGATGTCATTTACAGTTTACAGATCTCTTTAATGTTTAGCTTAATAGAAAACAGCTGGATTCTCATATCCACTCTGCTTCTACACTCAGCCTGTTGTAATAACTTGTTTTAGTGGAAGTTTGTGAAGACAAATCAACCTCTGTGTATGGGAGAAATATTTTAATAGCTTTTTCAGGTATTGGTGCTTACGGTGTGATACTGTACCTAAGTTCAGTAAGTACTAGTTTCTTAGAAGTTAATTTCAGGATGGAATCTGCAACCTTAACAATGGAGTTTTCTGCAACCTTAACAATGGAGTTTTTCCTCTGTTATAGGAAATACATTGACTTATTTTGCACTTTGAATACATTTTATATCTGCATGATTTTGTAACATTTGGAAGATATTGGTTCACTGAGTTATACAGATCTTCCAATTTCAGTATATTTTATTATACAACATTAAAATATTTTTAACAATATTACCACCAATCTCATCAGAACAGTCTCTATAAGGAAGCTGTCAAGCTCACTGGGATAGACCTAAGTTTTCTATAGTTCTTATTTTCTCTTAGTTCAAATTTTACCTTTGGCACCAAATACTCTGTTATTTTACTTGAGGTGACAATCTCACTTTATTCATTTTTGAGGAAGCATTTATGAAATATTTAAGTCTAAAATAACCATAGTTTGTCTTACTTAATTTAAAGTAAAAGCAGTGTTCCATGAAAAAAAAAAAAAGTTTAGGTTAACTCACAGTTCAATTACCAAGTGTTTTTTTTCTCAAGAAAACTAATATACAAACTTCACTGTTCAGCAGAACTGCTTTTGTGCCTTTCCCGTGTGGTCACACACAATATTAAATGGGTATGAACATAAAGGTCAAGGCTTAATGAAATTAATTAGTACTGGTGTATCAAGGACATTCGTAAGTGAAACTGCCATTCATTTTACTATAAGTATGTGGTAATAATTTGGTGCCACGCTAAAATGACAGCAGTTTTACCCCTTTTTGCTTTGTAAAATATATATGTTTTTATTTTTTTGGTGCTCTACATGCTCAGAAAACTATATTAATGAACTACAGAAATGACCCCTGAAAGTACAGTCTTTGCTTTTGTGCCATCAGTGGAAATGTAAAGATAGTGAAAAAGGCAAATAGTATCCTAATATTATTATAAAAGTAGTTTTGACCTTACAAACTCCCTGGAATGGCCTCAGGGATACCACCCCACAGTCGTCCGAGGCACACTTTGAGAACCACTGCTCTCAGCTCCTTTTTATACCTTTGCACGTCTGTTTCATCAGCTCTGCAGCTCCTGGTGGCCTCTGTCCACTCTAAGTTCCCCTACTGCAGCATTCAGTAGGGTTGTATTTCTTTAAGTTCTCTGATTTAAAATTTACTATATCCTGGCAGGGTGTGGTGGCTCACGCCTATAATCCGAGCACTTTGGAAGGCAGAGGTGGGAGGATTGCATGAGCTCAGGAGTTAGAGACCAGCCTGGGAAACATAGCAAGCCCTGTCTCTACAAAATAGAAACAAAAATGAGAATTAACCGGGCATGGTAGTGTGAGACTGTAATCCCAGCTACTCTGGTGGGTGAGATGGGAGGATCACCTGAGTCCGGGAGATGGAGGCTGCAGTGAGCCATGAATGCGCCACTGCATTCCAGTCTAGGTGACAGACTGAGATCTTGTCTCAAAAATAAATAAATGAACAAAAAATAAAATAGAATGTACTATATCCTCTATTCACAAAAACAAAAAAATTTATTGAGTACCTAATATGTGCCAAAGACTGTTCAAAGCATTGAAAATACAGAAGTCAACGAGATAAGCACGGTCACTGGTCTTGTGGACTTTCTATTCTAGAGGGAGAAAATAGACAGTAAACTTGTAAGTGAATTAACATACAAGGTAATTGGTAACTTCCAACAATGTTAAGTGCTGTGATAACCATACAAACAAACCGATGCCACTGAGCATGACGGGATGAGCCAGTAGCCAGGCGGCCCCAACCCAATAGGTGTCACGTTTGTGTATCCGGCCGTGCATAACAGTACATCATAAGTGGGATGACTGAAGATTCCAGTGAGAATCTGTCTACCATAGAATTGCAATAGCCCTGGAAAGCTGGGGAAGAGGAAGAGGACAAAAAGCAAGGTTGCTTGTATTTGAAAGGGGTGCTCCTGGCCAGGGGCAGTGGCTCATACCTGTAATCCCAGCACTTTGGGAGGCTGAGGCGGGCGAATCACTTGAGGTCAGGAGTTTGAGGCCAGCCTGGCCAACATGGTGAAATCCTGTCTCTACTAAAAATACAAAAATTAGCCAGGCGTGGTGGTAGGTGCCTGCAATCCCAGCTACTCAGGAGGCTGAGGCAGAAGAATCGCTTGAACCCAAGAGGCAGATGTTGCACTGAGCCGAGATAGTGTCACTGCACTCCAGCCTGGGAGACAGTGTGAGAGATTCCATCTCAAAAAAAAAGAAAAGAAAAGAAAAAAGAAAGGGCTCTGGGTAGAATGAAGCCTGGCCAGTCTCCCAGGGGGAAGAGCAAGTTACTGGGAGGAAATCACTTAAGAAAAGCTGAGTCCAGGACAAGAAGCCACTCTGTCCTGCTGGGGGCCAACGTGGGATGCTGATGCTCCTAGCTGCTACTTGTTCTGCCTGAGGATGGTGGCAGAAGGGGGCAAGGATGGAACTGGGTTGTTTGTAATGTGAAGTTTCCATTATCCTGATGGAAATACCCAACTTCACTGACACTCAGGAGCTGGCTATTATTCCTGCTTTGGGGCATTCCAGAGCTGCTTCTAGGACATACCAATATTTTTCATCTGTACCAGTATTCACCTAACCTGGGTATCTAGGGCAAAACCAGACATAAGACAGTAAAAAATAGGCTGGGCATGGTGGCTCATGCCTGTAATCCCAGCACTTTGGGAGACCAAGACAGGAAGACCGCTTAAGGCCAGGAGTTTGAGACCAGCCTGGGAAACATAGTGAGACCCCATCTCTATTAAAAACATTTTTTAAATTAGCCAGATAAGGCCAGGCGCAGTGGCTCACGCCTGTAATCCCAGCACTTTGGGAGGCCGAGGTGGGCAGATCACTTGAGGTCAGGAGTCAGGACCAGCTTGGTCAACATGGTGAATGAAACCCTGTCTCTAAAAAAAATAAATAAAAATAAAAATAAAAATTAGCCAAGCCTGGTGGCACATACCTGTAGTCTCAGCTACTCAGGAGGCTGATGCAGGAGAATTGCTTGAATCTAGGAGGTGGAGGTTGCAGTGAGGTGAGACTGCGCCACTGTACTCCAGCCTGGGTGACAGAGCGAGACTTCATATCAAAAAATAAAATAAAATAAATAAAAATTAGCCAGGTGTGGGCCAGGCGTGGTGGCTCACACCTGTAATCCCAGCAGTTTGGGAGGCCGAGGAGGGCGGATCACGAGGTCAGGAGATCCAGACCATCCTGGCTAACAAGGTGAAACCCCATCTCTACTAAAAATACAAAAAATTAGCTGGGTGTGGTGGCGGGCGCCTGTAATCCTAGCTACTCGGGAGGCTGAGGCAGGAGAATGGCGTGAATCCGGGAGGCGGAGCTTGCAGTGAGCCGAGATTGCGCCACTGCACTCCAGCCTGGGCGACAGAGAGACTCCATCTCAAAAAAAAAAAAAAGAAAAATTAGCCAGGTGTGGTGGCTAATTTGAAAAGCACTTTGCCATTGAGGAAATAAATATGATGCTACTCACTCGAGAAAGTTTCCCTGGAATTAATTCCTTCCTTGTTTTCCTCTCTCCTTTATCCCAGCAAGATGCTGCTGTTGTTCATGCTGAAGGAATGTGTCTTCTGCAGTAGGGCGGCATCTCCCGGGCAAGCTTCTGGTGTTTTTCTGTGATGCAGCTGCTCTCTCCAGTCCTGGGACATGGGCTATGAGCCTTTCACTCCGCCTTTCCCTGTGATCTTTTCTCTGGGAGTTAATGCTCTTCTCCATGCTTCACTGAGGAGCCACGATCTGGTTTCATGGATTTCACCCTTTTCTCATAAGTATGAATTATTGTAACCCCAACAGAGGCACATTTGATCCCTTTCACAGGTCATTTCTCTCTTAGCCACTTCGTGTTTTCCAGAAGACATGTCCTGGAGTGGCTGCAGGTCTCTGTGCAGAACTGCACTGTAGACAGATCATGTGCACCCTACTTCAAACGTGGAAAAATCTCCCTGCTACAGAAATGCGCACCCAAAGGCATCCATTCAATCCCCTCCATCAATTAGTTAATGACATACTCCCCCTTCTCATTAAATCAGAAAATTCTTGAAGGCAAGCCCATTGTTTCGTCTCGTATCCCTACAGTCCCAGCCTTTGGAGAAGGTTGATGCTTATGTTGCAAGAACATTAGAAAATTTGCTTAGAAAGACTACTGCACAGTAGTGTTATTTGTTTGTTTGTTTGTTTGTTTTAATTTTTATTTTTAGAGACGGGCTCACTCTGTGACCCAGGTTGGAGTGCAGTGGCATGACCACAGCTCACTACATCTCAACCTCCTGGGCTCAAGTGATCCTCCTGCCTCAGCCTCCCAAATAGCTGGGACTACAGGCATGTACCACCACCCCTGGATAATTTGGCTCTGGTGTCCAGGTTGGGACTCAAGCAATCCTCCTGCATCAGCCTCCCAAAGTCCTGAGATTATAGGCAAAAGCCGCTACAGTCAGCCTCTGTGGTCTTCATGTTGTCCCCAGAGAGAGTTGTGAGTGGGTGATAAGGGTGGTGGGAGAATGGATTTTTCTCTAATCTCTATTTCAAGAGCAATAGTACTTCTCTTCTAACCACCCCTCCCCCAGTCACATAATTTATTATATGGTCCCATTTTAGCCTGGCTTCTAAAGTGTTTAAAGCCAAATTTATAATCCCCGCATAGCAGCTGTGGGATCTCATCACAAGTATCTTGGGAATAAAAGCCTGAAGGGCTTCATCATATTTTTCCCAGCTTCAATATCTTTTTGTCCTGTCTTCCACACCTTCATCATTGTTGTTTTGTCTTCGCTCTTCAACTTTTACATGTATCTTGGATACATTTTGTCTCCTAAAAACAGATTCTCTCATAAACTTTAACAGTTGGTCCTGCATCTCTATCACAGGAACATTTTTCACCTTAAAAAAGAAATTACAGGAATCATCTCAAGCCTTCACTTTGGACTCTGGGGAATATCACAAGGGAACAACACAGTTGAATCAGAAAAATGCAAATCAGAATCGCAAGAGAGCCTCTAGGTTTTCACAGCTGCCTAACCTAGTTCTAACACCACCAGCATGCGCTCTAAATAATGCATGAGGAATCAGCCTTGCCAGTCTGCTGATTGAATTAGTATGGTGGCGGGTGGTAGCTAAGGGTGGGGGCACTAGCAGGAAATTACAGAGAAGATAAGGAAAGCAGAATAGTTTTCCTTTGTTCATTCTTCAAAAAGCCCTCTACTCTACAGTAAACGCACGTACCACAAAGTAAAGCTAGGAAAACGAGGGTGCATTCTAGCTGGTGGCTTTATCTGATTCATCCTAAATTCTAGCTTTGTGTCCCAGGTTTTCAATTCCTACTTCCAGTTCTCTTTGCTTTCTGCAAATGTGATTCACCTCTTAGCTACTTGAAACAGAGCTTGCTTTTTGGCTCATCGAGTCTTCTCAACCCCGTAGTTTGAGCATCTCCTTTTATCCTTAGAGAACCCTGTTAAGCCACTGGCTCCATCACCCATGGCTGAACCAGGAGCTAGTGGTCATGATGGAAGAGGGAAAGAGGACTGCAATCAGGAAGATGTAATCAAAAAGCTGTTCTTGTTTAAAGGCAACATGAAGTGAACTCAAAGAAAGTTGTGTGTGTGTCCCAAACCTTAATTGTTCAAATATTTTCCTTCAATGTTTCCTTTTTATTTTGTTTGGTTTCTTAAAATGGAGCTCATGGAGAAGGGAATAAGAGCTGAAATCCTAACCAATATATAATTTCCATTATGTAATATCAGCTCATTTTTTAAGACAAAAAATTTATCATGTTTCGTAGCCATCCACACAGGATCTCCATGGAAGAGACTAAGCACTGATAATATTAGACAGAAAAATGCTGAGATTGCACATTTCAGCTATTTTTCTTTGGCTCTACACAGGCAAAGAACGCATCCAGAGGGCTTTACTGAGAACATTCACTGCACCGACATTGTTTACTAAAGGAAGCTGACTGTAGCAGTTGCTGGTGAGGAAGAGGATACTTTCCTCAGCTTAATTCCCAGAATACAGAGTGTGAGTGTGTGGGAGAAATCCAAGTGAACTTGACGAACACATGGCATTCACACTGTGAGGACAACAGATGGGACGTGTCAGCAATAAACTGCCTAAGTTTGGTGAGGCTATTTCCTAAGAGGAGCAGTGTGGCACAGTGGGAAGAATAGTAAATTCAAAGGGTTTAATTTTGGTTTTGGCTTATGGTGCTTTGAAATTGTCACACCAGAAGCCGAATGTGTCAGGAAAACCGCTCATTCCCAAGCAATGTTATGAATTACATGGCTGTGAACCAAACAATTGCTCTGGTTTAGAGTCTGGTAAGTGGACGTTGAACCCGTCAAAAGGCCTGAAGGCCAGGTCTGAATCACTTGTACTTCCCACGTGGCCCTTTCTACGGTGATTAGTGAAGCCTCCCCACATAAAGAGAGCTAATGAAAGAGATTTATTCGGAAGAATCTGCTCATGCGATTGTGGAGGTTGGCAAGTCCAAAATCTGCAAGGCAGGCCAGCAGAATGGAAATTCCAGAAGAAGCCGCTATCGCAGTCTTGAGTCTGAATGCAGCCTGGAGGCAGAATGCCTTCCTCTTTAGGGGAGCTCAGTTATTTTTCTTACAGCCCTCAAATGATTGAACGAGTCCCACACAGATTATAAAGGGTAATCTGTTTTATTCAAAGCCTACTGGCTTATATGTTAATCATATCTTTTAAAATATCTTTACAGCAACATCTAGACTGATGTTTGACCAAACTACTGGGTGCTATAACCTGGCCACGTTGACACATAAAATTAACCATCACACATAATTAAGTGCTCAAGAAATTGATGTGATTTGATATCCCAAGACAGACATATTTCTGAGACACTATTTCTTCAGCTGAACAATGTAGAGATTAGACTTTATTATTCTAACTCTGACAGTCAAAGGGCAAAATTTAAGTCCTGAGAATATGAGAGACACTGCAACTTCTGGTCTCCTCAGATGAGTTGAAGAGGTTCCTTTTTTAAACAGATTTTCTTAAAATAGTGGTAAAATATGCATAACGTATAATGTAACATTTTAACCATAAAGTTCAGTGACATTAAGTACATTTCCATTGTTGTGCAACCATCACCACAATCTACCTCCAGAACTTTTTCAACAACCCAAGCCAAACCAACTCTGAAATCATTAAACAGTAACTCTCTATCCTCCCTTTCCCTTAGCTTTGGCAACGACCATTCTACTTTCTGACTCTATGAATTTGACTACTAGGTAGCTCATATAAGAAAAATCATACAATATCTGTCATTTTGCATCCTGCATATTTCATTTAACGTAATGCCTTCAAGATTCATCTATGTTGCTGCATGTGTCCGAATTTCACTCATTTCTAAGCCTCAATAATATATCATTGTATGTACATACCACTTTTTTTGTTCATTCATCTGTCAGTGGACACTTGAGTTGTTTTAAATTTAGAATAATTCAATTCAATTCAATTCAATTCAATTCAATTCAATTCAATTCAATTCAATTGGGTTGTTTGGTTACTGAGAATAAAGACATTATAAATATGAGTATACAAATATCTGTTGGAGTCTCTGCTTTCAGTTCTTTGGAGTATATGACCAGAAGTACAACTGCTGGATTATATGGTAACTCTATGTTTAATTTTTTGAGAAACCACCATACTGTTTTCCACAATGGCTGCAACACTTTACATTACCATCAGCAGTACACAAGGGTTCTGATTTCTCCACATCCTCACTAATACTTGTTTCTTTTTTTTTTTTTTAGTTTTTTAGAATGGCCATCCTAATGAGTGTGAAGTTGCATCTCATTGTGGTTTTGATTTGCATTACCTAATAATTAGTTATGTTAAGCGTCTTTTCTTGTGTTTATCACCTATTTGAATATCTTCTTTGGAGGAATGTCTCTGTGTCCTTTGCTTACTTTTAAAGGAATCTTTGAATATTATTTTTATCTTCGGGAATGTCTCTATAAAATATTTTAGCCAGTCCACGTATACTGAATGCCAATAATTTCTACAATAAAAATGCATTTCTAGCAAATCAAACCTACAATGGGATACTACCTCACACCCATTAGGACGGCTACTATCAAAAACCGGAAAATAACAATTGTTGGTGATGATGGGGAGAAACAGGAACCCTTGTACACTTTTTTTTTTTTTTTTTTTGAGACAGAGTCTTGCTCTGTCACCCAAGGCTGGAGTGCAGTGGCGCTATCTCGGCTCACTGCAAGCTCCGCCTCTCGGGTTTGAGCCATTCTCCTGCCTCAGCCTCCCGTGTAGCTGGGACTACAGGCACCTGCCACCACAGCCGGCTAATTTTTTGTATTGTTTTAGTAGAGATGGGGTTTCACCATGTTAGCCAGGATGGTCTCGATCTCCTGACCTCGTGATCCACCCACCTCAGCCTCCCAAAGTGCTGGGATTACAGGTGTGAGCCACCACACCCAGCCCCTTGTGCACTATTGATAGCAATGTAAAACAATGCAGACTTTCTAGAAAACAGGTTGATGGTTACTCAAAAAATTAAAGATAGGCCGTGCATGGTGGCTCACGCCTGTAATCCCAGCACTTTGGGAGGCTGAGGCGGGTGGATCATGAGGTCAAGAGATCGAGACCATCCTGGCCAACATGGTGAAACCCTGTCTTTACTAAAAATACAAAAATTAGCTTGGCGTGATGGCGTGCACCTGTAGTCCCAGTTACTCGGGCAGCTGAGGCAGGAGAATCGCTTGAATCCAGGAAGACAGAGGTTGCAGTGAGCCGCGATTGTGCCACTACACTCCAGCCTGGTGATAGAGCAAGACTACGTCTTAAAAAAAATATTAAAAACAGAATTAACATACCATCCAGCAATTCCACTTTGGGGTATATATCCAAAGAAACTGAAACAAGAGTCTCAAATAGATATTTGTACACCCCTGTTCATAGAAATATTATTCACAGTGGCTAGAAGGAAGAAACAACCTGAATGTCCATTAATGGATGAATGGATAAACACAATGTGGTATATCCATACAATGGAATATGATTCAGTCTTAAAAAGGAAGGAGCTTCAGACACATGATACAACACGAATGAACCTTGAGGACATTATGCTAAGTAAAATGTGCTAGTCACAAAAAGGCAAATATGGCATAATCCTCTTTATATGAGATAGCTAGTGTAGAGTAACTTACAGAGACAAAAGCAGAATAGTGTTCCCCAGATAATTCGGGAGGAAGAAATGGGGAGTTAGTTTTGCAAGATGAAAAGAGTTCTAGAGACTTGTTGCTCAACAGTCTGAATGTACCTAACACTACTGAACTTTGCCCTTAAAAATGATTAAGATGGGCCCAGTGCAGTGGCTCACGCCTGTAATCCCAGCAGTTTGGGAGGCCGAGGCAGGTGGATCATGAGGTCAGGAGATCGAGACCATCCTGGCTAACACAGTGAAAACCCGTCCCTACTAAAAAATACAAAAAGTTAGCCGGTCGTGGTGGCGGTTGCCTATAGTCCCAGCTACTCGGGAGGCTGAGGCAGGAGAATGGCGTGAACCCGAGAGGGAGAGCTTGCAGTGAGCCGAGGTAGTGCCACTGCACTCCAGCCTGCGCAACAGAGCAAGCCTCCGTCCAAAAAAAAAAAAATGATTAAGATGGTAAATTTGATATTATGTGTATTTTACAATTAAAAATAAAATTAAAAATATTTTATATTTTCATTTTGCTTCATCTAATAATATCAAGTGAACACCTTTTCACATCAATGAACATATTTCTACATTATTATTTTAGTGGATACATAATGTTCTATTTCATTATTGCATAACTTATTCAATGAGATTGCAATTTTTGTAAATTTACATTTTCTACAAAGCTAATATCATGAAGAAGCTGTAATTAACATTGCTGCGAGCTACAGCTTTGCCAACTGTGCAACCATTTCCTTAGAATCAATTCCTAGATGGGAAATGCTAGGTCAAATACGTCCAGAATCTGACCACTTTTTATAATCTACCTTGCGATGCCCCTGCCCCCAAATAGCCACACTGCTCTCCCACTTGCTACCTACAGGCTGATACCCATGGTCATGATGGGTGGCCTTCCCTGACCACCCTTTGCAACTGAAATGCTCTCCTCCCACCCAACACACACTCGCTGTCCCCATCTCTGCTTGTTCTCCACAGCACTGATCATTCTATAATAAGCTACCCCCACTTCTTGTTTATCGTGTTTACTGTCTGTCTTCCTCCTCTCCAGGACGTCAGCTCCATGAGGGTCAGGCTTCCTCTTTCGACTCCATCCCCATCCCCCAGCACTCAAGTATTCTTCAAGCATCCCTTAAACATTCCAACAGTAGGACCCAGTTCCTGTTTTGAAGGAATTCATGATCCACTGGGGGAAACCGAACTCAGACAACAGAGTAAATAATGCTATATTCCAGATATGCACAAGGCGCTGGAGAAAGCATCGAGGAAGCAATGACAGAGGAGGTGACATCTGAGCAGAGCCCTGATGGGTCAATCTGGGAACAGGAGAGAGGCAGTAACCCTACAGGGGCACATTTTGATGTGTGTGGATCATGGGCTGGGGTGGAGGGTGGGCAACGGTTGTGGCCAGATTGTAAATAGTGTTGAGTGTTGAGGGGCATCTGAAAGAGTTTTAGCTTTTTTTTTCATTCTTTTTTTTTTTTTTTTTTTTGAGAGAGGCTCTGTCTCTGTCATCCAGGCTGGAATGCAGTGGTGGGATCATAGCTCACTGCAGCCTCAAACTCCTGGAAGAGCCTTAATTTTAACCTGTAACATTCACATTAAATTTCAACCTGTCACAATCAAACTGTCCCCTAGGGCTTCATCACTGCCAGGCCACCTGATGATGGCAAGGTGCACAAGAAGATTAAATTGGGCTCTAATCTCCATTCCAGCACACCCCTGTTTGAGACAGGGCAGCCCAGCATGAGCTGGCTTACACACTGTGCTTCTGATGGGTCCTTCCTTGGAAGGCTGTGCTCAATGGCTGGAATTTTGAAAACCATCTCTGCTGGCAATGAAAGCTGCTGCCTTATAGAATGACCAAGGCCAGCACTTTGGGAGGCTGAGATGGGGGGATGATTTGAAACCAGCAGTTTGAGACCAGCCTGGGCAACATAGAGAGACCTTGTCTCTATAAAATAAACAAACAAAATTAGTCTGGTGTCGTGGCTGGTGTCCATAATCCCAGCTAGTGAGATTGAAGTGGGAGGGTCACTTGATGCCAAGGAGGTCAGGGCTGCAGTGAACCATGATTGCACCCTAAACTCCAGCCTGGGTAACAGAGCAAGAACCTGTCTCAAAATAATAATAATAATTAATAATAATAATAATAACCAAGTGGAATCTTCTCCTTTCTCCTCGCAGGAGGGCAGGGCCCTTTTACAACCTGTAAAAGTGTGTAGGTTTTCTGGAAAAGATTGAATTGCAGTGGGTATAGAAACCAACCTTGGGCTTTGGGGAGGGCTCAAACCTTGTCAAGGCTCGGCAAGAGAGAACACTGCTGCCTTCCACATGATAGCAAGTCACCCTTCCCGGCAGCACACCTGAGATCAGCTCCTGTTGCAATCCCTGTGTCCCAAGAGGTAAAGCAATTCACTAAAAACACACACTCAGTTAGCAGAACAGGTGACGTCAGCTTTCCAACTCTGACGCTTTTGATGGGTTGTTTAAAGTCCTAAAAAACCCACTAAGATGAAAATAGTGGAAGTGAGGCTGAGGTGGGAGGATCATTTGAGCCCAGGAGTTCGAGGTTGTAGTGAGCCATGATCGTGCCACTGCACTCCAACCTGGGCAACAGAGTGAGACGCTGTCTCAAAACAAACAAAAAATGTAGAACTGCAGAAGCAAGGGTACAGAACCTGCAACCTGGGTGGAGGGGTAAAAGGAGAGGGCAGGGAGGGGCATGTGGCAGGGAAGCTCGTGGAGGACTCCTAGACCATTGGATTTTGGCCAAATCTACTTTCTTTTTCTTTTCTTTCTTTTTTTTTTTTTTTTTTTTTTTTTTTTTTTTTTGAGACGCAGTCTCGCTCTGTCGCCCAGGCTGGAGTGCAGTGGCGCGATCTCGGCTCACTGCAAGCTCCGCCTCCCGGGTTCACGCAATTCTCCTGCCTCAGCTTCCTGAGTAGCTGGGATTACAGGCGCCCACCACCACGCCCAGCTAATTTTTCTATTTTTAGTAGAGACAGGGTTTCTCCATGTTAGCCAGGATGGTCTCGATCTCCTGACATTGTGATCCACCCGCCTCGGCCTCCCAAAGTGCTGGGATTACAGGCGTGAGCCACCGCACCCGGCCTGCCAAATCTATTTTCTAATCTGCAAAACAAGAGAGAAACTATGCTCTCTGGGCACCCTGTTACCTCTCACTGTGACATTTCTTTGTCTTTGAAAAGTGTAACGCATACAAGTGTGCCAGATTCCCATTTTCTATCAATTTCTATAAAGTTGCAACTAAGGTTATGAGAAACCTGGGTCACACCTAGGTAATAAAATGCTGACCTCGGGAGTCATGCAGTCCTCAGGTGGAGCAGAACGACCTGGCCTGGCTTGTGGAGACTCGCGGCTACGTGACTGCCCACTCACGATGCCCCTTGCTGTCCTGGGATGTGCCCCTGCTGGGCTGGATTGGCCCAGCCACTGGGCAGCGCGAGTCCCCCGCCTCCAGCGCCCCACAGGCTCCTAAGAGCCTCGGGTTCCCCATCATAGACAAAGGATTTGGATGAGCCCTCTGAGGTCCCCTCCAGCTCTCAGGTCTGAGGCTATGGCTTTATGAATATTGCATTTCACTCTGCAAAAAAAAATTAATGATACCATGTCTGAAAAGTGCCATGAATTCCTTGGGATAGAGGTGATGAGTTAATTTTGTCACCCATGGTTTCTGTAATCCAATAACATGGCAATACTCAGGCTGGGCTTGGTGGCTCATGCCTGTAGTCCCAGTATTTTGGGAGACGGAGGCAGGCAGATTGCTTGAGCTCAGGAGTTCGAGGCTGCAGTGAGCTATGACTGCACCACTGTACTCTAGCCTGGGCAACATAGTGAGACCCCGTCTCTGCAAAAATTTAAAATCTTAGCTGGGCATAGGCCAGGCGCGGTGGCTCACGCCTGTAATCCCAGCACTTTGGGAGGTTGAGGCAGGTGGATCACTGGGTCAGGAGATCGAGACCATCCTGGCTAACATGGTGAAACCCCGTCTCTACTAAAAAACACAAAAAATTAGCCAGGCATGGTGGCAGGCGCCTGTACTCCCAGCTACTCGGGAGGCTGAGGCAGGAGAATGGCATGAACCTAGGAGGCGGAGCTTGCAGTGAGCCGAGATCACGCCACTGCACTCCAGCCTGGGCGACAGAGCGAGACTCCGTCTCAAAAAAAAAAAAAAAAAAAAAAAAAAAAAATTCCTACATAGTTTACAGATCACTTTAAGTGATCGGATAGGCAGGGATCTGAGCCACTGTTTCAATTTTACAGATGAGGAAATTAGCGTTGTTTCTTATAATATGAATCCTCGTTATTACCGCAAGTAATCCATTTTGAATGAAAACACAAATTGCCAGGAAAAAATGGCTGAGACAATCTCTTCTTGGGCAACTTTCAAGGAATGCTCCCGATCTAACCTTAAACAAAAGGAAAGGGCAAACCAATGTTATCTTTTAGGTCAGAAAAATAAACAGACTTTTCTGTTTTCTTCCCTCTTTTGTAAGCAGTGACACTTGAGAAGTTTCTCACCAGCAGGTTTCTGCCCAAGCCTGAGAATTATCTGACTGACATGAGCCTAAACAAGAGTGGGGACAATCTGAGGACGCCTCCCTGGTGCTCTAAACAGCATGTTGTGAGCGGATGGAAATGAAGGCTACAGTTTTTAGGGAAAAATCTTCCTGCTCATTTTTTGATGACATTGCATCGTATCCCTGACCCCTGAAAATGTTGAGAAGAGTAGAAAAGGATGAGATTTGTCGGTATCCGCTTGCTTTCCGCATGACTTGGATGATTTCCAAGGAACCTCAGGGGTCAAATTTCTTAACTGCAAAGGGGTGGGACTGGCGAAGGCGCAATCAGCAGTCCCATCTGCAAAGCCTACTCTTGCTGTGTGGTTTAACCTGCATTATGGCCCTGGGAGATTCACAGGTGTCTTTCTCTGCCTTCTGTAGGAGGCTCAGTAAAGTTGCCTCAAGTCAAACATTTAAGAAGTGATACCTGGCCCTGCAAGGTGCCTCACACCTGTAATCCCAGCACTTTGGAACGCTGAGGTGGGAGGATCACTTGTGGCCGATTCAAGACCAGCCTAGGCAACATAGGGAGAGCCTGTCTCTACCAAAAAAAAAAAAAAAAAAAAAAGTTTACACAGATTAGCCAGGTGTGATCAGTTTGTTTAAACTTAAAAAAATTAGGTGCGCATGTAGTCGCAGCTACTCAGAAAGCTGAGGTGGGAGGATTGATCCCTTGAGCCCAGGAGTTTGAGGCTGTAGTGAGCTATGATCGTGTCACTGCACTCCAGCCTGGGTGACAGAATGAGATCCCTGGCTTTCAAAACCAGCGATCTGGAGTCCAACTTCAGTAGTCTTTCCTTCTGTTAAACAGACCCAAACATCATGAATGTTCTTAGGCCCCATCAGAGTGATGACACTGAGGTGGCAGAGACTTCCAGGGTGTATTAATCTGTTTTCACACTGCTATGAAGAAATACTCAAGACTGGGTAATTTATAAGAGAAAGAGGTTTAATTAACTAACAGTTCCGCACTACTAGATAGGCCTCAGGAAACTTACAATCATGGCAGAAGGCGAAGCAGTCACATCTCACATGGTGGCAGGTGAGAGAAAGGGAAGAGCCCCTTATAAAACCATCAGATCACTGGGTGCGGTGGCTCACGCCTGTAATCCCAGCACTTTGGGAGGCCGAGGCGAGTGGATCACAAGGTCAGCAGATCGAGACCATCCCGGCTAACACGGTGAAACCCCATCTCTACTAAAGATATAAGAAATTAGCCAGGCGTGATGGTGGGTGCCTGTAGTCCCAGCTACTCGGGAGGCTGGGGCAGGAGAGTGGCGTGAACCTGGGAGGTGGAGGTTGCAGTGAGCTGAGATTGCACCACTGCACTCCAGCCTGGGCAGCAGAGCAAGACTCCATCTCAAAAAATAAAATAAAATAAAATAAAATAAAACCATCAGATCTCATGAGAATTCACTCACTGTCATGAGAACAGCATGGGGAAAACCGCACTCATGATCCAATCACCTCACTCAACACATGGGGATTACACTTTGTGATGAGATTTAGGTGGGGAGGCAGAGCCAAACCATATCAGAGGGGAATAAGATTATGGGCCTCCCAAATTGACCATGATCTGGCTCCAAAGCAGTGAGATTCATTGAAAACAAGGTTTTACAGCAGGAGCAGACAAACAGAAGCCCATGGGTCAAATCCAGCCCATCACAAGTTCGTGTATGGCCAGTGGGTTTAAACTAGTTTTATATTTTTAAATGGTTGGGGGAAAGCTCAAAAGAAGCACAGTCTTTTGTTACTTATACAAATTATATGAATTTCAAGTTTGAGAGTCCATAAATAACATTTTATTGGAACATAGGCTCATTGTTTGCATATTGTCTGTGGCTGCTTTGGCACGGCATCTGGGGAACTGAGTACAATCTATTCTTGTTATTGGCAACATTTATGTTACATAAAGTTACCATTAATACTGAATTAGTGAATACTGAACCATTGCTCCTAGGGGAAATATAGGGTTAGTTTGCTGTAGGCCTCCGGTCACATTTTTGTCTACTGATCAATAAGTAATTATATTTTATATGTGCTTCTGTTTAAAGGGACTCTGTTTAATATATAATGCTGGCTTGTGAACATGGAACTCACGGAAACAGCACTAGAACTCAGGCCTGAACGAAGCTCATCCAACACATGGGTTTTCTCCTTGACGCACCTCACAGCTTCTTGTGCTTAGGAACTTTAGGCAGCACCTCAGCACTATACTTGCGAGTCACTGAAATGCAAAATCACTAACCAAAAGCACAAAAGTGCAAAACACATGGGACTAAGTAGATCCTGAACAGGCAACTTATTTACAGTGTGAGAGTTGAAACAAAAAGATAGAACATTGCTCTGTTCAGCATTGGCTGGAAACGTGGGTGTCAGGTGACATATGTTTTTCCAGGAATAAGTGCAAAGGCACCATGAGTATTCATGTTGAGGCTACAAATAAATTTTAGTGAGTAGGTGAATTTGGAAATACAGAATCCACAAATAATGAGGATCGGCTGTAGTTGCAGCAGAGTCTATACAGATCACAAAGTCTAAAGTATATGCGTTGTGCCCCTTAAAAAAAAAAATGTTTGCCAGCCCTTGCTCTCCAGTTTGTTCAACCTTTCCTCCAAGGAGAATGAAACAGGCACTGGAAGTCATGAACAATGTACGAACCAGAGGGAGCTCATAAGGAAAAGCAAAACAACTTCAATTATGGGGTAGAAACTCAAGTAATTAATGTGGAAAGAATTTTCAAGCTCTAGAGCAAAACCGAGTGTCTGATCTTTGCAGATTTTCTGTTGTTCATTCACAAACATGTATCCAATACCCTCTAACTGGCATGACTCTGTGCTGAGAGTTGTAAGTCATTTAGAGTTACTATTTTAAACTGTAACATTGTTACTTGATCAGTGTTATTGAGAACTGAAGTTGTTTAGAGGAAGGATAGTTGGAAGGAAAGAAGACAAAAATGGATTGGCCAATTTATGACTTGGATCATCAGTCTCTCAAACTGATTATTTTAATTAAAAAAAGTTATTATTTGTGCAAATTTATGGAGTACATGAGAGATTTTGTAACATGTATATAATGTGAAATTTATTATTTTAAACAGGTGTTTTGTTAAACATATTTTAAACAATGAGATGATTTGGCTGTGTCCCCACCCAAATATCTTCTTGAATTGTGTTACAGTTTCCATAATCCCCATGTGTCATGGGAGGGACCTCCATGCTGTTCTTCTAGTAGTGAGTAAGTTCTCAGGAGATCTGATGGTTTATAAGGGGCTTCCCCCGGGCCCCCTTTCACTCTGCATTTCTCCTTGCTGCTGTCATGTGAAGAAGGACGTGTTTGCTTCCCCATCTACCATGATTGTTAAGTTTCCTGAGGCCTCCCCAGCTATGCTGAACTGTGAGTCAATTAAACCTCTTTCCTTTATAAATCACCCAATCTTGGGTATGTCTTTATTAGCAGCATGAGAACAGACCATTACAAACACGTTTGCTTGTGATGACTTAATTTTCTTTCTTTCTTTTTTTTTTTTTTTTGAGACGGAGTCTTGCTCTGTCGCCCAGGCTGGAGTGCAGTGGTGCGATCTTGGCTCACTGCAAGCTCCACATCCTGGGTTCATTCCATTCTCCTGCCTCAGCCTCCCGAGTAGCTGGGACCACAGGTGCCCGCCACCACGACCAGCTAATTTTTCTATTTTTAGTAGAGACGGGGTTTCACCATGTTAGCCAGGATGGTCTCGATCTCCTCACTTTGTGATCCGCCCGCCTCGGCCTGCCAAAGTGTTGAGATTACAGGCATGAGCCACTGCGCCCGGCATGATGACTTAATTTTCAAAAAGGACTTGAGACAATTTAAACCAAAGCACATGCAAAACTCAGGAGGGAGGCAAGCAGGATAGACAGCAAGGTCTGAAAAGTAATGTGGCAGAAGCAGGCAGGACACACAAGGGGCCACGGAATTATATTGCATTTCCATTTGGATTCTGAGACTCCCATCTCAAAAAAATCCCAGGGTAGAGGGGAGGGTGGTAGGGTAGGGAAGATAAAATCAGTAATGAGAGTAAACTCAGGGGAGAGAAAGTTTTCTGAAGTCGTTACAAATAAAAGGCTTTTTGGAAGAGAAGTTTTTTTTTTTTTTTTTCTTTTTTGAGACAGGGTCTCACTCTGTCACCCAGGTTGGAGAGCAGTGGTGTGATCTTGGCTCACTGCAACCTCCACCTCCCGGGGTCAAGCCATTCTGCCACCTCAACCTCCCAAGTATCTGGGACCACAGGTGTGCACCACCAAGCCTGGCTAATTTTTTTTTGTATTTTATTTAGAGACATGGTCTCACTATGTTGCCTAGCTTGGTCTCAAATTCCTGGGCTCCAGCGATCCACCCACTTTGACCTCCCAAAGGCCGAGGCATGAGCCACTGCATATGACCTTGGATGTGAGGTTTCTTAGAATAGACGTAGGAGGTACAGGGGCCCCAGCTCCACAACGTAAGCAGGTCCAAATCAAATGCTTCATGCTTTCTGCCCTGTTTTTTGGAGCTTCCCTGGTGAAAATATAAGTCTGTAGTTTTGTTTGGAACCCAAGTATTAAGTACCTAGGAGTTTACTTTACTGATGTCCAGCTGTATCCAAAGAAAAATCCTAAAGTACTAAGAAAAGTGAATGAACTAAATAATTTTTAAATAGTCCTTCCTAGGGAACTTTCTCTCACGCAGCTTTTGGGTAAGAGTTGGAAGGCATCAGTTCAAGGGCTTAGAGAGACGTTATTTTGTGTCCTTATTTGAAGAATGATCTGTAGACTTGAAACCTTATTATGTTGTGATGGAAGGCAGGGAGGACCTGAAGTCAAAGCCAGGAATTTCTCAGGAAACAGTTCGGGGTCCACCCTATCCCATGAACAAGTCAGAGCTTTATTATCCAGAGAGGGCTAGAGGTGATTTCATCCTGGAAGATTTTCAAAGCTCGCGTCCACCACCCCACGAAAAAATCCATCAATGCCCACATTTTTATGGACAAAAAGTCATGTGTCTCCTAAGCCCCTTGTGGAGACTGATGGACCTGAAGCCCTTTTATGCTCACTTGACTCTTAGTCTAGTCTAGGTGACATTTCTCCTTCATATTTCCTGACATGGAGACCGAGTTTCAAATACCTAAAAGCACTAGAATCCAAGAATTCTGATTCCACTTCATTTTTTCTATTAATCATGTCCTGCTACTCCCAACTCCCCATGCTTAGAGATATCAAAAGTGCAGCCATATGTGGAATATTAACTGGGTAACAGCAGTATCACGCTGTTCCCCCTCCACCTTACAAAAAGCACAATCTGCAGAACTGTGAGCTCGGCCTCCACAGAAATGGAAACTCTCAAGCGCTGCCGTGTGGCCATGACAATCCGTGTAGGGGGTCAGAGCTTGGGGTGACCCCAAAGAGCTAAGGTTCCTTCTTAGCCTTTACTCTCACGATGTGGATTTCATCTGAGGAGTGTCATAAAACAAATCACTGAATTGGGTATCTCTACCAAGAAATGCAGTCCTCCCCTATCTCCCTCCCATCCTTACACTCGGCAGAGAGCCTCTGCTGATTTCTAAGCAGCGTGTTATGCCTGCGATCAACCACGTGCTAAAAGATAATGCTGAAAATGACCAGACAGTAGACTGTGAGCACGTCCACGCCCAGGATTCATTTGAAGGGGTTTGTCAAGTCTGGAGGTCTCATCCTGGCTTGGTGGAATCCCAGATTCCCCTGTGGAGCAGACTGGAGAATCCAAGTGTGAAACCACATTTTTGAATCCAGATGCAGCTGCCTCCCTTCACCCTGAAGGTTGACATTTAGAAGCACTTACAAAGCACAAGGAAGTGTGAATAGCAACTGGATTCTGAAAGTAAAACCTCCTGCTTTGAACCTCATTTGCATGCTTTTTTCCCCCAGATTGTTGCAACCAAATTAATTCTCTTCACTGCTCCTAGCTCCTTCTCTCAGAGGTGAGGCATTAGGTGAAGATAAAGGAATGTGAGGAGAGACCCTTTATCGGGGAAGAGAAATGGAGGATGGAAAACAGGGTGGTGATTCAATTACATACAGCACATTTCCTGTTCTTACAGACTGAAGGCTGACAGTTTAAAGAGATCAAAGGTTGCCTTTTGAAATCACCCCCTCAAAGTCTGGATTTCTATTTGTCAGCCATTAGCGCTAGGTGAAATAAATATCTTAAGACTCTGTTACTTGTTATTTTTTAAAGGAGGAGAGCTTGGGTAAGTAAGTAGATAAATGGTTTGAGAAGTCAGTTCTTGCAAATGGTTTGAGAAGTCAGTTCTTGCACCTACCAAGACATACCTACAGCGGAGTCCCCCGGGAAGATTGCCAGAGTCATTTGAAGAAGAGACCTGGAATGCAATTACATACAGTTCTAGTAAAGCCATGGGTGACTGAAACCTTAATTACAATGAAGGAGAAACATACTTTGTGAGCATTTGGAGTTGAATCTTCCTCTTGCCCTTTGCCAATAGGAAGAATAAAAAAAGTAAAAGAAAGGAGAAGAGACAGCAAATACTTCTGTCCACACCTGACCTGATTTAAATTTCCTCCAGGGCTCACTAGACTTAGCTCTGAGACAAATGGGTATTTAGTTCAATTGTCTAAGAGGGTCTAAGTAGATAAGGAGAAGAAAGATACTCAGAGTTCAGCTCCTTCTCCACTTCCTGCATCTCTCATAAAGGAAGAACTTGTTGGGCTCTCAAGATTCACGCTCATGGTATGGCCATAATCAAAAAATCAAAAAATAATAGATGTTGACATGGATGTGGTGAAAGGGGAACACTTTTACACTGCTGGTGGGAATGTAAACTTGTACAACCGCTATGGAAAACAGTGTGGCGGTTCCTTAAAGAACTAAAAGTAGAACTACCATTTGATCCAGCAATCCCACTACTGGTATCTACTCAGAGGAAAAGAAATCATGATACGAAAAAGATAGTGGCATACGCATGTTTATAGTAGCACAATTTGCAATTGCAAAAATGATGGAACCAACCCAAATGGCCATCAGGCAATGAGTGGATAAAGAAAATGTGCTGTATATGTATCATGGAATACTACTCTGCCAAAAAAATAAAAAAATAAAAACACGAAATAATAGCATTCGCAGCAACCTGGATAGAATTGGAGACTATTATTCTGAGTGAAGTAACTCGGGAATGGAAAACCAAACATTATATGTTCCCACTCATAAGTGGGAGCTAAGCTATGAGGATGCAGTCATAAGAATAATATAATGTACTTTGGGAGTCAGGGGAAAGGGTGGGAAGGGGGTGAGGAATAAAAGACTACAGATTGGGCACACTGTACACTGCTTGGGTGATGGGTGCATCAGAATCTCAGAAATCACCACGACACCACCTGTTCCCTCAAAACCTACTGAAATAAAAAAAAAATTTACTCTATGGGTTGCTGGATTTTGTTTTCTAACTAGATGGAGGTTTCAAGTCACCAAAGGCCACATGTCACCCTAGAGCCCTGAAGGTAGTATGTGTCTGTGTTTGCTGGGTGCTGCAGGGATGGTCCTTCAAGGTAGGAAAGAGGTTTTTAATTTTTATTTATTTATTTATTTATTTTCCTTGAGACAGAGTTTCGCTCTTGTTGCCCAGGCTGGAATACAATGGCGCGATCTTGGCTCACTGCAACCTCCGCCTCCCGAGTTCAAGCAATTCTCCTGCCTCAGCCTCCCAAGTAGCTGGGATTACAGGCGCCCGCCGCCATGCCCAGCTAATCTTTTGTATTTTTAGTAGAGACGGGGTTTCCCAATGTTGGCCAGGCTGGTCTTGAACTCCTGACCTCAGGTGATCCACCCGCCTCAGCCTCCCAAAGTGCTGGGATTACAGGCATGAGCCACTGCGCCCGGCCCAGAGGTTTCTTTATTCAGCTGCCCCAGATCATGGGGTGGCCCTCCTTCCCCACTGCTTTCTCTTCATCCTCTTGTCTTCAGAAGCACGTCTGATTGTAAAGCAGATTGTCTTCTGGTCCATATGATTTTGGAGCCCTGGAAATATGCCAGGTACTATGTTAGTGTTCGGGACAGAGAAGGGAAGAAGGCGATGTTTGCCTTCAAAGACGCTATTGTCTAGGAGCAGACCTAGACCCAAACCAAAACAAAGTAACACAAAACAAAAGGCAGACTCAGACAATACAAAATAATGTGGCCAAACAGAGCGAGCCCAGGGGAAGGACACTTAGTCCCTACCCTGGGGGATATCTTAGAGGAACCATCACTTGAAGAGTCCCTTGGAATTAGCTAGGGAGGTTTACAATTTTCCACTCACCTCTTTGACAGAAGTGTTTGGAAGTTTCAGCTGACAGGGCTCTGGCTCACCACAGAGGATGCTGGTGGCGCTGCTGGGGATGCCAACTCACTAACAAGGACAGTGAGTAAGGGCTGAGCACTTGCCGTAAGGTCCCAAACTTGTCACCTCTCTGGATAACATTTTTTTTTTTTTGAGATGAGTCTCGCTGTATCGCCCAGGCTGGAGTGCAGTGGCGCGATATCGGCTCACTGCAAGCTCTGCCTGCCGGGTTCACACCATTCTCCTGCCTCAGCCTCCCGAGTAGCCGGGACTACAGGCGCCCGCCACCACGCCCGGCTAATTTTTTGTATTTTTAGTAAAGACGGGGTTTCACCATGTTAGCCAGTATGGTCTTGATCTCCTGACCTCGTGATCTGCCTGCCTCAGCCTCCCAAAGTGCTGGGATTACAGGCATGAGCCACTGCGCCCGGCCCTCTCTGGATAACATTTAATTTTATTTTATTTTTTAATCTCTAGAAACTTCAGGTTTTCAAAATTTGATGTCTGGCAATTAAAGTGCATTGACTAAACCAACCTAATTTGCTTTCTCAGAGTTTATAAAAAACACATACAACTGCCAAAGCTTTTGATTATTACAGGATACCCAAGGGAGAATGTGATGCCTTATGAAATCAACAAAATGTTCTGATTCCTGCATGCAGCCCTTTTGTGCTGGGACAAGATTTGCACGAGCCTGCGCTTGTCTTTCTTGTTTTTGTTGTTTGTATTTTAAAGATACTGAAGAAAGCAACCAGCTCTTTTATGCTGGTCAACTCTAACTTCACTTATTAGGGACTGTGCCTGAATATTAGATAGCCTAGGATAATTTGTGACTTTTTATTCATGAGCGAGCACACTTACTCCATTTAATTATTTGGTTGACACCAGCCATTCTCTTTTCTCTTGTTTTTCTTTTTCTTCTCCTTTTTGAAGACAGGGGTTCCCTTTGTTGTCTAGGCTGGAGTTCAATGGCATGATCACAGCTCACCGCAGGCTCAAACTCCTGGACTGAAGTGACCCTCCCACCTCAGCCTTCCAAGTAGCTAGGGCTACAGGCATGTACCACCACACCCTGTTAATTTTTAAATTTTCTGTAGAGATAAGGTCTTGCTCTGTTGCCCCAGCTTGTCATAAACTCCTGGGCTCAAGCAGTCCTCCGGCCTTGGCCTCCCAAAGTGCTGGGATTACAAGCGTGAGCCATTCCACTTCTCCACGACACCTCCAGCTTCTTCGTGGAAGAGATCCAAACGGCATTCATCGTCTCCAATATGCTAGGAAATTCAGGAACCTAAAACATCAAGCTAAGAAAAAAACAAGCAAACTTAGGTTCCTGATAATTACGAAGAAACTCATGTCCCTGTCTTGTGACCCTAGAATCTTTCATGAGGTGACTTCCAGGCAGGTAGCTAGCACTCTGATCCCAGGCAGACTGGTACCCACCTCTCTGTTCTCTGCCTAGACCAGGACATCTCTGCATCATCCAGGGCTTCAGCTACTCTTTACTCTTCCAAATCCTTGCCTTGGCCAGTCATCTGCTCCCAGGAACTCTTGTCCCCTGTTTCCATGGGCCGGGCCAGAACTCCATTTAGAACTCCTGCAGAAGTCTCAGTAGACTCCCACTTGAACTCACCACCCTTTTCCTTCATCTCAAACCTGTTTCTCCTCCTGCACTGCTTATCTCAGACAGCAGCATCTCTCTTCACATGGGCAGTGCAGCTATGATCTAGAGTGCAATCCTTATCTCCCATCTCTCATTCTAAAAGGGCTGCCGCTGCGTGCCAAGGATTCTCCCTCCTCATTCTCTCTGTTCCTCCTCGCCTCCTGCTATTTCTTCCCCACAGCACTCTCTCGGTTTGGGCACTTATGATCTTTTGTGGGAATTATGTAAGGCTCTCCTTGACTAAATCCTTTCCAGTGAATCCAGCCTCCACAACCCTTGCAGGCTTTTGTTTGTTTATTTTTATTTTCTTTATTTTTTTGGAGGCAGGATCGTACTCTGCTGCCCAGGTTGGAGTTCAGTGGCATGATCAAACTACTTCCTGCCTCAGCCTCCCAAGTGGCTGGAGCAGCTGGGACTTATAGGCATGTGCCATCATTCCTTGCTAATTTTCTTTATTTTTTTGTAGAGATAGGGTATCACTGTATTGCCCATCCTGATCTTGAACTCCTGGCCTCAAAGAATCTGCATGCCTCAGCCATCCAAAGCTCTGGGATTACAAGTGTGACTCGGCCAGACTTTTCTTTTAAAAAATCAGATCCAATTCTTTGTGGTTGGACTTAAAAAAATAAAAATTTATTCTCACAGTCTAGAGGCTACAGTCCAAAATTAAGATGTCACCTGGGGCTGGGCTGTGGCCTCCAAAAGTGCTGGGATTACAGGAGTGAGCCACTGCACCCGGCCTCAGTGTTTCACACCTGTAATCCCGGCACTTTGGGAGGCCAAGGCAGGCGGATCACTTGAGGCGAGGAGTTGGAGACCAACCTGGCCGACATGGCAAAACCCCGTCTCTACTAAAAATACAAAAATTAGCCAGGCGTGGTGATGGGCACCTGTATTCCCAGCTATCTGGGAAGCTGATGCAAGAGAATTGCTTGAACCCGGGAGGAGGAGGCTGCAGCGAGCCAAGATTGTGCCACTGCCCTGAGCCTGGATGACAGAGCCAGAGCAAGACCCCGTCTCAAAAAAAAAGATGTCACCTGGGCATGCTCCCTCCAAAGGCTCTGGGAGAACCCTTCCTTGCCTCTTGTAGCTTCTGGTGGTTGCTGGCAATTGCGGGCTCTCCTTGGTTTGCAGATGCGTCCTTCCAATCTCTGCTTCCTCATCACATAGACTTCTCCCACGTGCCTATGACTCCATGCGTCTGTGTCACTTCTTAGATGGAGACCAGTGATTGGGTTTAGAGCCTACCCCATCCAGTGTGACCTCATTTTAACTTGAATTTTTTTTTGACTTTTTTTCATTGCAGTTTTTTTTGTTGTTTGTTCATTTGTTTGTTTGTTTGTTTGTTTGAGATGGAGTCTCGCTCTGTCGCCCTGCCTTGAGTGCAGGGGCGCGATTTCAGCTCACTGCAAGCTCCGCCTCCTGGGTTCACGCCATTCTCCTGCCTCAGCCTCCCGAGTAGCTGGAACCACAGGCATCTGCCACCATGCCCGGCTAAATTTTTGTATTTTTAGTAGAGACGGGGTTTCACCATGTTAGCCAGGATGGTCTCGATCTCCTGACCTCGTGATCTACCTGCCTCGGCCTCCCAAAGTGCTGGGATTACAGGCGTGAGCCACTGCGCCCGACCTGTCTGTTTGTATTTTGAGATGGAGTCTCGCTCTGTTGCCCAGGCTGGAGTATAGTGGTGCCACCTTGGCTCACTGCAACCTCCGCCTTCCAGGTTCAACCAATTTTCCTGCCTCAGCCTCTTCAATAGCTGGGATTACAGGCGTGCACCACCACATCCAGCTAATTTTTGTATTTTAGTAGAGAGGGGTTTCACTATGTTGGCCAGGCTAGTCTTGAACTCCTGACCTCAGGTAATCCTCCCGCCTCAGCCTCCCAAAGTGCTGGTATTACAGGAGTGAGCCACTGCACCCGGCCTCTTTGCAGTTTAATTTTAAAATTTTTAATTGTCTTGGGTTCATAATACAGCTCTAACTCTATCTCCATGCTTCCCTCCTTAAAAGCTTCTCAAAGCTTCCCATTTGCCTGGTGCGTGACAATCAAATTCCTTAGAATGTTATATAAAGCTGTTCTCAATCTTCCCATCTCCCCTGCCTCCTTCTGCAGGCGCTTCTCCTGCTGAGCCTCCAGAACAGCCTCCTCCAGGCACGCAGGACCCTCCCTGCTTTGTTGCCAGCCTAGACTTCTTCAGGCTGCCTATGTCCCCAGCTTGCCCCTGCTTGGAATGCCTCCTGCCCCTTCCTCCACCATCCTTCAGCACCTGGTTTAAGTGTCCTCTCTTTTTCTGGGCCACTGGGTAGAGTCTCCACTAAAACACATTGTATTGAAATTATTTCTCTGTCTCCTTGGAAAGACTATCAGCACCTCCAAGTCAGGAGGGTTGACTTACATTTCTGTGGCTTTCCTCTGTTGGTCATAGTGGATACTTGTTTGTTGAATGCCTAACTCAGTAAAAAATCTAGAAATCCAGTGCTGCTAAATTCCAGAGACTCCATAAGGAGAGGAAGCTGTCAGGCCTTTCCCACCTCACCCACAGGGATAGCCACGCAAGCTTGAATGGTAATAACCTTGATTGATATGAATCTTATGGGTGTGTATAGTTTGTTTTAGGCATGTGCTTAAACTAAGAAAGAATAAGAAACACATTTAGAAGTAATAATACATAGCGATCCTTATGTGTTAGTTACTATGAGTACTAATTTCTTTCTTTTTTTTTTTTTTTGAGGTGGAGTCTCACTCTGTCGCCAGGCTGGAGTGCAGTGGTGCAGTGTTGGCTCACTGCAATCTCTGCCTCCCGGGTTCAAGTGATTCTCAGCCTCCCGAGTAGCTGGGACTACAGGCACGCGCCACCACACCCAGCTAATTGTTTGTATTTTAAGTAGAGACAGAGTTTCACCATGTTGGCCAAGATAGTCTCATCTCTTGACCTCGTGATCTGCGCACCTTGGCCTCCCAAAGTGCTGGGATTAGAGGCGTGAGCCGCCGCGCCTGGCTGAGTACTAATTTCTTTATTGTTATTACCTCTGTCTCCTCGAGAGCACATAGCTAGTATAAATGGTGGTTTGACCCCAGAGAATCTGGCTCCAGAGTCCAGGCTCCCACCTGCTACATGACATGGCCTCTAGTACAACCATAAAGATAATACCTAACAGATACCGGGGCTTAGCATGTGCCAGGGGCTGTTCCTAAGGCTTTGTGTGATGAATTTCACAGGGAACCCTGGAGAACTTAGCCTAGCTGTACTTTGCTTTCTCCATTTGTAACATAGAATAATACGACCTCCAATCTCATTGTTTCTTTTGTGGTGAGGGTTAAATAAGATAATGCCTGGAAAAATTAGAACTGTGCAGACCTACCTGCTTAAATGAACATTATTCATGCAACCCAATGGATAGTCATAGCTTTAGGGGAGTAAAAGTAGAGAAAGAGGACACATCGCTGGCTGGTAGGAAGTAGGGCCCTGCGCTAGGAGAATCTGAGTTTTGAATGAAAGTCAGACCCGGGCACCTTGGTGGAGGTAAACCCTGAGAAAAATGACTACAACTGAAACACTCATCTACTATGTTGCTGGGCAGCGGGGAACCAACCTAAAGTTCCTCCAGAATAACTGTTGTCATCCAAACCTGACTTCTAGCCCATTTACTGCTGTCATTTAAAACCTTCGGGCAAGGGTTCTGGGCACGGTGGTTCACGCCTGTAATCCCAGCACTTTGGGAGGCTGAAGCAGGCAGATCACCTGAGGTCAGGAGTTCAAGACCAGCCTGGCCATCATGGCAAAACCCCATCTCTTCTAAAAATACAAAAATTAGCCAGGCGAGGTGTCACCTGCCTGTAATCCCAGGTGACACTCGGGAGGCTGAGGCAGGAGAATCTCTTGAACCTTGCGGGCGGAGGTTGCAGTGAGCTGAGATCGTGCCACTGCACTCCAGCCTGGGCAAGAGAGCGAGACTTCATCTCAAAAAAAAAAAAATCCTTTGGGCAAAGCAGTGTGGTGGCTCCTGTCTGTAGTCTCAGCTACTCTGAAGGCTGTGGTGGGAGGATTGCTTGAGGCTAAGAGCTCTAGGCTGCAGTGTGTTGTGACTGTGCCTATGAACAACCACTGCATTCTAGCCTGGCCAGCATAGCCAGATCCCATCTCTGAAAACAACAAAACAAAACAACAAAAATAAAGAAAATCTTAGCCTCTCTAAGCCTGTTTCCACTTCTAGAAAATTAGGTGCTTAGATTTGGCCATCTTGAAAATGCCATCCAAGTCAACATTCTCTGATTCCGTGGCCCCCAAGTCTCTTGCATAGGAAGATACTTTCTTACCCTGTCTTTCTCTACTGTTCCAAAGGAAGGCATCTTTCGTGACTTTGATGCTCTGTGTATTTCTTTCCTCATGGCGTCTTTGCTATTTCTCTCTCCATTGGCAAATGTCCTTTGTTTTTAAAACTGCATATAGGCCCCTGAACTTAAGAAAATTTTGCCCAAATCTACTTTCTCTAACCACCACCCTATAGCTGTGTCTTCATCTGTCTAATTTATTGAGGCCCATTGGCTCTCTACCTATCACCCAACTGCCTCCTGCCGTATTCCCTCTATAATGACTTTAGATAGCTCTCTCTTCCTAAAGGGGGCAAAGGATAAGGAATTTCTCAGCCTATCTAGCAGAGATAGTCTGAATACTTTTGTTTTATTTTATTTTCATTTCTTTAAAGATGGGATCTTGCTCTGTCACCCAGGCTGAAGTGCAGGGGTGCAATCATAGCTCACTGCAGCCTCAAACTCCTGGGCTCAAGTGATCCGCCTGCCTCAGCCTCCTGAGTAGCTGGGATTACAGCTGCATGCCACCACTCTTGGCTAACTTCTAAAAAATATTTTGTAGAGAAGGGATCTTGCTATGTTGCCCAGAGTGGTCTCCAGCTCCTCTTCTCAAGCAATCCTCCTGTCTCAGTCTCCAAAAGCACTAGGATTACAGATATGAAACATTGCACCCTGCCAGTTCTCCCTTTTTAAAGGGGACAAAAGATAAATAAATCCTCAGCCTATCTAGCAGAGATAGTCTGAGTACTTTTATTTATTTATATATTCATTTATTTTGAGACGAGTCTTGCTCTGTCGCCCAGGCTGGAGTGCAGTGGTGCAATCTCGGCTCACTGCAACCTCCGCCTCCCACGTTCAAGCGATTCGCATTCTTCAGCCTCCCGAGTAGCTGGGACTACAGGTGCTAACCACCAAGTCTGGCTAATTTTTATATTTTTAGTAGAGATGGGGTTTCACCATCTTTATCCAGGCTGGTCTTGAACTCTTGAGCTCAAGTGATCCAACCACACTGGCCTCCCACAGTGCTGGGATTATGAATATTTTTAAATTAATAGAAACATAAGAAACATAATCTTGGCTCACTGCAACTTCTGCCGCCCAGGTTCAAGTGATTTTCGTGACTTGGCCTCCTGAGTAGCTGGGATTACAGGCACATGCCACCACGCCAGACTAATTTTTGTACCTTTAGTAGAGACGGGGTTTCACCATGTTGGCCAGGCTGGTCTCGAGCTCCTGAACTCGGGTGATTTGCCAGCCTTGGCCTCAGCATCCCAGAGTGCTGGGACTACAAGTGTGAGCCACTGCAATCTGCTGAAACTAAAAATCTTTTTTTTTTTTTTTTAAGAGATCATGGGATAGGAAGGGAAGGTGTATGGAGGTGTGAAAGATGAAGAGAGAGAAAAACAAGGAAAGGATGGAGGGAAGACACAGCGAGCAGGGACCACTTGAGGCCCCGGGAGGGCCCTGGAGTCCTAATGTTGGCTTGAAGGAGGCAAGAGAGAAAAAGTCACGGAGAGAGAGAAGGCATTTGGGTGAAGGAACATGGGCCAGATAATGAAAGCCTGAATACCAAGAAGATGAGAAAAGAAGGCCTAGAGTCAGTGTAAGAATTGAAATAAGAAATCGCATTCTCTCAGGCAGCCTAAGAAAGGGAGTCTGGCTCTTTTGGTGTCTCCAAGCACAGAGGTGTGATGTAGACTCAGGAATTTTTGCAAGTCTATTTTGATCATGAGAAACCTTGCCTTGGGCCGTGGACTGTGGCTCAAGCCTGTGATCCCAGCACTTTGGAAGGTCGAGGTGGGTGGATCTCTTTAAGCCCGGGAGTTCGAGATCAGCCTGGCCAACATGGCAATACCTGTCCAAAAAAAAAAAAAAAGAAAGAAAAAGAAAAAGAAACCTTATCCTGGTCCTTCTTTTGTTTGCTTCCTTCAGAGACTGGTTCTTCCTTTTACTGTTGCTTAAATGAGAGTCTGGTTTTATTTGGAGGATGCTGTTTTTTATATTTCCTGATTTTATCTCTATTTGTTCTTTTCTTGGGATTCAATGGGCTTAGAATCAGAGGAAACTAGGAAGTGAATGAAAGCAAACAAAAGGAGTTAGTCTTTGAAATGGTTTTCTTATTCTGTTAGGTCTCCTATGTCATGAAATGACTCTGTTCAAAAATCGCCAAAAAATGCAATTCTGAAATGTAAATGCCCATGGGTCGTCTGAAAGGCAGCTTGACCTTAGGCTGAATGAGCCACTGAAGTCATTCATCCAAAAGGGATGGAACTGTTGGGTCTCTCAGAGTAGAAGGCCACTGGGCTATGGGATATGCCTATGGTGGCAAATATTAATCTGACCCAAAAATGTTTGTGGGATTAAGTTGGCTAAAACAAAATAAAAAGCAATCAAATCCCCCCACCAAACCAAGAGCTTTACCCTCATCCTGCCTTACCAGCCAGGTCTGCTTTCTTCCAGAATTTTAGTATCTTCTTTCCTTTCCATAAGGTAGCTCAGAAACATATTCTATTTTCAGTATTCTGCATCTTGGGGTGAAATATTCTCTAGCTCTTTGAGATATTTCAGCGTTTCCTCCTTGCTTTAATAATCATTACAGACCGTGTGACTAAGAATTTCCTGCTTTCTTGGAATGATATTAATGATCTATTTATATGTTTACGTTTTGAAACACTGCAACAAAATAGAGCTCCGCTTATCTTTGTTATTGAAAAAAAAATACATTCTATCTGCTGGCCCCGGAAGTAAGGAAAACTGTTTTCTCTGGGACAGATGTTAAATCCTCCATTTCCTTGATTAATCACCTCCTGTGCCGAGTGATTAAGAGAGCCAGGAACCTTCACTGGGCTACAGACTTGAGATCGTTGAAGTGAATGGCGTTGGACAGTCTTGAGGTTTTAAAAAAAAGTTTTTAATTTTTAATTTTTCTGAGTACATAGTAGGAGTATATAGATATGGGGTACATGAGATGCTTTGATACAGGCATGCCATGTAAAATAATCACATCATAGTGAATGGGGTGTCCATCCCCTCAAGCATTTATCCTTTGTGTTACAGATAATCCAATTACAATCTTTAGGTTATTTTAAAATGTACAATTATGTTATTATTAATTATAGTTACCCTGTTGTGCTATCAAATAGTAGGTCTTAGTCATTCCTTCTAACTATTTTGTTTTGTACCCATTAACCATATACACTTTTCCCCACTACCCTTCCCAGCCTCTGGTAACAATCCTACTACATCCATGAATTCAATTGTTTTGATTTTAAGATCCCACAGCCTTCAGTTTTAAAAGCCTTAGAAAACTGCTTTTCACTGAGAACGCTCAAATTGTGTGACAATAAAAGTTATTTCACACTTCTTTCTGAGAGGCTTCTAGCCTTGATTAGCAGTTGTAAATAATACGTGTATACGCTGAAAATAAGAAAATGAATACATTACTTCCTCAAACAATTATACTGTGTAATATGAGAAATATTTGAAAACTATGGAAAAGGTGGAGCAGGTTAAGGAATATAACAAAAATCCTTTGGAGGTGAAAGTCTAGAAACCACTGTGGAAGATGCGTCTTTGTCTCAGAATTGTTACTGCTGACTTTTGGGTGCAGACCTCTCTTATCAAACCTGGATCAGGAACTCCTTCCATCAAAGCTGACTCTGGGCTCTGAATGCTGCTGTTGAATGGCCAGTCTTACCAACATGAAAAGAAGCCACGATACCAGAGACAAGCGAACAGACATGCAAAATGACAGGAACAGACCACAAAATGATCTCTGTGGTTGCTGGAACAGCAATGTCTGCGAGGGTCACAGCAAGCTGAGAATAGTCTGAATTACTAGGCATTCTTTTCGGATCAGCTGCGTTTTTATCTCTAGTTTGGAGATGTGTAGATTCCATAGCAGCAAAGAAAAGAGGTCATCCAACTCTGGCTTGAGGAATGTGGAGGCTGGCCATAGGTGGTGGAGATACCGTTTTAGTCTTGTGGCAGGCAGAATGTTGAGTTGATGTTATCTGACCTGAAATATGGCCAGTTAGGTTTTTACAAATTTTTACCGTATTTCTGTTCATTTCTTTTCTTTCTCTCTTTCTCTTCTTTCTCTCTTTCTTTCTCTTTCTTTCCTTCCTTTCTTTTCCTTTCTTTCCTTCCTTCCTTCTCTTTCTTTCTTTCTTTTTCTTTCTCTCCTTCCTTCTTTCCTTCTTTCTCTTTTTTTCTTTCTTTCTCTCTCTCTCTCTTTCTTTCTTTCTTTCTTTCTTTCTTTCTTTCTTTCTTTCTTTCTTTATTCTTTCTTTTTTTCTTTCTTCCCCTCCTCTCCTCTCCTCTCTCTTTCTTTTTTTCTTTTTCTTTTCTTTTTTTTTTTGACATGGGGTCTTACTCTGTTGCCCAGGCCAAAGTGCAGTGGTGGGATCCTAGCTCACCGCAGCCTCAAACTCCTGGGCTCAAGCGATCCTCCCACCTCAGCCTCTCAAGTAGATGGGAGTACAGATCTGAACCACCATGCCCAGCTAATTTTTAATTTTTTTTTCTGTAGAGATGGGGTCTCCCTATGTTGCCCAGGCTGGTCTCGATCTCTTAGGCTCAAGTGATCCTCCCTCCTCCATCTCCCAAAGTGTTGGGATACAGGTGTGAGCTACCGCACCCTTCCTGTTTCTTTCTTAAGAGCATTATTATATAGGCCAAGAGAGTGACAGGGGTTAGATTGCTTGGAAATATTCTTAGATCTTTGAAATAGCATCTGCATTACCCAAATACAGTACCCACTAGCCACATGAGGCTATTTAGGTTTAAATTAATAAAAGATTAAATAAAATGAAGCATTCAACTCCTCAGTTACACAAGCTGCAGCCACATGTGCTAGTGGCTACCATATTAGCCAGGGCAGATAAGGAACATCTCCAGCATGGCAGAATGTTCTAAGTACTGCCCTACAATTTCTTGAGTCCATTTGTAAATATTATGTAGCTACTATATTTCTTTAAGCTTTCCTATCTCTTTAAACTTTTCCATCTGTAAAATGAGGCTAATAAGTTCTCTCCCTCAAAAGGCTGCTATGAAATGTACTTATCTATTATTTTTTGAGACAGGGTCTCACTCTATCACCCAGGCTGGAGTGCAGTGGCATGATCACTGCAGCTTCCACTTCTTGGGCTCCAGCAATCCTCCAACTTCAGCCTCTAGAGTAGCTGGGACTGCAGGAAGGCCACCATGACCAGCTAATTTTTGTACTTTTTGTAGAGACGGGGTTTTGCCATGTTGCCCAGGCTGGTCTCAAACTCCTGGGCTGGAACCATCCACCTGCCTCAGCTTCCCAGAGTGCTGGGATTACAGATTACAGGTGTGAGCCACCACGCCTGGTACTATGAAATTGAAATGAGATATTAACTGTATATAAAGCACATATTCTCTTGCCCGGTGCATTATAATATTATAATAAATGGTAGTTCACAGCATGTCCATTCAGACTTGGGCCGAACACATTTGTATTTTAAAAGTGCCTGTAATCCAAAAAGCTTTTGAAATGACTTCCTTGTAAATCAGACTATTTTTGCAGAAACACATCACTTATCATGTTGGTGAGTGCCATTCTCAGATTCATAAAAAGAGTAAGGTTTTTCCTTTCCACAATATTTTGTAATTTTTTTTTTTTTTTTTTAGACATAGTCTCACTCTATCGCCAGGCTGGAGTGCAGGGCATGATCTTGGGCTCACTGCAACCTCTGCCTTCCCGGGTTCAACTGATTCTACTGCCTCAGCCTGCCGAGCAGCTGGGACTACAGGCGCCCGCCACCACGCCCAGCTAATTTTTGTATTTTTAGTAGAGACGGGGTTTGACCATGTTGGCCAGGATGGTCTCGATCTCTTGACCTCGTGATCTGTCTGCCTCGGCCTCCTGGAGTGCTGGGATTACAGGCGTGAGCCACCACTCCTGGCTGCTGTTTTGTATCTTAATAGGAAAGAGAGGTTGGGCGTGGTGGCTCATGCCTGAAATCCCAGCACTTTGGGATGCTAAGGTGGGCGGATCACTTGAGGTCAAGACTTTGAGACCAGCCTGACCAACATGGTGAAACTTCGTCTTTACTAAAAATACAAAAATTAGCCAGGTATGGTGGTGCATACCTGTAATCCAAGCGACTTGGGAGGTTGAGTCAGAAGAATCTCTTGAACCCAGGAGGAGGAGGTTGCAGTGAGCTGAGATCACGCCACTGCACTCCAGCCTGGATGACAGAGAAAGTGAGACTCCATCTCAAAAAAAAAAAATTAAAAAAAAAAAAAAAACGAGAGAGAAAAGGAAATGAGAAGACCTTATGAGTTGTAACACTTTTAGCCCTGAACTCCCCTCCCCTTTAAAAAAAAAAATCCAGTGGCTGAAAAATGTGTGCAGAAAGGTGTTTATTACTATAGGTGTCAACACAGCCTTGAGTCCGGACAGAGAAGCCAGCTGCTCTCATGGGACCTGTGTATATACAGCAAAGGTAATTACTTTGGGCTACAGCTACTAACATGATTTAGCAAACTCCCTGCCTGCAAAAGTCTCATCATCCCCTAGAGAATGGGCCCAAACTCATTGCAACTGTGCAGACCTACCTGAGCTTTTCCTGCCACAGGCTCTTTGAGATCTGTTATAATTTGCATTCCTTAGGCAAATGGAATTTAAATTCCTTAGGCAAATTTCATCCTGATGGAACACCAAGATGACATGCATGGCATGATCTCATTGTTTGGGATTTCTGCTTTAGAGTCATTAACATATGCTTCAACAGGCAGGGGAGGGAAAGCAGCTGGGCTCAGTTCCACTTTGCTTTCCTGAGTGCTCCCTCACAGCTGAATAACCCTTGCTTTTCAAAGCACCTTCACAAATATCTCTGTGGCGCTTCCTGATATTCTTGTGTGGTGGTGAGGGCATTATGCGGTATTGCAGGAAGAGTTACAAGACTGGTATTCTGGTCCTGGGCTGCAAGTTAAGAAGCCTGTCAGTAGATGTTCCCGTGTACCCACTAAGAAATGCATGATAAGAGAGAATGGGTGTGCTGTGATCAGACCACATGTGTAATTAACTGTTCTGTTCTTGCACAAGGGGAGAATCAGGTCCTATGTGTCACAAGGAGGATAAGCGGAGTCTTTCTACACTTCAAATCATATTTGATTTACGAGACAGACCTACAAAGTCTTTCAACCATCAGCCTGAAATGAAACTTTCTCCTCCTACTTATCTTCACCGATTTAAATTCTCCTGTCATCTTAGTAATAGGGTGACAGAATTTCCTTGGGACGCTGACTCAGGTGGCATAAACCAAAAAGTATCTGAGACAGGTCTCAATCAATGTAGATGTTTATTTTGCCAAGGTTAAGGACAATGCCTGGAAGACAGGTCTGTGAATTTCTGCAAAGATGATTTTGAGGCTTCAGTATTTAAAGGGGAAAGGCTGGTTGGTGGGGGAAAGAGGGAGGGTATTACTAAATCCACAAGTCGCCAGAGAAAAGGAGCAGGTAGGGGGCTGGGCATGGTGGCTCATGCCTGTAATCCCAGCAGTTTGGGAGGTCTAGGCAGGCGGATCACTTGAGGTCAGGAGTTCGAGACCAGCCTGGCCAACATCGTGAAACCCTGTCTCTACTAAAAATACAAAAATTAGCCATAGAATGGTGAGGACATGTAGGCTTCACGGGGTGCATGTGAGGCTTAAGTAAGCATATGAAAAGAGGATAAAAGTGCTGTAAAGACACATGAATGCAGCTGTAAAATCCCCCATACCCCTATAACCTCTCTCTTTCTGCACTCCCCTATCTAGTGATGTTGGAAAGTACCTATATCGGATTATTGTCTTCCTTCATTTTTCTTTAGATCTTACTTTTCAGAAATTTCAGTTGTCTCCACAGCCCTGAAAACAAATCTCTTAAAGAATCATGTAATGTTGTTAGATTTTCCCAACTTATTCCATTAAATTGGTAGATAGGATGCTTGGAGTGTGTAAAACAATTACCTTGAGCTTTGTTAAACCCTTAGCTTCTCCTTCTGAGTGCATAGGAACCTGTCCTAGTGCTCATCACGTGGCACTGACATTTCTATTTTAAAAATCTGTGAGGGCAGATTTTAATTCTGCAAGGGCAGGGTGATACCAGCCTTGCTCACAGCTTGATCTCGTGCCGGATACATAGTTGGTGAAAAACTGACAAAATGTGTTGATTAAGCAAGTAGTAGGTGGTGTGATAAGAGCAATCTAAATCCACACTGGGGGCTTGTGAGGGTGGCTACTCCCTCCTTGGTAACCTTGTAAACTGTTGGGAACCAATGACTCCCGGTCTCTTCAAATAAAGTACTAGGTATTCAGGCCTATGATATTTTGATCTTTATTTTATACAGCTCTGAACAAACCAGGTTTGAAGAGTCAAAAAAAAAAAAAAAAGTCCCTGATGTGTGTGTGTGTGTGTGTCTTTTAAAAAATGATAAGGGGAAGGCTGGGCATGGTGGCTCATGCCTGTAATCCCAGGACTTTGGGAGGCCGAGGTGGGGGATCGCTTGAGTCCAGGAGTTCGAGACCAGCTTCAGCAACATGGTGAAACCCCATTGCTACAAAAAATACAATAATTAGCTGGGTGTGGTGGTATGCGCCTGCAGTCCCAGCTATTTGAGAGGCTGAGTTGGAAGGATCGCTTGAGCCAGGGAGGTCAAGGCTGCAGTGAGCCTTGATCATACCACTGCACTCCAGCCTGGGCAACAGAGTGAGACCCTGTCTCGAAAACAAACAAATCACAAAACAAAAAAAACAAAACAAAACGGATTATAAGGTTAGGGCCCCCCCCCCACCAACCTTTTTCTATGCCCAAAGTAAGTATTTGTTGAAATACAACCTCTTCTAGGATAGACATCACATTGGGAGACATGTGATTTGTTAAAATGCCATCACAAACTGTTTAAAATCAGTAGCCATAGTATCTATATATAGTATCTATGTCACCTTCATCAGTTTAAATTTAAGACTCCAACAGGTTAATTTGTCTTTTTCAGTTTAAAACTTAAGATCCCATGAAGTGGCCGGGCGCGGTGGCTCACGCCTGTAATCCCAGTGCTTTGGGAGGCCGAGGCGGGTGGATCACAAGGTCAGGAGATCGAGACCACTCTGGCTAAGACAGTGAAACCCCATCTCTACTAAAAATACAAAAGTTAGCCGGGCGTGGCCGCGTGCACCTGTAGTCCCAGCTGCTGGGGAGGCTGAGGTGGGAGAATGGCGTTAACCCGGGAGGTGGACCTTGCAGTGAGCCGAGATCGCGCCACTGCACTCCAGCCTCGGCGACAGACAGAGACTCCATCTCAAAAAAAAAAAAAAAAAAAAAAAAAAAAAAAGTCCCATGAAGTTGGAAATTTCCAGTCTCTGTCATCTGAAAATCAGCAGTGAATGAAAAGGAGGCTTTAAGATGATCGGGATCCTAGATGCTCTTCCCTTTGCAGTAACAGAAGCTAATCCAATCAGTTCAGTATAGCAAATAATAAATTTATTAGGTGCCTACAAGTACAAAATACTGAAAGCCGCTGCAGGGGATTATAAAGATGTGTAAGAGACAAGCCCTGCCCTCAAAGAGCTTACAATCTAGGCAATTAGTCACACAAATAAGTTGTGATGGCGCTCTAAGTGACCTCAGCAGAGTTCTTGAAAATGTTCATATCCTTCAAATTCTTCTCTTGTCAAATTAAACAGTGGGAAAGAGAACTTTTGTGGCATTCACTGGTGACCCTGACTCTGCTTGCAAGCATCTTTCTGCTGTTGCACGTTGTCGTCATCCTCTCAGCGTCGTTTCCTAACTGGACCTTTGTTGGAGAGAATCTCCGTGCTTCCTGAACCTTCACCAGGGTTTCCTGTTTGGGAGTGGGTGGCTCAGTTGCAGTTTGGCCTTGGAATGATTTGCAGTCCGATTTTTCCTTCAGCAAATCGCTCTTTTGATTGTAGTTGATGCTAAAATGCTATGCTTTGCAATCTGTGGTTTTAAGGGTGGGAGTGAGATGCAATATTAAGGAAGGCAGCCCAGACTTTTCCCTTACTTTAAACATTTAATAATAGTGCACTTATTGATTATAATCTGTACAGATATAGAGCAAGTTATAAACCTCTTCCTTTTATTTATTTTCTTCACTTAGACTGTATTCACGTAAAGTGTATTTACAATAAGAAGAAAAAAGCCTTGAGGTACAAAACCCAAAAGAATATCTGAGGTATAAATACAAGTATATCTTAAATAATAATCTTTATCATGCTTTATCTATGTTTGAAAGCACAGTGGACATGTTTCTTAATAGAATGGTATATACAACATACAATCTTACAAATCTGGAAGCCATCAAAATTGAATATCCATGTATATCTTCATGAGGAACACTGATATCCAAAATACTCAAATTTTAAAACTCTAATCTGATGCCCTGCCCCAAAATTCTTCAAAGAACCTTTGAAATAACACTGAAAATGGTAACTAAATTATAACAAAATAAAAATCCTTCTTACAGCTCTCATTCATACATTATTCACTTTTGATCCATACACAATAAATTTACTAATACTGTCTCTTGAGTCAATCCTTACCATTACAGTAAAACCTGAATAAAGACCACCCTTCTAAAGGTTCTAAAAAACTTCACTGGTTTGGGTTGGTTTTCTTCTTGTTGCGTTTTACTATGATTACTATTTTTCATTACCACTTAAATATATTTCCAGGGCATTCTAAAGGAAAAAAAAAAAAAAAGAAATGTAGGAAAAATAAAATAAGACAAAAAGTCATAAAACCAGAAAACCTATTTGCTGATAAGAACAAGCCCAATGAATAAACACATGTGGCTTTCAGGAATGCCGTTAACAACCAAAGGCGGGGAAAAAGCCTTTTGTAGGTGAGTTAAATTTACAGGGATTTCCTTGGGACACACATAGTTTCCTATATTCCCAAACATAGTGTCTTAAGGCGTTTCTGTTACAAACACAAAAATGCAAAGAATTCTAACAGGGAAAAAGTGTTGATGCTTGATTTAAGAGTAAGTGTTATCGTGTTCAGTTTTTATATCTCGACTTAAACAAAAAACAAAACAAAACAAAACAAAACCCTGTGGATCAGAGCCAGTAAGGCTAGAGGGAGCAGTTCATCCCTGAACTAATCCATACTGGTTAAAACTACATCACTATTTGCAATCGGGTCTAAAAATAAACTGCATTTGGAATGGGTGTAAGAGCCAACCTATTACAATCAAAGTACAGAAGAGGTTCGTGGAAAAGGAATATGCTTAATAACTTCGAAAAAAAATACCCATAAATGGACAAGGGTGTTGGGCCCCCTTTCTGGGTGGATTCAGGGGTAGTCAGATATTCCAGGTTAAACTGAACCTGATGCATCAATCTCCTTCTTGGAGGTGTCTCAGTGTGCCAGACACTGAATCCACCTTAGACATCTATTGCCATTCAGCCAGCAACAAACACACATTCACACTCCTCTGTGCAAACCTTTCTTTGCTCATCTTGGTGAGAAAACACATCCAAGAGTACCAACTATTCCAGTGGATACACCAGTCCCTCAACACACTGCAAATAAAGCGACACAGGTACGCATACACTGATATCACAAGAGAATGAAGTATCTTCATTATCTTCCATAATGTATTTAAAGAGTTTTGCTTCTCAGAAGCAATTTGAATAAGAATACACATAAATTTTTTTTTTTTTTTTGCACAGTCTTACATATTCCAGTCAAGGTCTATGAATACAGACCCTCAACAAACAGGAAGCAGCTTTAAAAATGTATCAAATTGCTATAGTCAATTCCTACACTCCAGCTTGTAGTTTTCTTTGTTTCAGGATTAGACACAGAACCCATTCTTCAAGGACTGGCAAAAGTTCTAGAAACAAACACCATGGTGGTGGAAGCGGTTGCGTTGCTTCAGTGATCACCTAGATTTGGTGTCTTTGGTTTCAGTGTTCTGGTTACTGAAGGAATCCCGGATCTTTACAACTTCAGCTGCACACAAATGTCCAAAAGATTTTGTGTACCATTCTGGCATGTGGCCCCTATCAGAGAAAAGAAAGAAAAGCTGATGAATTATTTAAGTTAGAAAGCATGGAAATAAAATGAGAAACATCTGTTTGCTAGTTCAAATGCATAAAATCTATCATTTCCCATGCCTTTGAATTCATGGCCGAGCTACCATATTTGCTTTGCTTTAGAACCACATTTTCTAAGGGAACCAAATTACGAAGTGGTCGCTGAAAGACCAACAAACATGAAATGCTACTTTCTAAACACCATTCTTCATGAAGTCACCAAGAAAAAATGACGTGTTTGTTTAAGGCATTCTTTGCATTAGACAAAAAGTCAGAATTTCCTTCATGACCCTCACCATATAAAAAAATCAGAATCAGAACATACCTTAAGTCAACTCTGCACATGTAGGTGAGTTTGGATTTTCCTGGCCCACAGGGTTCAATCAAATACCTGGACAAGAGCACATTAACCCTCACACCCACCACAGGTGCGCGATCGTGATCCACAGAGGTTAGTAAAAGGGCACAGGCTCCTTTGGGTAAATTAGTCCTCCAGGTTCTGTAGAGACAAAACCAGAGGCAGAAATGATGGAATTTCATAGAAGCCAAGTTTAAAATCGTGCTTCACTCTTCACTATTTGCAGTGTGGTGACGGGTCAGGCTCAGTGGCCATGCTGTGTGACCCAGGCCTAGGTAAATGGCATCCTCTAAACTACTTGCTATGGTGTACATGTGTTCCCCAAAAAGCATGTGATGGAAAGTGAATGCCCAATACAACAGTGTTGGGAGGTGGGGCCTAATGGGAGCTGGATTAATGCCAATTATAAAAGAGCTTAAGGCTGGGTTCCATGGCTCACGCCTGTAATCCCAGCACTTTGGGAAGCTGGGGAGGGAGGACTGCTTGAGCTCAGGAGTTCAAGACCAGCCTGGACAACATAGTGATACCTCATCTCTACTAAAAATAAAAAATATTAGCCGGGCATGGTGGTGTGCTCCTGTAGTCTCAGCTACTCCGGGGGCTGAGATGGTAGGATTGCTTAAGCTGTAATCATGCCACTGTACTCAAACTTGGGCAACAAAGTGATACCCCCCCATCTCAAAATAAATAAATATAAAAATAAAAATGGCTTGAGGCTGCACATTTGCTCTTTTGCTCTCCCTTGCCCTCTCTTTGCCCTTCCACTATGGGATGACACAGCAAAAAGACCCTCATTAGGCATGGTGGGTGGCCCATGCCTGTAATCCCGGCGCTTTGGGAGGTTGAGGTAGGAGGATCGCTTGAGCCCAGGAGTTTTGAGACCAGCCTGGACAATATGGTGACACCATGTCTCTACCAGAAACAAAAAAATTAGCCAGGTGTGATGGCACATGCCTGCAGTCCCAACTACTTGGGAGGCTGAGGGGGGAGGATTGCTTGAGCCTGGGAGGTGAAGGCTTCAGCAGCCATGAGTGTGCCACTGCACCCTAGCCTTGGTGACAGAATGAAACCATGTCCCCAAATCAATCAAACAACCAACCAACTAACCAGATGCAACTACTTGATCTTGAACTTCCCAGCCTTTAGAACCATGAGCCAAATAAATATCTGTTCATTATAATTGCCTGGTCTGTGAGATTCTGTTAGAGCAGCATTACATGCACGAAGACACTGTACAAGGACTGCTGAATGAGGAACTCTGTACAGAGCCGTTGTTACAGAGGGTTTATGTGCTCAGACAGTCTCCTCTTTGAAAAAAGAGCCCATTTGAAGTGTAGCTTAAAACCATTTTTCTATTTCACAAATGTCTTGGAACACAGACACCTAAAGGAGCGCTGGCTGTTTGAAAAGGTCTGGACTTCCAATGTGACATTTCCACAAAGATTTTTGGAATTCTTCTTTCAGTAATATCTCCAGAGAATTTATGAATTACACATACATCAGCCTTAACCACATCTCCCTTGGGACTCAAATGTTATTTCCTGGCTTATTCATTCACTAGCTGTTTCTGACAAGAAAATCTATCCTAAAAGGGGCAAAAATCTGCTACGAATGAGCATATTCATTGGAAGGGGCCTCTCTTTCTGAGCTCAGTTACCAAAGAGTTCAGACCATTCTCAGCGAGGAACACACTGCTAGAATAAATGTAGATCTGTTTTCCATATTTGAAGGTGTTCACTACTTTTCTGGAAGCATATGTTTTGTTTTGTTTATTCAGAAATAAGGTCTTGCTCTGTTGCCCAGGCTGCGGTACAGTGGCATGCTCACAGCTCACTGCGGCCTCAAACTCCTGGCTCAAGGGATCCTCCTGCCTCGGCCTCCCGAGTAGCTAGGACTACAGGCATGCACCACAACATCTAGCTGATTTTTAAAATTTTTTTGTAGAGATAGGGTCTTGCTATATTACCCAGGCTGGTCTTGAACTGCTGGCCTCAAGTGATCCTCCCACCTTGGCCTCCCAGAGTGCTGGGATTACAGGTGTGAGCCACCATATGCCCGGCCTCTACTTTAAATAATTATACCATCTTGTAAGATCAGTGACATATAGGCTTGGTTCATATATGGAGTCATCCTTGTCACAAAAAAACAACTGGGAAGCGCTCACCTTAAAACAACGTAGTCTCGAGCAGGATGAGGTGCCATACTGTTTTGGACATACTGGTAAATTTCAGTTTGGCTGTCCAGAATTTCGATCACTTTTGAATCCAACAGGTCTACATCCCAGAGGTGCTGTTCTTTAAGTAGGCGCTTTAAGATTTCCTCTGGCACAGCAGGGACTTCAATGACTGACCTCCAAAGCCTCAGAGGGGGTCCTTCGCTCACCTGGAAAGAGGATGTATTTTTCAGTGCCAAGGCAATCCATACACACCTAGTTTTTGAAGTCGAATTGTTAGTTAGACTAACAATTTTAGTTACATATAATCAACGTTAATTGATTAAATGATATAAATAATACTATATAATCAGTATATAAAGAAATATTGGGGGCTAATAAATCTATGACTTAAATAGGCTGCTGTCCCCAAGCATATTTAAGAGCAAGCCAGAAAGTGAAAAAAAGCTGTTGTCAACTCGAGTCAAAATGATGACATTTGAGCCGGGTGCAGTGGCTCATTCCTGTAATCCCAGCACTTTGGGAAGCCGAGGCGGGTGGATCATCTGAGGTCAGGAGTTCAAGACCAGCCTGGCCAACATGGTGAAACCCTGTCTCTACTAAAAATATGGAAATTAGCCAGGCGTGGTGGCAGGCACCTGTAAGTCCAGCTACTCAGGAGGCTGAGGAAGGAGAATCACTTGAACCTAGGAGGCACTTTGCAGTGAGCTGAGATCACACCACTGCACTCCAGCCTGGGTGATGAGAATGAAACTCCATCTCAAAAGAAAAAAGAAAAAAATGATGACATTTGTTTTTTTTTTTCTGGGACCTATATCAGAGTGCATGCAATAAAGAAATATCAGTCACTGGCAGGGCATGGTGGCTCACGCCTATAATCCCAGCACTTTGGGAGGCCAAGGTGGGCAGTCACAAGGTCAGGAGTTCGAGACCAGCCTGGCCAATATGGTGAAACCCCGTCTCTACTAAAAATACAAAAATTAGCATGGCGTGGTGGTGGGCACCTGTAGCGCCAGCTACTCGGGAGGCTGAGGCAAGAGAATAGCTTGAAACCGGGAGGCAGAGGTTGCAGTGAGCCGAGATCATGCCACTGCACTCCAGCCTGGGTGACAGAGCAAGACTCCATCTCAAAAAATATAAATAAATAAAAACAAAAACATCAGACATTTGCACTCATTTCCAAAGCCGGCAAGGCCACCCAGCCTACTCCCACTGTTTGTTTATTTTCAAGATGGTAGAGGCGGCATCAACATATACCTCCGATGGACCTATCCTGCTGAGCCTTACAAGATGCCTCTGCCCTCAAGAGGTTTACCAGTCCTAACTGGAGTTAATTTCCCCCTAAGGGATCCCCGCTCATTAAAGGGCCAAGAGAACAGTAACTAAGAACAGAGAAGAGTGCAAAGGGATTCTGACCAAATTATGGAAAAATCGAAGCGTGTCATAGGATGTTCCGCATCTCAATGCCATTAGCAAAACATTCTAGGGAAGTCTAGTGTGATTCTGTAGAGCCAAAGGAGTTCATTAGAAATAGTTGAAATCCTCTCCCAAGTGTTACACAGGAAGAAAATTACTCTTGCTTTGCCCGGTTTCCACTCTCACCACGGGGATCTTACTCACCCCGGTGCCCAGCTCTACAAGGGAGGTTGTGGGCTACAGATCCCCAGACAGATTAGTTGGCAAAAGCGTGTTATCTCTGATGGACCCAAGCTTCGACTCCTGGACTCAACTAGCCGACAACAGGGTGAAGCCTTACCTTCTTATAGGACAGCTCAGCCTGCTCCGAAGTGGAGTAGCTGACCCAGCCTTTAAACTTCTCTTTGACTTCTTTAAACAGGCCATCCACACAGTCCTGGAGGAAGTGTTGGTAGTCAGCTGAGTCATCATTACCCAGGTGCCCGAGTGCTTCCAGAGTGAGGGGCTTCAGCTCTTGTTCGGTATAGGAATTACGACATCGGCTCATTTCCTCGGGAACCTGTGCGGAACATGACAGACAGAAAGGAGGTGAGTCCACCTGTACTCAATCTCAATGCCCATCAGTGGAAAAGACTGGGTAGGAACAATGGCCTGGTCCTTAAAGCAGTGCAGGCATCTTCCCGCCGGAGGTGGGCTATCATGCTGACCGCACGTGTTATCACGAGGATATGAACAGATCACCTCCATAAATGTATCTGAAATCTTATTTCCATGTAAGGTCTTTGGAAAGTTAGAGTAGGGGGAGTGAATTACATTGGTCAAAGCAGGTTTCTCAGATACGGAAGTGGATACAGCAGTTTAATTCCAGATAATTTGTTGCTTTTTCTTTCTTTCTTTCTTTTTTTTTTTTTTGAGAGAGAGTTTCATTCTGTTACCTAGTGGAGTGCAGTGGCAAAATATTGGTTCATTGCAACCTCCACATCCCTGGGCTCAGGTGATCCTCCCACCTCAGCCTCCCAAGTAGTTGAGACTACAGGTGTGCACCACCACACCCGGCTAATTTTTAAATTTTTTTTTGTAGAGATGAGGTCTCACCATGTTGCCCGGGTTGGTCTTGAACTCCGGAGCTCAAGTGATCCACCCACCTCAGCCTCCCAAAGTGTTAGAATTACAGGCGTGAGCCACTGCGCCCGGCTGCTTTTCCAAGTAAAGGGACAATTTCATTAAACATGATTAACTCTAGCTGATACATTATAATATATGTAAATAAGACATTCTCAGGCTATTTATACCGTCTCCAGCTGTGGAAAAGGTCTTCAGGTAAGACATGAACAAGGGTCAAGCCTAAGATTTTGTACCTATTCACATTATCCTTAATAAAGGAGCCAAACTTCTCAATTCCTTACCTGGAAAAGCTTCTTGCACTCGGCGATCATATGGGCCAGCCCTTGAGTGGCAGCTAGGTTTTCATTCAAATCTTTCTGATCTGGTTTGCCCAAACTTTGTTTTCTTTGCATTACCCTAGGTAGAAGAAATACAGGAGGGGAACAGTTCAAATATTTATATATTTTTCTTCAAGGTATTATTCAAGGAAACCCAAAGAAGAGAGAAAAAAAAATTTTCACTGGAATCTGTTTATTGTTAAGTGGATTAAGAGTGTTTTTACTTTGGTCACCAGAGTATCTCAGAGTTTTGTCAACAACACACAAAAAAACATTAAAGAGATATGCTTTTGATGAAATCCAGGTGATTCAAACCATTTAATTAAATAGGTTCCTACTGGGAACAGGGCAGCTTGTAGGGGCTGTGTTTGCATGGTGGGGGAGCAACTTCTGAGGAGTGTGGGAAAGGAGTCCCAGGGAGTTGGAGTAAAGGGTGTCATCATCTTTATCTGCCTGAATACACAGGCCCCCTCCCACAGGTGAGGGCTAAGTCCATTGTTTCCTTGACCTTTTGTCTTCATCTTATTTGATCTCTCTCCTCTACTCATCTCTAGCTCTGTATCCCATTGCAGTTGGAATGCCCCAGTCAACTTTAAGAACTATTTAAATGTGGCCGGGCGCAGTGGCTCACGCCTGTAATCCCAGCACTTTGGGAGGCTAAGCCGGGTGGATCATAAGGTCAGGAGCTCGAGACCAGCCTGGCCAACATGGTGAAACCCCGTCTCTACTAAAAATATAAAAATTAGCTGGGCGTGGTGGCAGGCACCTATAGTCCCAGCTACTCGGGAGGCTGAGGCAGGAGAATGGCTTGAACCTGGAAGGCAGAGGTTGCAGTGAGCTGAGATCGTGCCATTGCCCTCCAGCCTGGGCAACAGAGCAAGACTCTGTCTCAAAAGGAACTATTTAAACATACATTTAAACATTATATGACTTTCAGAAGCAACCTAACCTGCACTAGCATAACTAGGCCCCAGGCCTCTAGCTAAGAAATACTTTTCAAGTTCCTTTAGAGCTGAGGAAAAGGATCAGTTCGATGGATTTTGTCTGTGGGGGTTAAGTCCAGTGAGACTATTTTCTCATGCACGCCAACAGACCAGTCTCAGGTATGTCTTTATTAGCGGTGTGAGAATGGACTAATATAGCGGTCTAACCTTCTTGCTTGTTTCAGGAAAGAGTCCCACAAAACCACAGCTACGGAGAGTCCTAGGAAGAATGTAGGCTGCCCCCTGTGTGCATGCACCTCCCATGCAGCCCGTACCTGGGAGAGGAATTCTCTCTCTTCAGGGTGTTGAGATGGAAGAGGGAAGGCGCTAAGCACACGGCCAGGTTGGTTGGGGTCATCTGGTTTTCTTTTACGGCTGCTGTGACATCGCTCAGGAAATAAAGCAGGGTCTGCAGAACCTCCCGGTTCTCGTCAGGCAGCAGCATGATGGCAGCCTTGATGGCCTGCAGGCGCTGGTCCTTGGGCACATCTGCACGACACCAGCACTTTCTCCATCAGCTTGGTGAATTTGCATGGACATTGCAAGGAAATGTCCCAGAGCAAATATCGGCATCAAATACCTCAGCCCAGTACTGAACAAGCACTTGTAGAAAGTGCACTAGAGGTTAATACGGTAAAAGTTATGAATTGCCACCGGCGTCACTATCCTCAAGTATTTCCTGCCTCATGAAGGAGTGAAAAAATTTTTAAACACCCACAATACCCAAACACTCTTAAATCCACCTCAGAGTTCGGCTCTAGAGGATGCCTGCTCTTTTAGTTTACAGAACAGTTTTTTCTTTCCTAAGCATGAAAAAAAAAAATCCCTAATTTATCAATCTCAATTACTGAAAACACTATACACTTTTGTTTAGTGTTGATGAAAAATCTTATCTGAGATATGTACAAGAACGTAAGAACAGAGATCTCTCAGCCTTGAGTACAAAATGTTCAGTATCTCTGGAGATTTGCATGAGTTTAACTGATTTGTTCCTTCTTGAAGTGGGAAAAGCTGCTAAAATATTCAGTTCTGAATTGAACTGAACTGAAAATATTCAGTTCAGTTCAATTAATAAATAAAACACACTGAATTAGTAATTTCTTAAGTTTTAGAAAGCATGCTCGAGAGGCTATAAAAATGCATATGAATATGCAAATATATAAAAATGCAAATAAACCCATAAACAATCTACAGGTAGAAAATGCTGATCCCGATCTTCAGGTCTCCTTGAATACATAACTCTTTAAAAGAGCATGTGGTGGAAAAATCAAGTCACTCAAATGTAGCTCCATAGGACAAACTGATTAAACAGCTCCATGGTTACAGCACATAACAAATACCTCGGTGAGGAAAATGTGACCTGTGTTTTTATAAAATATGAAAGGATGAAACAACCAATGAAATAATCCAGACCAGCTCCATTTCTCATAAAATAAAGTCCACTGTGCCAATCCTAGAGACAATTTGAGCGCTAAGAGAGGCTGCTTTTAAATTACGTTGCTGTAATACCACACTGAGCCAAGAAAAACACAAGGCTGTAAAAGCCATAATCCTGATCTTGATCATTAATTTCGACAACTGTTTTCTTTAAGCTTTACATAAAAGTAAGAAGGGCATGGGTATTGTTCTCCCAAGTATTTCTGGCAGAGACTGAGATGAATAACAGAAAAAGATTATTTATTCATTTTACAGCAAGATAAAACACACAGACACCTGTGAAATTTTAAATCCAACGGCCCTCCAAGAGGGGTGTGAAGCAACTGAAATTTCTGTAGACAAGGTGGAGACAGAAAGAGATCTTCGTACCTGATCTTTATCTGACCAGCTCAGATAACACTGTTCTAGAAACTAATGAAAGTCTAACTTTTCATTTTGCACGTAAAAACGTACAATTGCATCAGTCATTAGAGACTGGGAAATTTATTTTCACATCATTCAATAATTACACAGAAACCTGTTCCACAAACAAGGCGGCAAGGAAGAAGGTGATGACATGGGTTTCCAAGAGGTCACCATGCAGACTCTCTTGTCAAAAGAACGCTATCAAGGCCAGGCGTGGTGGCTCACACCTGTAATCCTAGCACTCTGGGAGGCCGAGGTGGGAGGATCACTTGAGGTCAGGAGTTCGAGACCATCCTGGCCAATATGGTGAAACCCTATCTCTGCTACAAATGCAAAAATTAGCCAGACGTGGTGGCGCCCTCCTGTAGTCCCAGCCACTTGGGAGGCTGAGGTGGGAGAATCGCTTGAACCTGGGAGGCAGAGGTTGCAGTGAGCCGAGGTCACGCCACTGCACTCCAGCCTGGATGACAGAGCGAGACTCCATCTCAAAAAAAAAAAGAATGCTATCAAGGAAGCTACAAGCTTCAGTTGGTCCCATTTTTCCCCAATGCCAACAATCTTAAGATCAAAGGACACTCACATTGGTAGATCTGTAGAAAGGTTTCCGAGAGTTTGTTCGTCATTAGTGGCTCAGGAAGATCTCGAAAATACTGCTTCAGCATGTCTGCCACGTCATAAGCAGACTGTCCTTCGTAGTTGACACAGTCTATGGCACCTTCATTCATCTGGCGCAGAGCCTGAATCCGGGACTTGACCCCCGATTTTCTGAAGAGCCCAACCTGTCGGAAGAGCAACACTAAGTGTGGGGTACATTCACGTGGACGCAGTGTTTACACCACACAACTAGAAGAAGCTGCATGTAATCCGAGCTCCCCTGAGTACGTGGACCCGCAGGCAGCGCTCTCACCTGATCCAAACAATGGTTCCGGAGGTATCGCATGGCCTGCTGGATGCTCTGAGGCAACGGTTGTCCTGTGCGCTGCACGTTGACCGTCAGTGGGACCCCAAACACACTCCGGTCCTTGTAGTCTGGAACCTTGATCCTCTTCATGAACTTGGGCACGGCCCTGTTAAAGAACACAGAGATGGTGGTGTTGGCGGAGACATGCTCACTTGTCTGTCTACACTTGTCCAATTCTGCAGGCAAACCCTGTGGGCTCCAGATCTGTGCTAATACGGTGGCTACTTAAATTTAAATTAAACAAAATGACAAATTCAGTTCCCCAGTGGTACTGGCCACACTTCAGGTGCTCCTTCATCTTTTGTGCTCAGTACCTACTGTATTGGCCTGTGCAGATAAAGAACATTCCTATCATCCAGACAGTTCTCCTGGACAGTGCTGTTCTAGATCTTCTAAGAGTGGGGGTTGACAGGTCCGTTTCCTCAGTTAGGAGCGTCCTTCCACCTTGAACCTGGAGAATTGGGGTCTACAGTCTTAAGGAAGCTGATGGATTTCCTTACAGAATGGCGGTATAGGAAGGAACAAGCAGAAAACAACATGTAATACCCTAATTAGGTGCATCTGATAGAGTGTGAAAAACAAGGTCCCTTTTGTCTTGAAAAAAGGGTAAGAATCACTTCTGAGTTCTTGATGAGATCGAAAGCATTTAGGGTCAAAAGGCGCAGATAACACATGATGGGAAAACAGCAATGAGAGCCTAACACAATGGGAGCCAACTCCAGAGCTCAACAGTGAATGACCTGAAGTCAAAATAAAATCTGCTGCTGATGACCCGGAGAACATTACATCTTTAGGTTTCTAAAGGAAGATGGAAAAGGAACAATGGGGGTTTTGTGAGCCGACCCCAGGCTCCCTGGTGTCCTGAAACCAGGTCCACCCCAGCACTATATGCAACAGCAGGAAACCCATGTCATGCATTTCAGGCTGTCAAGCAGAAATTCCAGCTCTCCAAATGACCTCTCTGAACAGGACCCGAAAGGGCAAGGCCAAACAGGAAAAGAACCTTGTGTAGGATTCCTCCCTGCTCCACAGATCCCACCATGTGAGGCTTTTACAGTTGGTTTTGAGTCACTGGAAACACTGACCAGAACTCAAGAAGTATTATGGACTTTCAGATTCTTGAGGGTTTGGTGGGATGGGGGTGGGCCACTCCGAAATGAGAATCTAAAATATGCAGTTTTAAATAGCCAGCAGGGAAAATATTACTCTAAGCACAGAGGAACTCCAGAGAAGACAGACTGCTTTGCCTTTTGAATGCTCACCAGCAGCCATGGCATGTTACTGTTTATAGCTCCAGGAAAGGTAAAACGAAAGAGCAAAGTTAAGTTTGTATTTCCATACAGTTAAGTGTGTGGTATCATGGCTATAAGTGTGCATAATACTCGCTTTGTCGGGGGAGAAAAGCCCGACGGCGGAATGTGAAAAGAACACATTACGATCCCCACCGAGAATCTGAAGCATGTGAGGATAAACCGGTCAATACTTATTTCTGTCATTCAGAACAAACAACTTCTGTATTTAGCAAGGCTCACATAATAACAGCCTTTGAACGGGAGGTGCTTTGATGCTGAAGTTAAATCTGCTATGAGTCCTAAGGAGAGGAGGAGCTGGAGACAAAAAGAACAGTTTCCTTGCTTTGCCGACTTTCTCAAGCAACTTGGGTTTGCTACAGAGTGCTACTAATGAAATGGGCGGCTTCTCCATTTTTATCAAATATGGTAGTGTGCGACTGGATAATAAACACTCAGATTACTGAAAAGACTTAAGGATTCCCAGATGACACTGAAAAATGCACTGAGATGTCAATCTAGAAACATTTCTCTGCTTGGCACTGATAGCAGAAAAATTAAGATGTACCCAGATTAGGTGATATCCATGACCCATCTAGCCTTACAGCCTACCCCTCACATTCTATATACTAAGGAGCTATATTTTTCAAAGTAATTATGAACAATTTGTACAATGCATTTCATCTCTACATTTGAGTCTATAATATGTTAGAGTAGTGAATTCCTTAAAATAATTATTCACTGTTAGACAGTCTTTGCTAGAAAAAAAGTAACCTGAATTCTTTAGCACAGGTGGATGCTACAAATATTCACATCCAAATTTATTATTATTATTATTATTATTATTTTTTGAGATAGAGTCTTACTCTGTCACCCAGGCTGGAGTGCAGTAGCCTTATCTTGGGGCTCACTGCAACCTCCATCTTCTGGGTTCAAGGGATTCTCATGCCTCAGCTTCCTGAGTAGATGGGATTACAGGTGCATGCCACCACACTCAGCTAATTTTTGTATTTTTAGTAGAGATGGGGTTTCGCCATGTTGGCCAGGCTGGTCTCAAACTCCTGGCGTCATGTGATCCACCTATGTCAGATTCCCAAAATGCTGGGATTACAGGCATGAGCCACCACACCCGCCCCAAAATGATTTCTAAAAACAGGCATGAATACGGTTATAAGACCAGGTACTGTAAATCAAGAATTTCAAAGATGGTCTCATTAAATCTTATTGTTTTCCTTTTCCTCCATCCAAAAATACGATCTGATACTGTGCATACATTTACTTATAGTGGATTATTCTTAATATTGGGAAGGAGGTGCCTATACCACGTGATGCAAGAGTAATGCATTCTCACCCCATCAACTGGCAATCTGTCACTCAAAGAGCTGAAAACTCAATCAACCCACCCACGCTGATAATTTCCTAAGACTCCACTGGCTTCAACAATATCAAATGTGGCCTCAAGAATATAGAGAGTGGCTGGCGTGGTGGCTCACGCCTGTAATTCCAGCAACTTGGGAGGCCGAGGCAGGTGGATCTCTTGAGCCCAGGAATTCCAGACCAGCCTAGTTAACACGGTGAAACCCCATCTCTTCAAAAAGGAAAAAAGAAAAAAAAAAAAAAAAAAAAAAAAGCTAGCCGGGTGTGGTGGAAAGCAACTGTAGTCCCACCTACTCAGGAGTCCAGCCACTCTGGAGCCTCAGGTGGGAGAATCGCTAGAGCCCAGAAGGTCAAGGCTGCAGTGAGCCGAGATCGCACCACTGCACCGCACTCCAGCCTACGTAACAGAGCAAGACCCTGTCTCAAAACAAACAAACAAACAAACAAAAATGCAGAGAGTGATTGCCATAGGATGACAGATGAAATATATTAATAAAGGAGAGAAGTGTCATTTTTTACTGTGGGGACAACCTCAAGGAACTGACCAAAAATATCATTTTCAACGACAGTTGACTGATCATTTAAACTCTTACCAGCTAAAACCATGCTTGTTAGAAGGTGTGTATTTCTCCAGCAGGGCCGTTAGCTTTAGGAGTGAGTATTTCTGCAGCAGGTTCATCTGGGCCACAGACTGGCAGTTAATCTGTAGTGATACAGAGTTGAGGCTTGGCCGATGTGAGCTCTGGAAACTGTGCCATCTCAGTCGGTGCCTGCGAGAGAAGAGGAGAGGAAAATGAGTGTGAAGCCTTTTTATTTGATTTTATTTATTTTATTTTTTCTTGCTCTGTTGCCCAGGCTGGAGTGCAGTGGTGCCATCACAGCTCACTGCAGCCTTGAACTCCTCAGCTCAAGTGATCCTCCTGCCTCAGCCTCCTGAGTAGCCAGGACTGTAGGCCTGTGCCACCACATCTGACTCATTTTTTAATTTTTTGTAGAGATAGAGTCTCCCTATGTTGTCCAGCTTGGTCTCAAACTCTTGGCCTCAAGTGATCCTCCCACCTCGGCCTCCCAAAGTATTGGATTACAAGTGTGAGCCACTGTGCCTGGCCCAAAGGCTTTTTAATAGGTAGAAGCAACATTAGCAATGGGCTGCTTGCTGGCATCTTATCTTAGGAACTGATAGGACTTGATTTCTATCCCATGCTTTAATCCCCATTATGGGAAAATATACACAATATAAAGTGCACCATTTTCACCATTTTTAAATGTGCAGTTGAGTGGCACCAAGTTCATTCTCATTGTGTGACCATCTCTGCCAACCATCTCCAGAACTTTTTTCATCTTCCCCAACCGGAACTCTATACCCATTCAATCCTATCGATTTCTTTGAATTTTGGTGCTTCCTGGTTTGACACCTTCCTTAGGAATGGACATGGCTAAGAATGCCAGACTTAATCCCATTTCTTCCCACAGAACAAGCACAGGCAATGTCTTTCTGACCCCCAGTGCCCCACACCCGGAGGCAGGAGAAAAGTTCTTACCTGTTGGACCTGGTTAGGGAAGCCCCAACCCCAGAATCCCTTCTTTCCGGGATCTCGGAGGGCTCTTCCGGTTCATTCAGGGAGTTGCCTGTGCTGTCCAGGTCGCTGGGTGTGGTTCGGTCGTTGTCCACATCCAGGTGTATCTGTTTTGGAGAGGACGGGCAGGGAGAGACCGAGTCCAGGGCTGAGTCCGAATCTCCCTCATCAGAAAACTTCTCCGACCACTGATTGACTATCCGCTGCATCCCCTTCACGTGGTAGAGGATGTCGTCCAGCTCGGGGAAGATGTCCTCGTTCTCCAGATCCGCCAGGTCCCCTGAACTGGAGTAGAGGATGGAGCCCGGCACGTTGTCGTAGATGCTCAGGCGGCTGCTCATGGAGCTGGAAGAATTGCGTCTCTTCAGTTCCTTGGGGCTGTCGCTACTGTTTTCCCTCCTGAGGCTGATGTGGCCAGGGCCGTGGAAGCTTCCCGTCCTCCAGTTCACAGAGCCGTTATTCCCCGAGGGGGAGAAACTGCCATTGGTGAGAGCTTTGGGGAAAGTGCCAGGCTTGTGATCTTCAGGGATGTAGAACACCGTGTCCTCTGGGTAGCTCTCGCGGTTCTTAAAGTTCTGCTCCACCACGTTGTTAAATGTTGACTGATTGAAAGGATCGAAGCCCTCTAAGTACATGCCCACCCGCTTGTTGCACGCACTGAGGCTCCGGGTCCTCGTAACAGGGCTGGGCGTGCTGACCGCGCTGCTGGTCTCCGACTGGCTGCTGCTGCTGCTGGTCTGCGTGGAGTTGGAAACGCTCCTCTTTCGTACCATGGGGACGTTGATGCGGTTGCCATTGAGGGCGGAGATCTCCACGCAGTTGAGCTGCTTCAGCTTCTCCTCATCCATCCCCTCTTGCAAGATGGGCCCGCTGATGATCAACCCCAGCTTTGAGGGCGCTTTGTGCTTGCTGTGATGGGAGCTCTTGAGCTTCAGGCTCTCCATCCGTTTCAGCAGACTGCGCGTCTTGGACTTGGCAGTTTTTTCGTGGCCTTTCATGCTGAAGCTGAAGCTGGACAGTTCCTTGGGAGAGGGCAGGCTGCCGAAAGAGTCGTCATTGCCTGCCAAGTTGCTGGAGGAGCAAACGCTGATGACGGAGTTAGTCCGGGGGGTGGCAGCATCCTCGCTGGGGGGCGCGTGGCTGGGGAGGCTGCCAGTGCTGCTGAGGCTGCGGACGGAAGACACCTCCTGGCGCTCGCTGAGGTCCATCAGCGTGCCTCCGGGGCTGGGGCCGTCCTTCGGGTGGGAGTCGTCTGGGGACCCAGGGACCAGGTCTTGTTTTGGAGAAAAGACATCAAACTCTTCAAGCCGGGACCACCTCTTGCTGTCCCTTTGGAAAGTCCATTTGCCACTGATGGCACAAGGCTCATCCTCGTCTGAATCGTCACTCTGCAAAGACAGAAAGGAGCCATTCACACACTGGGGCTGGCAGCCAGCAGGGAGCAGGGCATGAGCAGGAGGCTGCTCATAATATGCCAGTAGTATCAATTTCCCCCTTGTACTTCATGATTTTAATTTTAAAGTTTTTTTTTTTTTTTTTTTAAAAATAGGGTCTCACTCTGTTGTACAGGCTGTATTGCCCAGGCTGATTCTGAACTGCTGACCTCAAGTGATCCTCCCACCTGAGCCTCCCAAAGTGCTGCGGTGACAGGGATAAGCTACTGTGCCCAGCCCCACTTACATATTCTTTTTCTTTTTTAAATTTTTTGTAGAGAGCAGTAGTCTTACTATGCTGCCTAGGCTGGTCTCAAACTCCTGGCCTCAAGCGATCCTCCCACGTGGGCTTCCCAAAGTGTTGGGATTACAGGCATGAGCCACAGTGCCCGGTGTTTTGTTTTGTTCTTTAAATAACAAAGATGTATTTAAAGAATTTAACAGGAGAGTGCCTGACCAAATGTTGCAAGTTAAATAAGAACTATTTTATGGAAACTCTGGGATCCATAGGCTGTTCTTTAATTGCTCATAGAGGAAACCTCTGAGATGGTGAAAATTCCAGGCATGCAAAATATTTTGAACTGAAGTCAGCAATGAGCAGGACTGCCTCTGGGCTGCCTTCCATTGTGCTGTCTTTTGTTGGTGTATGTTTATATTCCCTCTTGCAATTAAAAAGGTAGTTTTCAAACACTAAGAAGAGTGGCAACTTAAATCTCTAGACACTAAAAATGTATAAGGTCTCCCACTGGAGTAAAGGGGCCCTGGATCAAGGTGGGTCATCAAGCAGATTCAGTCCACTATCAGTGCTTTGGAGACTCTTACCAGTACCTTTTCTTCCCCTCCCCCACAAGACATGAAGGCTAGCGCTCAGGCCACAGCTGACCTGTGAAGTTTCAACCTCAGTCATGCTCCAGCCAATTGAACAAGGCTTCACAAATACCCAGCCCTGACAGCTCGCGGCATTCATAAACACTAAGGAACGTCTTTGCTGATTATGCCCGATTTATGTACAGGACTCAGGGATAAGCTGTCACACGGACTATTGCATCTTGGCCTTTTCGGCAGGATATCAAAGGGCACAATTCGGTATGATACATGTCTTTTCCACTGGTGTGGAAAATATCCTGTGGCCCAAGTTTCACAGGACAATGAGTGGCAAGCATGGAGCGCTGGCTTCTAGGACTCTTCTGCATAGCTCAGTGGGCGCTGAGGTTCCAGTTCATTTGTTTAAAAGCTTTGACTCCCCAAGAAGGCAACTTTTTGCAGCTCAGGGATTCTGGCATAATTAAAATTTGAACCCGGAAGTCAGAAATATGTTCTTTGACCAGACTCATTCCTGTTTACTCTAATTTGTGACACTTACTCCCAGTACTACACCCACCTCTTCTCCTAAGATCTCATAAAAAGTCTTCACAACTCACACGCAGAAGAAAATACCATCCAGCTCGGTTGTGTACCACCATTTGACTAAACTGTGTGGGATCTCCTGCCTTCTCCTCTTCCTCTTCCAATTCCTTTCCTCCCTCCAAATCTCTTATTATTCTTCAATATTGCACAAATCGGCCTTCGCTTTCATCTCTACAGCTTTGAAGCACAGTTATTGTTATATTTGGGAAGACAGAAGAGTTGGAAATAAACCTCAGTTTATTTCCTCTATGAGCAATGCAAAAATCCACTGGGATTCCTTAAGCATGATCCCTTTATTATGTAATAGGCATTGAGTTAGTAATTAGGCAAAATAATAGCTGATGTGATCAGGTCAAAAACAATAGATAAAATAATGTAATGGACTAGTTGCAACTATTGGCTTCAACTACATAAGGCTATCAAGTCTAGGCGATATCATTCAAGATGTAGATGCTTACGGAACAACAAACTAAGAGTTGGAGAAACAAAACCTATTACAAAACACATCATTCACTTTTTTGTTTGCCCCTTTTCCCCCTCATTCTATTATGCAATTTGTATACTCACTCGTTTCCGATGAGGACTAATTTCTAGCTTCATCACCGCACATTTGTTTAAAGTATTTAGACGCCTATAGAGCAAAGAAATAACGTTAGCAAAGATAGGCAACCACTCTCTAATGAGTGGATAAACACCTGTTTTTAAACAATTCATATATTTAAGGAGTTTCTTGAAACTCAGTAATACCTAATACCTAGAGGAGTATTAGAAACTTATTTAAAAAGTGAGTCATTTAAAAATACCTTGGCCGGGCGTGGTGGCTCACGCCTGTAATCCCAGCACTTTGGGAGGCCTAGGCGGGTGGATCACGAGGTCAGGAGAGCGAGACCATCCTGGCTAACACGGTGAAACCCCGTCTCTACTAAAAATACAAAAAAACAAGCCGGGCCTGGTGGTGGGCGCCTGTAGTCCCAGCTACTCAGGAGGCTGAGGCAGGAGAATGGCGTGAACCCGGGAGGCGGAGATTGCAGTGAGCCAAGATAGCGCCACTGCACTCCAGCCTGGGCGACAGAGTGAGACTCCTTCTCAAAATAAATAAATAAATAAATAAATAAATAAATAAATAAATAAATAAATACCTTTATGTTTTGTAAGTTTTTCACTTTAATTTTTATATTTTAGTGTGAAATGGCACACAGCTATGATACTGTCAAGTCTCTCTGATTCTTCAACTCTCAATGAGTTGTTCTTACTAAGAAAAATCATTCTTCCAATAACTCTTAGGTTGAGCCATTATGGACTGCCGCACATGGAGCCAAGAAAGAAAAGTTTGTGACTCGGCACGGTGGCTCATGCCTGTAATCCCAGCACTTTGGGAGGCCGAGGCAGGCAGATCACCTGAAGTCAGGAGTTTGAGACCAGCCTGTCCAACATGGCGAAACCCCAACTCTACTAAAAATGCAAAAATTAGCTGGGCATGGTCGTGGGTGCCTGTAATGCCAGCTACTCGGGAGGCTGTGGCAGGAAGAATCGCTTGAACCTGGGAGGTGAAGGTTGTAGTGAGCTGAGATTGTGCCACTGCACTCCAGCCTGGGCAAAAGAGCCAGACTCCATCTCAAAAAAAAAAAAAAAAAAAAGAAAGAAAGAAAAGAAAAGTTTGTGATGTCTCCTTTCATAGAAATAGAAACAGCAAAACAGCAACAAAGAACCAAGTAGAGTTTTTGGCAAAATAAACAGTGTCTTGTATTTGAAATCAAAACTCAAATTTAAAAAATTAGTTTTAGTTATCTCCGATGAATCATAATCTTGGACAGCCTGTCTAAAATTTTAGAGTCCTTGCACAGAATGGAAATTGAAGCCCTCTTTAATATCCAATATTTAGAACAGCTTCCTGTTATAGGACAATATAATGTGTGCTATAGTCACGGCAAATGATCATTTAAAGAATTTGCGTACTGTAACTTCAAGGATCCAAATCTTACCGGGTTCAAAATTAAGCACTCAGGTAAGACTCTTTTTGCAACAGCCATCCTATTGTCATTTTGATACCAATACTTTCACCTCTGCCAAACAGCAATATCAATTTAAAATTAGGGAAATTTAGTTTCGTTGAAAATAAAATACTTACAAAAAAAAAAAAAACCCAAAACCTCATGGAGAAATAATGCAACAGTTGAAAAAAGAAACACTTTAAATATGCTGAACTAAACGGTATGTACAACTATGAATGACAGCCCTTCAAGGCCCCAATTTTCCTGCCATCTCCCAGATGATCATCACTTAGTCTTCCTCAAATGAACCTGTAATGTGTCTGTTTGCCATCTGCTATCACCAGTTTTCTAGTTTTTCCTACGAATTGCAATTCTACATTTTCATAAGATCAGATCATTTAATTCACACAAATTCCTGGGAACCGTGAGACCTCCTCAGGGCTTTATCTTCCTGATCCTGTTCTTGCTGTTTGCCTAACAATGTTGATGCAACAGAATAGAAAGCATTTTTGCCTGCCTGATAAGCCCGATTTTGCCTTCATACCTTAGGTGGTAGCCTGTTTATAGAATAAATAAAGATAGCCCAGAGCGCCTAGGTTCAGAAAAGTTCTCTCTGTTGATGGGGAAGAAAAGAAAACAAATAACTAAGAAAAAGTCTGCACACTTTAAAATGAGTGGATATAAGGTCCCTCTATTGGGGGTATCAATTACTTAAATGACTTACACCCACAGTGTTTTAGTTCTCAAATGCTTTCAAGATTTAAAGAATCCGGAATGGTTACAGTTAGTCTTAGGTCTGGGTTCCATTAATCAAACCTGTAATCAAATAGTCACTTGACTTCATTTGGGCTTTAATGGTTGAATGGTGTTTATAACCAAATTTACTAGCCAGAGGCCTATGGGGCTGGAGAGGGGTTTAGCCTCACAAACTCCAGATTTTAGTCAAACTAAAAAGACCCAGGAGGCCAGTTCTATAAAGGTCAACATTACCTTTTTATGTTGGTAGCACCCAGCTAATGGCATTACAGACCTAAAGCCCAGAGTTATACCCTAGGGTTTCTGTGGTTTTCATTTGTCCTGGAGGACCCCCAAAGAATGTACTCTGCTGGGACCTTATTTCCTTACAGAGACAGTACTGATATCAAATCATAGTTCCAGCTACACAAACGAGGCCTACTGCGGGCCAGGCACTATGCTAGGCACTTCCTATATATGACTTCATCTTCCCAACGACCCTATGGTACAGATATTATGATTAACCTAGATTTTACAGATGAGGAAATGGGGCTCAGGGAGGTCACAGATCTTGTCTAAGTCCACACGATTAAAACATGGTGGCTCTCAAACCCAGTAACTTCTAGGTTCCTTTCTTTTTCTTCTTTTTTTTTTTTTTTGGAGACAGTCTTGCTCTATTGCCCAGGCTGGAGTGCAGTGGCTCACTGCAACCTCCGCCTCCCCGTTTCAAGCAATTCTCATGCCTCAGCCTCCTGAGCAGCTGGGACTACAGGTGCCCGCCACCAGGCCCAGCTAATTTTTTGTATTTTTAGTAGAAGTGGGGGTTTGCCATGTTGCCCGGCTGGTCTCGACCTCCTGAGCTCAGGCAATCCGCTCATCTCGGCCTCCCAAAGTGCTAGGATCACAGGCATGAGCCACTGCACCCGGCAATCTGTGTTCCTTTCTAATATAAATATTAATGGTAGTAATAAATGAAAGCAACTTATATCCTAAGGGATTCCTCACACAGTGGCTGATATGCTGGGCGTAACCCATCCGTCCAGAAGCCTGGGCCTTTCCCATCCCCCTAAGGACCCTCCCAGGCTGGGCTCCACAGGAATGTGTCCCTCTTATCTCCTGGGCAACTTCTACCCTGCTCTGAAGAGGGAGGAGTGCAAGGCTGGCCTATCAGAGGTTCAAGAGCTTCTCTGCATGGAGCTGCAGGAACCCAGATAAAAGCACAGCAGGTGGGGACCTGGGCCCCATTGTATTAAAAGTAAAAACAAGCCAAAAACAAAGAAGAGAAGAGGGAGAAGGGGGAAAGATACAATTTTCCAAGTAAGACTCTCACAAATAAAAATGGTTACAATTCTTAAAGATATTTTCTTGGAATCTGTGCAATTGCTTTAAAAAATTACATGCTACTCCCAGCCTTTTCTTTTCTTTTTGAGACAGGGTCACTCAGGTTGGAATGCAATGGTGCTATCATGGCACATTGGAGCCTGGACCTCCTGGGCTCACAGGATCCTCCCGCCTCAGCCTCCCAAGTAGCTGGGACTACAGGTATGCACCATCATGCCTGGCTAATTTTTGTTCTTTATTATAGAAATGGGGTCTTGCCATGTTTCCCAGGATGGTCTCCAACTCCTGGAGGCTCAAGGGATCCTCCCATCTTGGCCTCCCAAATTGTTGAGCCACTGTGCCCGGCTACGTGCTTACCTTTTAACAGACCAGAAATTGTGACAAAGTTAAAATCTGCTCTAAGGTGGGCTGCTTTGCATGGCTCAGGCATCTGATGGACTGCTTTACAACAAAGTGAATACTGCAGGTGACAGTGTGGAAATCTATTTTTCATTATACAACTGTCACTTGATGTACATACTTCTTTGCTGTGTTTATAGAAGGAGTCATTTTTAATTCCAAAGGAAAATAGCAATTTGGAATAGTTTTCAGAAGCTGTAGGAAGGCAAGCAATAGAAAGAACATTTCACAAGAGGTATCCTCGTAGTGAATCACAGTTCACAATACTACGTGCACATGCTTCAAGACAAAGCGAATCACTCCTCCAGGATTACCATTGAGTATAGCTCTCATAATATTGGCCTTATCATTGGAATTGCATTATATAGTAAAGCTAGCAAGATCAGGCCAAAGCCGTTTCTCCAAGGGAACAGACACATGAACCCCTTGCAGTGTGAATGTAAAAATGCTGGTTAGCAATCTAAATCCAAAAAATCTATAGTCCCACACTTGTAACTTTTGGTTATTGCCAAACTTTATATTTAAGACTATGTCATTGTTCTCATAAAACCCACTAACTCTACAAGTCTTCTTGCCCTGAGTAGAAAAAGAAGCTCCTACTTACTTCTTGACCAAAGGAGCTGTAAGATCTGTAAATGTCACAGGTACATGAACACTCTAAACTAAGAATAATGCTAGAGTAAATACGAGATCACTTATAAGATCCCTGCATAAAATATGGTCCAGTACAAGGGGAGGAGGTAGGTGGGAAAGATTTTGTAAAATGTTTAAGCTGAATTTCTGCAACCATATTACCACATGTATTTAAAATCAACTGTTCAGAAAATATCAACAAGGCAAAGACAAAAGTCTATAAAAAGTCTGTCAGTCTAGAGAGAACTTCTAAATCACAGGGCAAAATTTCAAATAATACTGGAGCTTCGTTATTTGCTGGCCCTTGAATTCCATAGGCCAAGAAGGTATTTGGAAGAGGCAGGTCTAGCAAATGAAGTGACTATCACATAATCAGTACAACAACTATCTCAACTACACTATGCAGCTGACAGCTCAGAACTTGTACTACGTTTTAAAGAAAGTTGCTGGCTGGTCGCGGTGGCTCACGCCTGTAATCCCCAGCCCTTTGGGAGCCCAAGGCAGGTGGATCAGGAGTTCAAGACCAGCCTGGCCAGTATGGTGAAACCCCATCTCTACTAAAAAAATACAAAAAATTAGCTGGGCGTGGTGGTGGGTGCCTGTAATCCCAGCTATTCAGGGGGCTGAGGCAGAGAATTGCTTGAACCTGGGAGGCGGAGGTTGCAGTGAGCCGAGATCACGCCACTGTACTCCAGCCTGAGCGACAGAGTGAGACTCCATCTCAAAAAAATAAAAAAATAAAATAAAGGAAGCTGCTTGAAATACACCCGATAGAGGTCCCTTTTCTTCTGAACATTTGTTTAGGCCTCTCGAAAGGGGCATCATTTTCATGAAAAGTCCATTTATGTGGACATGTGGACAAGAGCCCTGGGGTTTTCCATTACAAACCAGTTGATGACTATTACTGTGAACTCTGAAGAATTTCCTTTTTTAAAAAAGAAAATCCAACCCTAGGCCTTTCTGCACATACTCAAATTGGGGCCTGATAATTTAATTTTTAAAGCGCTCTGACATCCATCACTGCATTTCCTATAAGATGTTATTCTATGCAGGAGAGAAAACTGAAGCCCAACTAGCATATGTGGCAGAGTCTGCTTCTTCTAGGCTTTTCTTTTCACCAAAGATCTAGCAGCACAGACTTATTCGCTTCAGAGAAAGGTGGCTTCTCAAAAGGTACTCAGAGCCAGTGTAAATTGCAAAGTACAGAGGATACTTTTTTTCCCAGAAATGGAAAACAACATTTCAAACTGATATTCTGAAAAAGCATTCAAGAATTTAATCATGACCCTTTGGCCTGAAATGCTGCAGTGATATTTTTATGACCCAAGAATTCCTAAGCTATTGCTGCTGTCCAGAGTGCCCACTCTCTAACTGCGTGAAATGATGTAATGCTTAAATATTTCCTAAGATGCATCTCAGAAGTGACCTCATGCATATGCATGATCAGCAGTGATGGATTGAAAACAGATTAATTCTGCTCCACAGCTAAGCATGAAAACATTAAAAAAATGTCTGGAGTAGTTCATATTCCAGATGCAGACTCCTTCCCCTCCCGAAACTGCATCTGGTTTCATTCCCGATGATATAGTAATGATATTACACTCCACAGTGAAGTTCTTGGAATTAGGTTTCTTTCAGAAAATGGGTACACACCCTGTACGTTTCTATCAGTCATTTAATTGGACTACAAAAGTGACAGCGTTTCTGTGGTTAAGAGGACTGTTTGTTTTTTCCTCTCTTAAACCATGAGAACTAGTCTAGTCCATACACTATGCTAAATATCCCATCTATCTGCCCCAAACCACTGCTTACTTTGGCTGCTTCATATAACACTGTATTATATGAGAAAGGCAGAAAACAGAACTACCACTGCTTTCCTTGCCTACAAAGAGGAAAGAAATACTGGGTGTCATTCTACCTTCATGATGTTTTTCCAAGTTGAAAAAAATACTGAGATGGGGTGTGGTGGCTCACTCCTGTAATCCCAGCACTTTGGGAGGCCGAGATGGATGACTGCTTGAGCCCAGGAGTTCAAGACCAGCCTGAGCAACACAGCAAGACCGCATCTCTACAAAAAATACAAAAATTAGCTGGGTATGGTGGTGTGCACCTGCAGTCCCAGCTACTCCAGAGGCTGAAGTGGGAGGATCACCTGTAGCTGGGAGGTCAAGGCTGCAGTGAACCATGATTGTGCCACTGCACTCCAGCCTGAGCGACAGAGTGAGACCTTGTCTTTAAAAATAAAAAAAAATAAAATAAAAAACAGAACAAAAAAAAAACAGGCTGGGTGCGGTGGCTCACGCCTGTAATCCCTGGACTTTGGGAGGCCGAGGTGGGTGGATCACCTGAGGTTAGGAATTTGAGACCATCCTGGCAACATGGTGAAACCCAGTCTCTACTGAAAATACACAAAATTAGCTGGGCGTGATGGTGGGCGCCTGTAATCCTAGCTACTTGGGAGGCTGAGGTAGGAGATTTACTTGAACCTGGGAGGCGGAGGTTGCAGTGAGCCGAGACCACGCCACTGCACTCCAGCCTGGGCAACAAGAGCGAAACTCCTTCTCAAAAAAACAGAAACAAAAACAGAAACAAAAAAAACAAAAACAAAAAAACCCTGAAATTAAAATAATACTTAGTTTCATAATCAAATCAACCTATGTGAGTTTTGTCTGTGTATAATTTTTTTCCCCCAGAATTCAGCTTTTAGGGATTTTAGCTTTTGAGAAAAATTAGAAAGGATGAAAAACTTAAAATGAGTAGACATGTCTTGAAGAGCTTGAAAGGATTATCAGTGTCCCATCATCGACTGCTACAGGTTTTATTACTTCCACCTCACTAAAACCTATAAGCTGCCTCTCAGCTTGAAGACCCAAAACCACAATGATCAAGAATTTCTGACGGTTTTATTCAATTTCTCATCATTTAACTGTCTGTTGCCTATATGTTAAAGACCATGCTGAGTTATTTTATAGCCTTATTTCGTCCTATCATTATTTTATACGAGGGGAAACTGAAGAGGTTGAGAGGAGCGTTCTTGGAATTCAAATGATGCTCCTGTCTTTATATGCCACCCCCCATTTATTCCTCTGAACATGCTTAATTTCCATCGTACCCTTTTAGGAAACCTTAATCCACGTTTCCAAACCACCTGAGAGTTGTTACTTGTTACACCAATTATATCAAATATGGAATGCTATTGTGTGAGTACTTCCTAGGACAGCGTGGATGCTATTTTAATGGCAATACTAAATAACAATATTTTACTTAGTTTTTAATTAAAAGGTCTATGATCACTCTATGGTTTGCCAATAAAAACCTAACACAATTAGCAAGAACAAAAGCAAACAAAGCCTATCTTTGTGAGAAGTACTGTGTTCTTAAAAAATAAAAAAGGAAAACACTCAAAACGTGTCCATTTACCTGCATAGAGCCTCAATGGCATCTCTGTCCAAAAAATCATGCTCTCTCTTGACCAAGGAAATATCGATGGGGAACAGGAAATCTATGAGAAAAATAAACAGATGTATTTGTTGAGCGCCTAAAACCCAATTTGCCAAATAGCCCAGTTTACCAAAGCAGGGATAAAACTCTTCAGCAATATACTAAGCACCTACTGTAGGACACCTCATTCCCCGTCAAGTTCTATGGGACTATAAGGCAATTGAAGCCAATCGGGCATCACTGTCCTAAAGGAGCTTCGGCTTTAATGTGGGGGAAACTCAAAATATTGCTTCTGGTCAAGGAGAAGTGGTTCAGAACATTGTTATATGTTTAAACAAATCAGCAGGCAATGAGTCCCCAGTAGAAATTATAATTTAAGCCACAAAGACTGTCAGAAGAATGCTCCGTTTTAATGTGGCTGGGCTGTGTGTATGTGTGTGTGTCTTTGCTCACGTGTGATCAGGGAAAGGTCACGGAAAGAAAACTGAGCCACAGAAAGATCTAGAGAACAATGAAAAGTGGTAGGAAATGGAATGTAATCCACTCACATGGCATCAAGAGCTAAGGAGAATTCAAGATATGCTTTTTAAAAACAAATATTAGCACTGCAATATGGCCTTGCAGGAATTGATATAACTCCCCTAAAAAGAAAGGGCTAGCTATGAAGTTGCTATAGAACAACAGAATCTCAAATCCTTTAATCTGTAGAAGAGTTCATTCAGTTCTCTCGAGACAATGAAGAAGCTGTATCAGAACTGAAAACCAGAGAGGGGGAAAACAGTCGACTCAATGGAGGAATTCCTTTCTCTGGACTACATAAAAAGATCCCTTGGTAAGTAAATATACCCAAGAAAAGGAGAGCGGAGGTAGCCGCTGTGGAAATTTACAACAGCTCTGAAATTGCCACTGGATAAAGGCAAGTTATCACCCTCTTGGAGTCCCAACTATGAGGGCAAATCATGGGCCTCCTCAGTAGAGTGCTACTACAATACCAGGAAGAGGAGTGTCTCGGTGTAGGGTAACCCTTTGGACCAGACCTGGGTGAAATCAGTCATCACAGCAGGAAACTAGAATCACCACAAGCTAAAAAATTCTCTTTGGCTGGGCACTGTGGCTCACATCTGTAATCCCAGCAGTTTGGGAGGCCCCAAGGACAGAAGATCATTTGAGCTCAGGAGTTTGAGACCAGCCTGAGCAGCATGGCGAGACCTTGTCTCTACAAAAAAAATCTAAAAAAATTTTACTGGGCATGGTGGCATGCGGGCTGTGGTCTCAGCTACATGGGATGCTGAGGTGGAAGATCACCTGAGCCCCAGAGTTTGAGGCTGCAGTGAACTCTGATTATACCATTGCACTTCAGCCTGGATGACAGAGTGAGACCCTATCTGAAAAAAATAAATAAAAAGTAAAAAAATCCCTTTGGCCTTCAAAATGGCTAATGCCACACAGTGGAACAGACATGGCTGTCAGCAGTTTTGGAGACGCAGGTAATTAGTCCTGCTCCAGCTCCTGCGGGTGCACAACTGTTCATTATGTTTTTATTGTTTCTTATGATTACTGGTTTTATGGAATGATATGGAATTTCTTATTCTTAGTAATCTATTTTCTAGAGATAATATATCAGAATGAGTATAAAGTTATAGTCTATCCTTTTTTTTCTGAAGGCTACAGTTGGATTACTGACATTGTTCCCTAAATGATAATATAAGCAGACCAAGGAAGTGGCTATAGTCCAGAGATTTATGAATACATAAAATTTAGTATCACAGAATGACATTTCTTCACTAATTTATAGACCAAGTCTCTCTTAGACAAATGATTCATGGAACCATTATAATGGAAATAGAAAGACTTATAGTCAATGGAAACTGGAGCACTAGTAAATGAGGGAAGACAGGTTGTAACATTGTTTGAAGGTTGTGACACTGTATTTTGCTTTTTTTTGTTTGTTTTCAAATTTTTTAAATAGAGATGCGATCTCACTACGTTGGCCAGGTTGGCCTTGAACTCCTGGCCTCAAGTCATCCTCCCACCTCAGCCTCCCAAAGTCCTGGGATTACAGGCATGAGCCACCATTCCTGGCCAATATTTGACTCTGAATACACACCAAGATGAAATAACAGAGCTGATATTAAGGAATATTTTTTAATATTTACAGAGTATAATATCAGATCTATAAATGTAAATTGAAATTTTCATATGCCTATTACCTATATGTGAGAAAGTAACTATGTTATTTTAGGAATTCTAAGTTAGTATACCCAGAGCCATATTTTAGATTCCTTTTCTAATCCAAATTAACAATTTTTAAAAAATCTGGTAGGTATTAAATGCAAGTGAGGAGTGTAAGAATTAAATCAGTAATTTTCTTTTATTTGCCTGGACTCCTTTCTGAAAGGACTGGCTTTTAAAAGATGATAGTTTACTGATGTATAGAAGATGTTCTCTGAACTCAACTTCCACTGTGGGTTGAAAGGCAGGAAGTATAAATTGCCAAGTACGCAAATCAAGCTTAACAGGGGGACATGTGTGGGTTGGTATGGGGTGTATAGTGTATGTACTCACCCAGCACACAGTGGCAGGAAAAACGGGGGGAGGCAATGGCCCAGAACAATACGCAGTGTACCCCAAAAGTAGTCTTATGCTTCAAAAGACTTGGGAACATGAAGGGACCCCAAATGTAACTTGTGCAAATGCACCCTGCATTTTAGGATTAGGAAAGAGGAGACACAGGGAATGGAATTGGGTCTTAGCAAACATATATATCACAAGAAAGTGCTACCTGGCAGCAAATCAATGCCAAAAACGAGCATAATTGAAGAAAACTTAGTTTCTAAATAGGAGAACAAAAGGACAGCCACTTTGGTGTTACTGCCAATGCAGTTGTCTTTCCTTATCTCCAGTAGAGCTATGAATTGAAAATCCAATAGAATGCTGGTCCCCCTTTCCCCAAAGCCCTTCTAAATGTTAACAGGTTAAAACTTCTCTCTAAAGGAAAGACAAGTAACTCCACCAAAATAAGCATGCAAGTTAATCAAAAGAAATTGGAGATATTCTCTGGAATGAAGAAACAGTAAGATATTTTACACGGTCTAACAATAAAACAATTCAGAATCCATCTTCTTGGAAAAAATATCACAATCAGTCTAGGCTACATAAGGAAGACCGGGTATTCTAACTTGGGAATCACTTTGCTATTCACCCAACCTCTGTTTGAAAGTTACCCATAAAATGGAATGCATTAGTTCATAGCTGTAATTATTTTAAATTGACTTCATATAGAGTATAATGAAACTCCCATTTAAATGAACTGCCTAGGCCAGGCGTGGTTGCTCATGTCTGTAATCCCAGCACTTTGGGAGGCCAAGGTGGGTGGATCACCTGAGGTCGGGAGTTCACGACCAGCTTGGCCAACATGGTAAAACCCCGGCTCTACTAAAAACACAAAAATTGGCCGGGCATGGTGGCACATGCCCATAATCCCAGCTACTCAGGAGGCTGAGGCAGGTGAATCGCTTGAACCCGGGAGGCAGAGGTTGCAGTGAGCCAAAATCACACCACTGAACTCCAGCCAGGGCGACAGAGCGAGACTCCGTCTCAAAACAAATAAATAAATAAATGAACAGCCTATTTATCTTGACATGCAGGGAGCACAAGCACTCCCCAGGGTACGCAGAAGCTGAGAGAATGACCTCAGTATCCAAGCAATCCCCAGGGCACTGATAAGAAAATGAGATGTTAAGAATTCAGCACAGATCCTATTTTTTTTTTTGAACCATTTTTCTCAATTGAAAAACTGAATGCCACAGAAAACATAATATTCATTAAAAGACAACCTAGAGAAAAGTGAAATGCCTAATTACAAATGGTGGGAAAGATATCTGCAACACGTGACCAATGAAAGATTAGTATTTAGAATAAAAAGAGCCCTTATAAATCATTAAGAGAAGCATAATGTGAGCAAACAAATGTGGCCGAGTGACATGAATAAATGCTCATTACCATGAAGGATTAGGGAAATGGCAGTCAAAATCTCTATATCATTTTATATCCATTTGGTTGGCAAAAATTAAAGTCTGACAATATCAAGCGTTGAGGGAATGTGGATACACAGATTGGTAAGAGTGAAAATTGGTACGGGCACTTTCGAAAAGCTTGCATTTTAAAATTGAACATACATATTCTTTATTACCCAGTAATTCTGTTCCTAGGGATAGAAGCAAGATGAATCATTATGCATGTACCACAAAAGATAGATGCAAGAATGTTCACAACAGCACAGCTTATAAAAGCAAAACAGAGAAAGCCAAAATACCCACCAACCAGAGTGTGGATATGAATAAACAGTGGTTTCTTGTGTAATACACAATGGTGTATTACACAGCAGCCAAAGCAAATGCATAACAGGCCCATACAGTATAGAAGAATCTTAACAATACAATATTAAGTGAAAAATAAAAACCCCATGAAATTACATACGACACACTACCCTTTTTATAAACGTAAAAATTACTTTGTAAAAATGTACTTTTCAGGAAATGGAGTAGAATTATACAAAAAGAAAGCAAGAAAATGATAGTCTTCAGCATGCTGATTACTTTGGGTAGGGAGTGGCAGGCAGCAGATGGGGGAGTGGCATGGGCGTGTTACCAAGGTGCTAGCTTTTGTTTTCAGCGGTGGGGGTCTTGCATGCTTACAACATTTTTTTTAAAAATAAAACATTTAAACGATAAAACTGCTGAAAATAAGTCATAGATCAGTAATACTCGCGAACAAGGGATTATGATTATGCCAACTTTTAAAAAGTGGCATTCCCAGCTTACCTTCATAAAGCTGTGCATACTGGGGGAAACCAGTTGCCCGTAGCCAATCACAAGCTTCCTTGGCTTCAATTTCTAGAACAGAACAGAAGAAAGACAAAATTAGCCATGTGTACCTCGCCATGCTTATTTTTCCTGAATAAGCTTTCGTTTTATGATACAAGCAAAACATGACTGCCATAGAAAATACAGATAAGCAAACAGACATACACGCTTAATTCGAATGGTTTACATTTTGTATGCATCGTTTCCAGTTTTTTCACGTGTACATGAGGATGTATTTTCCCTTTACAAAAAATAGAAATGGGGTCCTGAGAGTAAGTTTCTCATTTTGTGCTGCTTCTGAAGTGCTCTGATTACAAACGGTTATGAAAATAAGGCATCATGAGAAAGTTGAAGAGAGATTTAATAACTCATTTGAAGCCTGGCCGGCCTATTGTACTACTTTTCACTTCAACAAAAGGCCACAAAGTACCTCCACCACCACGCTAAAATAGAATTTATCTGAGTAAAGTCACAGGCTTTCTGACACCCAGGGGTTGGGTGTTTCAAAAGCCCCTGACCTTGTGTTGTTTCACTGTTGCGTGATCAGGTACTCATCAGGTATTAATCCAGTAGGAGAGGCCCAGGCTGTCAAGGAACATGGAGGGCACGAAGTCAGTAAATCCCACAATCTTGGCAGGCAGAAATGGCTAATAAAGCTTCTACCTCCCTGTGGTTTCACATCTTGTAGATAGAATCGATAAACAGAAAGGCCAAGAGCAACTGACACACTGTGTTAAAACTCACTGGAGCACATATTTACAATCCCGTTAAAACTGACTCACAGAGGAGGTCCTGGGAACATTAGTTAGTGTCTCTGCTTGCACAAAGAATATTCCTTTCAACTCTTCCTCCCACCTTCCTCAGGCCATGAGAGTACTCAGTTACACAAGTCTGTTCACTCATTTATAAAGGTCTCAACATTGCATAATTTATGCCAGATTCAAATCTTCATTAAGCATCTCTCTCAAGCAAGTGGGAGACTAATAGTTCATATCAGAAGTGTAACACATCTTATTTTTGTCTAGTAACTTTATGTTTTCAAAGCACTTTTTCACCTATTATTTCCTGAGTTCCTTGGCCTTTGAAGAAAGGTAATTAAGCAAATCCAAATTCATTAAAGCAAGTGGGAATTTGATCAATGAACACAGGAAAGAGAAAAAAAATAACCTGCCATCTCCTGATGAGTTCTTAATACCCAAACTAAAAACGATTATGGCAGTAGCCTGGAAATAAATAGCATGGCAAAGTTAACTTCATGAATCTTTTCAGTGCAGCAGTGAAAGTAGCATTATTCAACCCAAGACTTAGGACCGAAATGGGAGCGAATGATAGTGACATCAGTGTGGAAGAACTTCGATGTTTACACTGAATAAAAGTGTAGAATTGTCCAAAGTCAATTATTTGAGCTTACTTTTTTTTCGTATGTGTATATCCACATTTTGTCTCAGCAAGGAAATAAAGATGTTTTAAATAAAATTATAAAATAGACACTTCCTAGAAAACTATATTGCTGGAAAAACATATACAAGCTCAATATTTTATTTTAAAAAACAAGGAAATTAGACTGGGTGTGGTGGCTTGCGCCTATAATCCCTGCATTTGAAAGGCTGAGGTGGGAGGATCATTTGAGCCCAGAAGTTGAAGACCAGCCTGGGCAACATGGCGAAACCCTGTCTCTACCAAAGAAAAAAATTACAAAAATTAGTCAGGTGTGGTGGTGTGCTCCTGTAGTCCCAGCTACTCTGGAGGCTGAGGTGGGAGGATTGCTTCAGCTTGGAAGGCTGAGGCTGCAGTTAACCTCAATGGTACTACCACACACCAGCCTGGGCAACAGAGTAAGACTCTGTAACCGCTAAAAAAAAAAGAGGAACTTACTTTTGCCCTATCTGTGTGCCTGCCCCCTCCCACAAAACATAGATATGGAAAGAAAAAAGGCTGTTTGTCTTTAAAAATATTTTAAAAACTCATTTCATTTGGCTACTTAGAGGTTATTTTCATTGAACAGACTGTTAGACATTGAACAATAGATTGTTAAAAAGTAAATGTGCTTGCTTTCTTAATATTTAACTTAATAAGTGGTGAGTAACCAAAAATTCTCAGTGCCCGCCCTTTTTTGACGATAGTCAGACACGGCAGTAGGTGAGCCCACATACAAAAGCCTTAATTAGATACCAATTCACTAGCCAATCCTGCCAGAGCATGCTCCTGCTTTACTAAGAGAAATAGTTTCATGCCAAGAGGCATGGAAGATGTAAGATACTAGTTTTTTAAGCAATCTTTATATTTTTTATATAATAACTTTACAAAGTATTTATTTAAGGTCCCATGTGATTTCAGCAACACAAAAATGCATATTCCTGTCTTCTTGTTCTCTTTCTTTTTTTTTTTTTTTTTTTTTTTGAGACAGAGTCTTGCTCAGTCACCTAGGCTAAAGGGCAGTGTTATGATCCTAGCTCACTGCAGCATCGACCTTCCGGGCTCAAATGATCCTCCCACCTCCGCCTCCCAAGTAGCTGAGATAGAGGCAGGAGCCACTGTGCCTGGCTGTCTCTCTTATTTTCTAATGGCCCTGTCTAACAAATAAAATGACTCCAAATGATCATAAACTGATCAGAAAAGCTGTGTCAAAATAGTCACTCTTAGGGCCACTTAGTTAGAAAGAATGTAAACAGGCAAAGGTTTGCTTCTTCAGCAGATAATTTAATTAACAGTTTATACAATGGCTAAAACACAGTACTCCCCAAACAGCAGAGATCTAGTCATCTTATCCTTTCTCTTCTTCACCCTAAAAAAAAATGACAATTTGTCTTTCCTTTTGATATGAAACCATGGGAAATAGACAAGCATATGACTATTTTACCAACACAAAGAGTCCACTCTGAAAACTTAGGCTGCATTCAAATGAGACCCTAACCCACTGCTTTGTAGAAATCAGAATTGGAAAACTGTAAAAAGTTGTCACATATTTTTTAGAAAATGGAATACTTGTTGACCTCACGCCTACACTTTCCAATTCATAGGTCAAGAGAAAGTACTAACAATCCAATGTACGTACTGATTTTTAAAAATCAATTATTTTTATTTTTTTAATGTGAAATGAACCTATATCTACATGCGAGTCACACAGTTTCATTCCCCGATTCACACCATTACTTTCTCTCTAATCTAAGTATTAATAAAACTCTGGGTCTGTAAACAACCCTCTCTTAAGAGAATCTGTCCATCAATCCTGGCTCATCAAACTTTCTGAGTTACAGTATTAATCTTCTCTCTCCTTCACAAACTTCGCTGGAGCTCCACGTGTAAAGAATGAGGTCTTAGCTCTGTGCGGTGACTCACGTTTGTAGTCTCAGCACTTTGGGAGGGAGAGTTGGGTGGACTGTTTGAGCCCAGGAGTTCAAGACAAGCCTGAAGAACATAGGGAGACCCCATCTCTACATAAAATACAAAAATTAGCCAGGCATGGTGGCACATGCCTGTTGTCTCAGCTACTTGAGGGGCTGAAGTGGAAGGACCTACTTGAGCCAGAGGTGGAGGCTGCAGTGAGCTGTGACCACACTACTGCATTCCAACGTGAGCAACAGGGCAAGACCCTGTCTAAAAAAAAAAAAAAAAAAAAATAGGTCTAAACACCCTGGCAAGGTTTTCAAGGCTCTCCACTTGGCATCCAACCTAATTGTTCAGCTCCCTGTACCCAAGCACTCTAGCCAAAGTAAATTTGGTGCTCATCTCCACACACACTGCACTTCAGTGAATTATCTGGCCTGAAATGCTGAAGATGAAATTTCACTCATCCTTCAAGATCCCAACTAAATGCCACCTCCTCCATGCAGTCTTCCCATTTACCTCTCAACAGTTCTATATCAATGGGTCACTTTACTGAGTGCTTAATACGCATAAGGCCCTGTCTAAGCGCTAGTGCATATTAGTTCATTTACACCTCACATTGATCCTAAAATGTGGATTACTAATATCTCTGAGATAAACACATGAGGAAACAGATAGAGAAGTAACCACCTCTCCTTAAAAATGAGCTTTCTGAGGCCAAGCGAGGTGGCTCACACCTGTAACCCCAGCATTCTGGGAGGCCTAGGTGGGAGTATCATTTGAGGCCAGGAGTTCAAGACCACTCTGGGCAATAATTGCGAGACTTCATCTCTACAAAAAATATAAAAAGAAAAAAGAGCTTTCTGCCTGTATTCGCAGCTACTCAGGAGGCTGAGGTGGGAGGATTGCTTGGGCCCAGGACTTCAAGACCAGCCTGGGCAATACAGTGAGACTCTATCTAAAAAAAAAAAAAACTTATAAAAAAATTTTTAAAAATGAGATTTCTACATTCAAATGCCATAGTGAGAGAAGGAACAATTACTTACAAAAATGCAAGGTTCTTCCTGCAAGACAGGTTCTTCCCTTTAAAAATACTGTATGTAACAGCTTGGGCATGGTGGCTCACGCCTGTAATACCAGCACTTTAGGAGGCCAAGGAAGGCAGATCATCTGAGCTCAGGAGTTCGAGACCAGCCTGGCCAACACGGTGAAACCCCGTCCCTACTAAAAATACAAAAATTAGCCAGGCGTGGTGGCGGGTGCCTGTAGTCCCAGCTACGCAGGAGGCTGAGGCAGGAGAATGGCGTGAACCGGGGAGGCGGAGGTGGCAGTGAGCTGAGATTGGGTCACTGCACTCCAACCTGGATGACAGAAAGAGACTCCGTCGCAAAAAAAAAAAAAAATATATATATATATAAAATGTATATTATGTAACAAATACATATAATATATTATGTAACAATGAACAAAATCTAAAATATTACTGAAAACCGCATATATATTATATTACTTTGGACACGTTTATCTACCCCATGCTTGTTTTGGGGGGCCTCTAACACAGCTCTGAATGTGTGATTTTCCCTTCAATGTATGTGGGTGGTGATGTGAAAATTACGAGGATGATTTTTTTAAAAAACATTCCCCACTGAACAAAAATGCCACTAGAAACTAAAAATACAATGGAAATACAATGAAACTTTTATACCTGGGTTTTCTCTAAGCAAACAACAGACAAATGCCGTAAGGAGGAAACAGGAAATTTTTATTGGAAACAGCTTTAGTCAAAGTCATTTCACAAAGCAGTTCTGGACATTAGATGGATGAGTCCCGGACACCCTTTTGTGTATGGCTGGGAACCATTAGGCCATATTTGCACATTTCCTGGCATGACGGGATGATCCTGTCTTCCCATCACTCCTCAACAGTAAGCTGAACAAAAACTCCCCACCCCCAGCATCATTCTGTGGAACTCTGTTATCTTAGCTGGTTGAGCAACAGTAATTGGGTCTAAACAAGATATGATTACTTCAATCTACCATTCGCTCTAGCTTCACAGGGGGAACTTTTGGATTTCCTCTCTTCTGTGATAATATGCCACCAAAATCAGGCTTCGATGCAAATGGTACAGTGAATTTTTTTTAAAAATGCAATTTTAAGAAATTAAAGGAATGTAAGAAAATTCAAGCACTTTGCAGATTCCCTGGATTCCCTAAAATTTGATAGACATATGGGCAAAGATTCATGGAAAAGTTGATGCTTTTATTGCTAGAGAACCGTGTCAGCTGTGTGCAGGCAGGTGGTGCTTTTTGATCCAAACCAAGATGCATTCTCCTCCCCGTGGTGACAAAGATTCCTTCAAATGGGAAGGAAGATACTGCTTATCAATTCTGATGACATCAAGGTGACCAATTTGGCAGGAATGTTGTGCAGGTGGATACGATGGTTTTAATTACAACCCATCTTTACCTGATGGGTGGGTTCCAGAGGGCGTTCACTGGGAGAAGCAAATCACGACCACAAATACTTGTAGTAAGGTAAGGAAATCTTGGTGACTCCCAGCCCTGGATGTAGGCAGGCATTGCGCTGGGGAGTTTTCTTTTCTTTTCTTTTTTGAGACAGGGTTTTACTCTGTCACCTAGGCTGGAGTCTAGTGGCATGATCACAGCTCTCTGTAGCCTTGAACTCTTGGGCTCAAGAAACCCTCCTGCCTCAGCCTCCTGAGTAGCTGGGACTACAGGTGTGTACCACCATGCCTGGCTAAGTTTTTATACTATTTTTTATAGAGACAGAGTCTCGCTATGTTGCCCAGGCTGATCTCAAACTCCTGGGCTCAGGCAATCCTCCTGCCTCGGCCTCCCAAAGTGCTGGGATTACAGGCGTGAACCACCCGTGCCTGGCCAGGGAGCTTTTTAAAAACACCGACCATCCCCTCCCCAGGTATTCTGATTCACTCAGTCTAGGTAGGGCCTGGACATTGTATTTCAGAAAAGCTCCCTCAGTTTAAAGGCAGCCAGGATTGAGGACCACTAAGCCAGATAACATTTCTTTGTATTCCTTCGTCCTGGACTTTTTCACCCTTGGATTATCCTAACAGCCTCCTCACGGAACTCTGATAAGCCTCACCCCTCCCTGCCCCCAACAAATCCGTCCTCCTTCAAGGATCCCCGAGCCACTGGGCTGGTTTTATGAAACACATATTTCATTATGTCACTCCCCTGCTTAGAATTCTTTAGTGACTTTCCACCGCCTTTCAAATACAATCCAAACTCCTCAGCAAAGACCACAGCCTTCACAGTTTGGCATCTGCCTATCCACTCAACTCTTGGAAGGCCTCCAAATGTAAGCTTGCTCCAGGCTTTCCAAACTCCTTGGAGTTCTGAGGACGTACCAAGCTCTCATACCTTAAGCCCTGAGTTCTCTCAAATGAATTACCCCTTCTTCACTCCACCAACTTCTCACTTTTTAATTCATTTGTATATCCCGAAAGACAACTTTTTGCACAAAGGAATTACAGAGAGGTTGGTGTGAAGAAGGAAAAGAAAAAAAAAAATCTATTACTATTTTCCTTTCTTTAAAGGCAGACTGAAAACGATGACTTGAATCTCTTACTCTTTGCAATTAAAAAACAACCAACTGTTAAACATACGCAGTTGCCAAAGACTGGTTATCAGGAGTTATCTATGTAAAATAAATTCCTAGTAAGGTTAAGACAGACAGCAGACTTCATATATTAATATTTATTAAACTCTAATGTTATCTAATCACAGTAAAGATTTTCACCAGCAACTGACAGCATTCCTGCCCTCAGGTGCCTAAAAAAATTCCAAACATCTGCTATGCATAGTCTGAAAAAAAAAAAAAAAACAAGAAGCTTCTGGGAGACTGGTCAGTCACTAAGTCAGTTTCTTAGGCTATCTGGCTTAACAATAGCTAACTCAAATCTACTGTTAGGTATATTTTAGTACAGTCCTATGTTTAGCTAAAGCTAATCATCCTACATTTTCCCTTTCACTATTTATTGATCCAACTAGGCGTACTGCCAGCAGCTCTCAGGGAAAATCAAAGACACAAGCTCCTGACTTGAAGCAGGAAGCCAAGTGGAAAGGAAATTCACAGTGGAGTACAGCGCGTATGAGGACCCTCTATCCTCCACTTAGAAACGAACTGGTTTCCTAAGGGCTATTGCAAGGTCCACGTGTTTGTTAAGCCCGAAGTGACCCTGTACACGTCACGTTAGTGAGTGCCCCTTTCATTGGTGAAAGCCAAACTCCTAACAATGTCCCACATGTCCTGGCCCCTGTCAGGACCCTGCCTGCCTCTGACTGATCCAGCCACACCGGCCTCCTCTCATGCCCTGTCCCCCTGCTCCCTGCACCCCCCGCCCCCGCACCTTTTTGGTTGTTGACAAGGAGTCTCAACTCTGTCTCCCAGGCCGGAATGCAGTGGCACAATCTTGGCTCACTGCAACCTCTGTCTCCCAGGTTCAAGCGATTCTCCTGCCTCAGCCTCCTGAGTAGCTGGGGCTACAGGCGCCCGCCACCACAATGAGCTAATTTTTTTTTTTTTTTTTTTAAGTAAACACATGGTTTCACCGTGGTGGTCAGGCTGGTTTCGAATTCCTGACCTCAAGTGATCTGCCTGCCTCGGCCTCCCTCCCAAAGTGTGGGATGACTGGCGTGGGCCGTGGCACCTGGGCCCTCTCTCCCTCTTTTCCTGTTTTATTTTTTCTTCTTCCACAAAACTTATTATGTTTACTTTCTGTCTTTCCTCTTTGTAAGCTCCAAAAGGGCAAGCTTCTTTGTCCATTTTATTCTGTGATATATCCCAAGCACCTACAACAGCACACAGTAGTTGCTCAATAAATATTACATAAAGAAATAAACCACTCATACAATTTTTGTTCTAGTAAGTGGTCTTAATTTTTCTGACCAGGATCCCCAATAGGAAATACATTCTACATTGTAACATGGTACACACATATACATGTATGTACATGTATATATGTGTGTATAAATATAAGTACACATTCATGCATATAAACACGTGTCTGTATATGTAACTATTATAAAAGAAGTTTCAAATAAAACCTACAATAAGTGATACAGTCTTATATTTTTATATATTTTTAAATGCTGTGTTATATACCAATGTGACCAATTTGAAATGCACTATTCTCATGCATAGTTTTTCTTCTAAGCATGAAGAACTTGTGTACAGTAGGAAGAGGAATGTGATATGACATAGGAAAGACATGTGTGACATCAGAGTGGGAGGGGTGTCCCTTCTCGCTAGTGGACAAGTGGGGTCTGCCTGGGCCCAGTCTGTACTCCTTTATTTAAGGAAGCATTATGATCTTGGATATGAAACTGGATTGCAGGAGAGGGGATTCGGTGTAAAGGACCCTGAATGAAGTAAGAGGTAAGCTGGGAAGCAGAAGTGTTGGGAGGAATGCAGTCTGGATTTACTACAATACAGACCAAAAAGCAGGAGTATGAAGCAGAAAGGAAGTTATCTCATGGATCAGATGGAAGCACCTTCTGAGCCTGGTTATACAATGAGCAACCAACATTATTTCCTCAGATGTAAAACAGCTTTGCACCTGGGTGCCCTGGAGTCCTTCTGATACTCTATCACAGAGGACAAAGCATTACTGTAACAAGTCAGGAAAACAACTCCAGGAAAGAATCCACTGCCTAGATAGGTGGCCTTAAGAAAAGAATTTCTCTGGCCCTGTTGCTTCATCTATAAAACCTGCGCTTGCCAGTGGCTTTGTAAATTCCCTAAGTTTTTGACTCTAATATTTCCTTTATGCCCATTTCACCTTCTCTCTAAGACCACCTCTAGAAAGGGTTCCATGCCCGCTGTTAATTTTCCAGATGTCTTATCAATTACATGGAAACATTCTTCTTCCCTCAAAAAACTGGACCACTAGAAACTGCTACAAGAGATCCCCAGTTTTGTAAATTTACGAAAGTTTTAATTACTTTTATTTTAAAAGCTAACATTTCCAATTTGCCTTTCTTTTTTCCTTTTTTTTTTTGAGACAGAGTCTCACTGTGTCACCCACGCTGGAGTGCAGTAGCACAATCTCAACTCACAGCAACCTCTGCCTCCTGGGTTCAAGCCATTCTCCTTCCTCACCCTTCCAAGTAGCTGGGATTACAGGTGCTCACGACCACACCCGGGTAATTTTCGTATTTTTAGTAGAGACGGGGTTTCGCCATGTTGGCCAGGCTGGTCTCAAACTCCTGACCTCAAGTGAGCCATCCGCCTTGGCCTCCCAAAGTGCTGGGATTACAGGCATGAGCCACCAAACCTGGCCTAATTTGCTTTTTAAGAGATCGACTTCTTGATTTGTCCCATGAAGCCTGTATTCATATCATAGACAACACAAAACCAATGACGTTTGCTTCTGTGCGTGTCTATAGCCCTCTAAATTTCAACTTGAGAGGAAGAAAACACTTCAATGCATAGAAGGCTCTTAAGAGTTTTACTTTCCTTATTGATCTTTCATGTTTACAGCAGCATGTTGTCTTCCAAAGAATCCGTGACTTGGGCGCTGAAATACCTCTTGAAGCTTTTCATCTTTTCTCTTTACAAATGAGGAAGCTGGTACAGAATTGAGGTGATTTGCTGAAGGGGCTAAAGCTACCCAGCTCTCATCCCCAGGTTAGGCCCTTCTTGCCTATTTCAACAGTGCCCTCACTTGTAAATCACCATACTGGTTTTCAGTCCTAGTAAGGAATGGAAGCTTTGGGGAGCTTCCTTTTTAAGTTTTGTTCATTTTTTTTTCTCTTATTCTTCTGCTTGAGATTTGGAGACATACATATACAGCTTTCTATTAAAGAACATTCCTAGAAATTATAGAAAGGAGGGGAAAAAGGACCCATTTTCCCTGTGATGTGATGACAACTTAATAAATGGTTTTGCCTTGAAAGGAGGAAACACTGGGAGACAGGCCCTGCAAGCCTATACCTGGGGTGAAGCCCTGCAAGTGACACTTTAGCCATGTAGAATTTAAACCAATTGAAATCCTCTTTGGGGATCATCTAGTACAAGAGTTTGCAAAGTACTCCTTTTAACACATAAACCAGGAAAAGGCAAGCAGCTCACATCAAAATATGTGCTCTTCCCTGGCAAAGGCAACAGCTCTGGATGAATTTGAGCCCATGAGGGACATGGCTCCATCAGGCCCTCTAGGCTTGTGCGGATCCAGTTATTTCCAGGAACAGAAAATATCTCCCAAATAATCAAAAATTGGCACTTATTACCCAGCAAAAAGAGGTCAAACTGAAATCAAAATAAACTAAGAAGGAAATGGATACTGAATCATCACATCTTTCTGTTTCATTTCAACCTGGGGCAGGATAAAAATAAATCGCTGCTACAGGGACACACATATCTCTCTATCCATACACACACACACACACACACACACACACACACGTGTACGTATTTCTAGTATTCCACGTCAAATATTTATGCAGTTCAAACTATGCACTAACAACAGTAATTTGGAATAGCTCATAAAGTACGAAGTCCTTTGAAGATGATAACTGCATAGATTAAGAATTTCAAGAAAGAAAAGTATCTAATTAATACAGTTTTAAAGGTCCTTATTTTTCTGAGTCTCATTTTTTTTTGGTAAAATGAAGCACGTGTTTTAAGATTATATAATCCATTCCCTCTTTAAACTTATTATTCAAGGCAAAATATCTGGTTACAAACCTAGAGTAACCCTGTCTCTATTATTAAAAGTTGGCATACAAATAAACTCTTTCTTTTACATATGTTAGCAAAGCTTATTCTACGAGGGGCATCTCCCGCAACATTGGCTTTTGCTTTATAGTTCTGCGATAGCACAGGAGAAAATAAAATAGTGTGCAAATTGCAACACTGTAAAACCTTAAATTAGAAATAAAGGTGATAGCAGGAACGTCTATTAAAAAAACTGCTCACCCATATTTTCGTCCATTCTAACAGAAAAAAGAAAATGAATGAAATATCAAGTTCCCTTATCAAAGACCAATGACAATGAAAATATGGCAGGTACTTGTTAGGAGTATAAGCCACCTCCAGCCATTTCTATGTCAAACCTCAAAGAGGAAACACTATTCAACTAGACGTTCTCAGTTTTGTGCCAAAAAGTGTGAGAAAAAAGTAAGATTTGCTGTGTTCTAGGTGAGCTAAGGAATTATTTTCACCAGTATTGCTTGGGACACCCAGCCCCCTAAATGAACACTAATGAATGAACAGAAATTAATCTAATGGTCAAATTGTGATTCAGGTTCCTACAAACAACTTAAGACCTTCATTTTGTTTAGACATGTTGACTGGAAGGGGTCTGAGGTTCCAGTCAACTCACATGTGATCTTGGACTGGTCACTGAACCTCTCTGCATCTCAGCCGCCCCTCAGTCGGGAAAAGGCACTGGTTTTCCAGGCTGCCTTTGCCAAGTTCTGGAACTTCCCATGAAAATGACTTTTACAGATGTCCAAGCATTACATAAAATGCCCTTTCTGTGCTATACAATTTGAAAAAGAGAACTGTATGGAGATTGGATCCCTTATGAGTTTATGGTTTCTCCAGAATCAGGAGGTAAAAATCACTTCAGTTTCAGCATCTTCTATTTTGTCACTTGAGTGTGAGGAGGGACACAGCGTGGCTGTGGGGCAGCACCGTGCATGGGCCACAGGCCATTTCACTTCTGAAGTCTCTTCTTCCGTGGCTTCCTAAAGTGCTGCCAGCCTGGGAAATGCTACCACCCCAGGGTGTGGAAAACTTTTGTCCCTTAAACATCCTTTAGAGACTCCTGCGAGGAGAAGGAAGGCGCCTTTCTGACAAGCTTCAGGAAGTGACCTCCAGTCCTCTCCACAGGACACTCAAAGGTGGGGCAGGGCAGAGAACAAAATGTGGATGGGAGGTGCCAAAGGCATCTGAGGACTCAGCTTCACTGACCTCAGCCTTCAATGAGCTTTTGATTTTTCCCCGACGGGGGAAGGGGTAGACACCAAAAGGCACCAAGTAGAGAAATGTATAAAATGAAAATAAGCACACTTTTCACGAGGAAAGTAAGTCTAGTAGAACAAAAAAAAAAACCCCAAAAAAACAACAACCAAAAAACCCCAAGGCTGATGAATGATTAAGAGAAACTGATTTCCACTGTGTCTTGGCTTCACTTTAGAAGGATGTAATAGTTCACTTTTTGGTGCTCAAAACTTTATTTCCTTATAGGCAGGCATTCACATATTTTCAGTCACATTTGGGAGAAAAGTTTCCTTTAGAAATAATATTTGAAAGTACTTTCACTGAAGAAAACATTATTTCGTACAGTCAACGCGGGCCAGAGTTTTAGAAAATGGTATCCCAGAACACTCCCCCAAATGTTAAAGACAGAGCCCCAAGTCTCCTCTCACTAGACTCCCCCCATGGAGGGGACTCACAAAAAATTTGTCATTCCTGCACTCTAACATTACAGCTGCCTACCTACGCACACAAGCCTCCCAGGAAATTACAAAGTAACTATAAGGCTCCGTAAGGGCCACAATAGAGAAGTCTCGTTGCTGCCTGGGAGACACTAAGAAAACATATGGGCTTGCTGGACGCGGTGGCTCACGCCTGTAATCCCAGCACTTTGGGAGGCCGAGGCGGGCGGATCACGAGGTCAGGAGATCCAGACCATCCTGGCTAACACGATGAAACCCTGTTTCTACTAAAAATACCAAAAAATTAGCTGGGCATTGTGGCGGCGCCTACTGTAGTCCCAGCTACTCGGGAGGCTGGGGCAGGAGAATGGCGTGAACCCGGGAGGCGGAGCTTGCAGTGAGCCAAGATTGCGCCACTGCACTCCAGCCTGGGCGACAGAGAGAGACTCCGTCTCAAAAAAAAAAAAGAGAAAAAAGAAAATATATAAGCTTAATGTGAAGGCTTTCTTCCTGTTCTCCATTAATTATGATGGCAAGGCAGAACATTAATTATGATGGCAAGTGAACAAAACGTTAAGACAGAGTAGACCTAATTAGAGGATCCCCAGGAGGACTCCGCAGTTCTTATCACTGATCATGGTAATCCCTAATAACACAAGGTCCCACAGAAGGAAAAGGGCCAGAGGACAGAAGGAGCCCTTCTCAGCTGGGAATCTAAACCCTTTTACATTAACTGGATCTCTAACTAATTTGAAGCTGAAAGAAAACACCGCTGATGGCGCTCATTCAACGCAGTAACTCATTCCTATAAAACATACTTCAACCCTACAGCACTGTCTTCCTTCAAAGAGGAACAGCCTTCACCTCCCTCTGCATTCATCCATATGCAAAGGCCACAGAGTCAGAAATAGAGACAGTTGTGAAAGTGCTCCAGAAAAGCATGTTCCTTCTAATTTCATAGCCATGGAAAAGAGGATCTTGGAATTGTGCTTTCTAGGACACACTGGATATTTACACTCTATGGTTGGGCATTAGTTCACCCAGACTGCAACATGAAGGAACGTATTTTTTAGTGTCTTGAATGACGTACAGATTACTCCTTTGCATTAGAGCCCCACAGCTCCAAACTAAGAATTTCAGGAGCAGATCCTGATAAAATGAGCATTCTGAGAAAAGTCAGAGATACAACTGTCTAGACACTAAAGAAATTAGTTCTCTCCCACTAGATCCCAACTCATGTAATTCAAATCATTGGACTGTGCACACATTACAAATGAAAATCACCTTTCTCCCCAGGTCTGCTTTATAATCTCAAGAACAGGCTTGGCATGATGTGGGTCTGGATGCGAGTCACACCATGGGGCCAGGTTTTGCTATGATGTTGTAAAGCACTGAGAATTCGGTCTTTAATGATTTGGCAATAGCCAGGGAGGAAGGGGAAACATCTGAAGTTATTTTTACTTTTGTAAAAGTCTTCTGGCTATACAGGGTGAATGGTAGGGTGGATCAGGTATTGTCTGGAGTCTTTCAGGGTCTTTTATTTTTGCATGGCCTCATTTCCGTCTTCCTGTTGCTAGGAAGGAGAGTGAAGCATGAGAAACTTGTGTTGACAATACTGGACCATCCTGTCCAGCACAAGGCTCTCTTCCAAAAAGTCCGATCCATTTCACCCACTGTACTCTGGATGCCCCCACTCTTCTGGACCAAATCACCCTTCCCTGAATATTTTCCAATTGCATATTTACCCGCTTAAGTCATAAAAATACCACTCTGATTTAAACATTGCGTCATGGCTTAAAATCTCCATGGGGACACCAAGGGAAACCCAAGTACTTATTGCTGTATTTGAAACCACCTCTTGGAATCTCACCAAGCCTCTGATTGGAAGGCATCTCAACTGTGGCCTCCCATATCCCCTTTAAGTCCCATAATAGTTCTACAAATAAGAGTTTAAGTACTATATACATTTTTAAACTCACTTCACAGTAATAGCTTGTTGAATCACAACATGTCTTTCTACTGGTCTGGTATATTTTCCAGAAGCACCCAAACACCTCTTTTAATGTAGAAATGCTCTAAACTTTGCTTAGTCTTTGCTCTCTCAACTACAGTACAGAACAACAAAAAAACATGCAAACAAGGGCTTTAGGTTGAAGGGTAACCTGCCTTTCACCTTTACTCCAGAGCCCTAAGAAAATCCTTCAATCTTTCCAGTGCATTAAAATTTGAAACACTGCCTTCATAGTTAGCAATAGTTAATTGCTCATCTATTCACTGTTTAAGGAATGAGTGGTGTTTCTCATGAAATCTGCAATTGGGAAGTTATGACATAAGTCACCAAAACCACTTTTCTCACCCACTCCAGGGAAAGATTTAAGTTGGAAACTATTTATCCCCAGTCCCCTTTTTGAACTTCCAGGCTGTTTGGTGTCTGGTGCTACTCTGTGTAAATTAAAATAAAATAAGTATTTGTCAAAAGCAAACTTTTCAAAACAGCCAGGAGAGAAACTCAGTCTGCTGTGCTTCATTTTAAACTCTGAACAGTAGTACTAATGCAAAAAGTATGCATCTGCGCTCAGGCCACGCTGTAAATCTGGCATGCCACAAGAAATGTGAATACATGCAATCGCCAACATTTTCTCAGAAAATGTCTCAAAATAACTTTTGTGCACACATCTGCTAACCATTTGACACTGGTTCCCCAGGACTTTAGTTCTTCGATTAGAGGGGCTGCTGCCTTACAGGGCACCCCTCTGACCATCTGCTGCCGTCTGCAAGCCAAGATGGCAACTCCATTAATTCCACACTTACAGTCTGCAAATTATTTCCACCGAGGACCAGTCTGTAGTCCAGATGGATGGCGAATTAGTCAACCTCTTGGAGCTGCTGATAGATTTACATTCAGAGGGCTGCAGTCTGCTGGACTATTATTTTCCCTCATCCCTTCAGCAAACAGAATTTTGGAGGAAAAAAAAAATGTAATCTGAGACTCAGTATTCTGCCTTCTCCCGAGCTGCAATGTTTTTTCCAAATACATCATCAATGCCACCAGCCTAGGCTGCATTCCTCTATGTCACCAGTAATCGCCGAAACAACCTCTGAATCCTGAGAATGAATCCATTTGCTCATCCATATTGGGTGTAAAAAGACTCACTCAAAACAAGACTGGGGATGGGAAAAGGTGGGGAGTGGGACGAAGCTTTCTTTAAGTGCAGATTAATGACTGCAAGCAGGGGTTTCCTTCTGCGGTGATTAGCACACACTGGGTATTTATTGAACATCGGGAACAGGCAACCTGCTAATCACTTTACTTGCATGAGCTCATTTGATCCTCACAACCTCCCCGCGCGGAGGTAATACAGTTATCACCCCTTTGGTGCAGATGAAGGAGGCACAGCGAGGTCCTGTCACTGCCCAAGTTCGCCCAGCTAGCAGGCTGCTGACCAGGATGAGACCCCACCAGCCTGACCCCGTGTCCCCTCTCACTTTCCTCGCCCCAGGGGCTGTGCGCTGAAGGACGCTCGCGGACGCAGCAAACTACACGCAGCAGGGTGCTGCAGAGAGGAGGGGTGCACCTCCTTCGGAGGGATCAAAGGCTCGCCCCAGGACTCTGGAGGTGGGGACAGCGACATGGAGTGGGGGCAGGCTTCCAAGAAGCTGTCGCCTTGTTACGAAAATAGTCGGGTCGGGAGGCGAGCTTCCTTCCTCTCTCCGGCCCAGGAACTCGCTCCTCGGCCTCCTTGTCCGGGTCAAGGGGGTGGGCATCCCCAAGGGGGCATTTCAGGGACACGATTCAGCGACCCATCTCCGGGAAAAAAACCAAAACTGTGTGTGTGTGTGTGTGTGTGTGTGTGTGTGTGTGTTTCCTAGCAAGAAGCACGTTTGCAAGCCACGGGGCTTGCTAAACTACCCCAACACTCTCCAGGTACCTGCGGCCACCAAACCGAGACTTCCCTGGCCAGGTCTGAGTTAATTCCCAGCGCTTAAAGTATCTTACCCAAAAATGGTTGAAAAGGAAAACAAGTTTTTGGTGAACTTTCAGGCAGTGATGAAAAAAAAAAATTTCCAAGCGCCACTAGGGTCTAAAATGTTCCCAAACAGTAAACTCTCCCGGAGTTCACTTTGATTTTGGACTAAGCTGGTGAATGACAGGAGATCAGTACGAGCGCAGAGCAGTCCCCAGAGGAAAGGAAGGTAGAAGGCGGTGTCGCCGCGCCCCTCGAGCCAGAGCCGCGAGCCCCCGCCCGGCTCAAGGAGGAAAGTGAACCAGGGCTTCCCTTCACGGGTTGCGACCGATCCGGAGCCCGCCTGGTGCGCTGGCCCGCGGTCCCCAGGCAAAAGGTAATCAAGAGTCACTCCTCCAAAATTCAAACTCCCTCCCCAAACTGCGAGTCCTGCTATCCCCACACCACCTCCAAGAAAATCCGGAGACTCTGCAGAAAGCGTTTAAAGAGCACAGAACAGGCACCGACTTGACAAGGCGGGGTGACACTTTCTCGCGGCGGGTCCCCTCCGCAGCCCGCTCCCGCGGCCAGCCCGACGGCAAGACGCAAGTCTAGCTTACGTGTTAGGATCATGGTGTCCGGCTTCTTTCTGCACATCAAGCACGGCAGGCGGCGGCGGAAGCGCTGTGGGGAAGTCGAGGCAGGCGGAGGCGGCTCGGCTTCCGCGTCGGGACCCACGGCGGCACCCGAGACGCGCGCCCTCGCGGTCCTCAACGCATCCTTGCTCGCCGCTCCCTGCCCCTCGTCACGGCCCCAGAAAGAAAGCGGGGTTTTCTAAAGATCGAAACGAGGGAGCGCTCAGGGAGTTGGGCGAGAAGTCCGTGAGCCGGCGCTCCTGATGCGGAGAGGTGCGGCCATGTCCTGGCTGGGAGCGAAGCGCCCTCGCTCGGGCAGTCGGAGCGAACTGTCTCCCGCGCGCTCCGCCAGCCGGGCCCTCCCGCTGGGCCCACCCCCCGAGGGGCGGGGCCAGAGCGGGCGGCACCGCCTCCTCCCCGCTGTCTGGGTCGCAGGCCTTAGCGACGGGCTGTTCTCCGGCCCCGCCCCATTCCCAGGCTCCGCCCCCCGCCCCTCTTCCTCGTGGCCGCAGCCTCAGGCCGCCCTCTAGCCCCGCCCCGCCCAGGCCCCGCCTCTCCTCTGTCCCGCCCCCTCGGTTCCCTCCTCCCCCCCGCCCCGCCCCGCGCCTCCTCCGCCGAAGGCTGGAATGTTTCCCCCACGGGCCTCCACGTTCCCAGCGGGAAGCGCCGAAAAGTCGCCAACTATTGGCCCCGGGTGCAAAGGCAAAGGTCACAAGGCATTTACTTGGCGGAGGTGTCCGGCCTGGACCCTAGTGTGCCTTGAGCGTCCCTTCTTTTTCTTGGTAGCTCTGCGTACTTTTTACCTGTCTTTTATCCTGGCGGGAACCACGTAAATTTGCGGGAACGGAGGGGAAGCGGAGAGGAAGGGATGGTCAGTGTTTCCAGATCTGTAAAAACGAGCGAAGGGTACCTGTCCCTTGGACATTGGTTATTTATTGCTAAAACCCGCATGGGTACGGAGCCAATGTAGGTGATAAATACTGCCTTAGAGGAATTGAGCTTTCACTCGGCACGTGCTGGGGGTCACAGCCCGTGTTTCTCAAACTGGCCCTTGGGCCACAGTCCGAATGCAGCTCCTGGAACTGCCCTTAGCTGGGGTCTGACTGCATAATTCCAATCTTTGATGATGAGAATCTGCAACTTTTACAAGCTCTCAGATGATTCTGATGGCCTGTAGTTTGAGGACCCCTGATGTATTAGGAAGCCTAATGTGAAGGGATCACAGCTAAATATAGTTGCATTAAGAGCCTTTAAAAAATCCAGAACTGGATTCCATGAAAATTTACTTCGGGGTTAATTGATGTTTTTGCCTGCTATCTCTGGGCAAGGAAGACTACTGAACTAAACTCATTCATTCAACAAATACAGAAAGAGCATTTACTATGTGCCAAACACAGCTGTAGACTGGGAGATACAGAAGTGAGCAAAAGAGACAAATATCCCTTCCCTCCTGGAGGTTACTTTCTCGTGGGAAAAATGCATAACAAACAAAATAAATGAGATATATAGAGTATGTCTGATGGAGATACATAAAGCAGGGAGGTAATATTGGAGCTGGGGAAGGGCACAATTTGTTTTTAAATGGGGCAAATACAAATAGGAGAATTTAGTCTCTTAATTATAGTTTAAAACTTATTGGTTTCATAGCGATATCTTAGTTTACATACAGAAGACTCTTCTCCCATTTCCCTCATAAATTTTGATAAAACAAAAATGCTGGGTGAATGCAGTGGCTCACACCTGTAATCCTAGCGCTTTTGGGAACCGAGGTGGGAGGATTGCTTGATCCCGGGAGCTTGAGACCAGGGTTGGCAATATAGCAAGACTCCATCTGTACAAAAATAAATAAATAAATAAGCTAACTTCCACTACTGGCTCCCTAATTTACCCAAAGCAGAATTCAGCTCTAAAGGGTATGGGACTCCTCCGTTCAACAGATGTTTCCAGGCTTTTTACCTACTGGTAACTGCTGAGGGTGCAAAGGCTACAGCCTGGTGGGAGGAAGCAACAGGGTTGTATGAAAAAGCGGTGCTGTGAGGGCCCAGGAAATGGAGATCTGATCTGGCCCAAGATGATGCAGTTGCCCTCATGAGTGTGGGAGCCGGAGGAGCTGCCCAAGAGCCCACCGTCACCAGCAAGGGGGAGTGTGATTCAACGGGAGGCCAGGAAAGTAAAAGCAAGAAGTTTCAGTCCCCTGCGTGACTATGTTAAGGAAAGTCCTTAGGAGTGATAAACAGTGAGAAGCCTTTTTTTTTTTTTTTTTTGAGACAAAGTCTCGCTGTGTCGCCCAGGCTGGAGTGCAGTGACACGATCTCGGGTTCACGCCATTCTCCTGCCTCAGCCTCCCGAGTAGCTGGGACTACAGGTGCCCGCCACCACACCCAGCTAATTTTTTTGTATTTTTAGTAGAGACAGGGTTTCACTGTGTTAGCCAAGATGGTCTCGATCTCCTGACCTCGTGATCCGCCTACCTCAGCCTCCCAAAGTGCTGGGATAACAGGCGTGAGCCACCGCGCCCGGTCGAGAAGCCATTTTAATGGAAGAACGCATCCCGTGATTGGATTTGCATTTTGAAAAGATCGCTCAGGCTGCAGTGTAATATTCAAACTTAAAAAATAAGAGTGCACCTTCGAAACATACTAATTTATCTTATTTATTAAAAATTCAGACTTTAAAAATATATTCTAAATATCTCCCCTCCAAATACACCAATTCTCAGAATAAGTTCTTAATATTTTTTGTTTGCTGGTTAAAGTTGTATTCTAATTTAATTAGGTTCCCAGGAGTCTTTTTATTCCACTTAGCATTCATCTTTCCAGAGTAAAACAGGCAAAACTTCTCTTCTTATTCAAGCCCCATTCCTCTCTCCTTGATTATGGATGCCACTGTCCCTGGATCTTTTCTAATTTCATTACATGTCTCTGGAGATTATGTTATGTAGTTTGCTCATTGTATAATAATACTAATAATAACTCCAAAATCCTTTCTTTTGGTGATGCATTGGTTTGCGTTTGACCTTCCCTGAATCTCATCTTCTTTCAGTCTTTGGTCTATTGACACAGCCTGTGACAAGGGCCAAGCCCCAATTTGTATAGCTTTAATTCCACTCTTCTTAGAAATGGACATGCTACATTTTGAAAGCTGCTACGCTTAAGAGAATGGTGGTTGAAAGCAGGACTTTTAGAGCAGGCCACTTACTAGGTTTATGATTAATATGTTATTTGTTTATGTTATAATTTAAACTTTTATTTTAGATTCAGGGGGTACATGTGCAGATACATTGCATGATGCTGAGGTTTGGGGTACGATTGGTTCAGTCACCCAGGTACTAATCATAGTACCTAACAGTTTTTCAACTCCTTCTCCCCTTCCTCCCTCTCTCCCCACTCTAGTAGTTCCCAGTGTGTCTTGTTGCCATCTTTATGTCCATGAGTACTCAGTGTTTAGCTCCCACTTATAAGTGAGAACATGGAGTATTTGGTTTCCGGTTCCTGTGTTAATATGGTTAACATAATGGCCTCCAGCTGCATTCATGTTGCTGCAAAGGACATCATTTCATTCTTGTTTTTGAGATCATCTCGCCCTGTTGCCGAGGCTGCAGCACAGTGGTGAAATCTCAGATCACTGCAGCCGAATGTCTGTGCATCCCACTGAGGACAAGAGGATCCCAGGCTCAAGCGATCCTCTCACCTTAGCCTCCCAAGTAGCTGGCACTACAGGTGCGTGCCACCACATCTGGCTAATTTTTGTATTTTTTGTAGAGACAGGGTTTTGCCATGTTGCTCAGGCTGCTCTTGAACTCCTGGGCTCAAGTAGTCCGCCAGTCTTGGCCTCCCAAAGTGTTGGGATTACAGGTGTGAGCCACCACACCTGGTCTATTTCATTCTCTTTTTTCATGGCTGTGTAGTTGAATATGTTATTTAGCTTCTCAAAACTTCAGTTTCATCTTTAAAAAAGAAGGTTGTTATAGTGCATACCTCATGAGGGTTTTACGAGGCTTGAATAAAATAATGTACATAAGTGCTTAACACATAATAACCATTTATTAATGTTAGCCACCATTATTAGAACTAAAACATGAAATCCTATTTAAATCATCATCCAAGAGATGATTAAAACAAAATAAGACCTTGGCATTACCCTTTGTGAATCTGAGGAACCTTTACAAGCGGGGGAAGGAAAGTGAAAAAATCATGAAGAGTGTCAACAAACAGTGGCGCTTTACCTCTTAGGGTCCCCAGGCCCCTCAGTGTCCTTCCTCTTCATTTAACCTTCAACTCATCACTCAAGGTTTCATCTGTCTCTGTCATACGTTAGAAGTTAATGTTAGATAACGTTAGATAATGTTAGAAGGGATTTTTTAGCTGAGCTGCATTCAGTGAGATTTTGGTTTGAGATGCTAAACTAAGAGGCAGGAATTACCTGTTCAATGTAGCCTGTTTCAGTGCCAACAGCTTAGGGTCCTCTGAAAATGTTTCAATACATCAAAATGAAAACCTATCATTTTGTTATATGGGGGTGTTGTTACTTATTTGTTCTCCATGGCAGATTTTTAAAACATGATTTGGCAACAAGACCTGTGCTGTTCACTGCCTGTCATGCTCTTTTGCTCTTTCTTCAGCTTGGACATCAGTTTTTGGTTTTGTTTTTTTTTTTTTTTGAGATGGAGTTTCACTCTTGTCACCCAGACTGGAGTGCAGTGGTGGGTTCTCAGCTCCCTACAACCTCCGCCTCTGGTTTAAAGCAATTCTGCCTCAGCCTCCCACATAGCTGGGACTACAGGCACCTGCCACCACGCCTGGCTACCTTTTATATTTTTAGAAGCAATGGGGTTTCACCACATTGGCCAGACTGGTCTCGAACTCCTGATCTCAGCTGATCTGCCCGCCTCAGCCTCCCAAAGTGCTGGGATTACAGGTGTGAGCCACCGCACCTGGCCAGACATCACTTTCTTGGAGACTGTTCACAGGGGTATCCGTGGCCACTGTATTTGGATGTTTTCCCATTCAACTGTGGTATTAGCATGGAAAGAAAGATTACGTAGTTAACTCCTAAACTGCATGACAGAAGCCTGAGTGACTACTGGCTTTGGTTCCTACTCTATTTTAATAATTGATATTAGTTATTATTGATACTGTCCAAGGATACTCACTTGCATTTTTCCCACTGTAATATGTTAAAAAACACTAAAGCACTGACAGGCACTTAGGCAGGCAATGATAGTGAGTAAAGTTGACCCTAGTGGGATGTTGAGAACTGGGGGGTTCAGGACCCCTCTGAGAAGACAGCCATCATTAGGGCTTAGTGGCTTGTTGACCTGTCTTAACAAGAGCTGAAAGATTTTTTCCAGAACCCCTATAATTTTATATTTGTATATGAAATCTCTCAATTTTTAGATGCTGGCAACTAATTTTAAAAAATGGAAATCCATTCCACTTAATTTTAACTTTGGGCTTTACTTAGCCCTAGGGCAACCAGTTTAAACCTCTGCTCTAGTGATATGAGCCAGGCAATCTCTTTGGAAATTGATTTCTCTCCCTGAGGAAATAACAGACTCCTCTGCACTTGGAAAATGTTATAATTTGTGTTCAATGCAGCATTGCAAAATTACAGGGGGGATAATTTTTATTTGTAATGTTCAAAGGACATACGACAAAGAATAGAATGTTTTGAAAATAATTTTAAATGGTATTCAATTAAGGAAAGTAACTAAGTTAGAAATTGAATGGCTGTCCTTAAAACATTCATTTATTGTTAAGCTTTCGTGACCCCAATCTGGGTTCTCCCCCTACCCCCACTCTCTACCCTACCTGGTATTTAGCCTTTTCAGAATTTGTCAAAACCCAAATGCTGGAGTGTAGGATGAAGAAAGAGGAGAATAATAAGGGGCTTAGGCAGCAAAATTAATTCACCACCATTTAATTTTAACTGGAGTGTGTCTCTTCTTCACTCAGACCTTCTATTGATTACAACTTTTGAATAATGCAAGTTCAAAATATAGGGAAGTTTAATTTAGTTGTCCAGTGATATTTTTAAGAGAGAGAAGCTGGGCACAGTAGTTCATGCCTGTAATCCCAGCATTTTGAGAGGCTAAGGTGGGAAAATCACAAGCCCACGAGTTTGAGACCAGCCTGGGCAACACAAGGAGACCCCATCTCTACACAACATTAAAAATAAAAAAACAATTAGCTGGGCATGCTGCTCGCCTGTGTTCCCAGCTACTTGGGAGGCTGAGGAAGGAGGATTGCTTGAGCCGGGTAGTCGAGGCTGGATTAAGCTGAGAATGTGCCACTGCACTCCAGCCTGGGCCACAGAGTGAGACCCTGTCTCAAAAAAAAAAAAAAAAAAAAAAAAAAAAAAAGGAAAAGAAAAAAAATGAGAGTCTGAGATTCTGTTGTGCCTGGGAAAATGTGATCTAATTTTCAGATAATCTTTTAAACCCCAACTATGAACCAGCCCAGCATAGTACTTTCATCATTCAACAAATATTTACTAAACCCTAGAAAAGTCAGGGTATTGGGCAAAACTAAAATAAACATGAAGAGGGCACTTGGTGGAGACAGCTCTGTTAATAGCGCTCTGTAAGGAGCTCCATGGAGGGCTTGGACGTACTGAATTCTTAGTCCTGATTTGATAAATCAACCAGCATGCTTTCCTGAGATACTTACTATATTGACAGTAGGAATTCCTTTTAAAGGCTATTTTATTTAAAGTCATCAGCTCAAGGCCTCCCTGCCAGAAAATGAACCCAAAAGTTCTGGCTTCCAGCCCCAACATCCATTTGGTCTTTACCAAGGACAGCTCTGATTCTTTCGTGTGTCCCCTGACTACACAAAAATCAAACAAGTGGAAAGTAAAACATTGTGATCACTTTTTATTTCATAAAAGCAACTAGGCTACTTTCCCATTGAATTAGCTAATTTAAATGGCATGGTCAAATATACATAATATAAAATTTACCATTTTAACCATTTTTAAATGTCCAGTCTAGTAGCATTAAGTACAGTGCATTCACGTTATTGTGTGACGATCACCGTTATCCATCTCCAGAACTTTTTCATCATCCCCACCTGAAGCTCAACAATAAACTCCTCTTTCTCCCCTTCCCCCAGCCCCTGGTAACCATTATTTCACTTGCTGTCCCTAGGAATTTGACTATTTTAGGTATGTCCTATAGGCAGAATCATACAACAGTTGCCCCTTTGTGTCTGGCTTATAATGGTTAAATATTTTCTTTCTTTCTTTTTCTTAACAAGTTTATATCTATATCTATATCTATCTATATATTTTTCCAGACACGATCTTGCTCTGTTACCCAGGCTAGAGTGCAGTGGTGTGACCATAACTCACTGCAGCCTCAAACTCCTGGGCTCAAGTGATCCTCCCACCTCAGCCTCTGGAGTAACTAGGAGTACAAATGGGCATCATCATGCCTGGCTAACGTTTGTATTATTTGTAGAGATGGAGTGTCGTCATGTTGCCCAGGCTCTTCTTGAACTCCTGGGCTCAAGCGATTCGCCTGCCTCTGCCTTCCAAAGTGCTGGGATTACAGGTTGAGCCACAGTGCCTGGCCAACTTTTTTTTTTTTCAATGAAGCATTTTTGTCTTTGCTTGTTGATCTGTAAGTATTATGTATATTAGGGATATTAACCATGTGCCATTTCTTATACAAATATTTTTACTAGTATGTCATCTGCCTTTCAAGCTTATTAATTTATGATAAAAATTAACAAGCTTCAAACAAAATTTAAAGGTCTTACTTATTTGTTCTTTTCAATTATTAACTAGGAGTTTACTTAAGTAGTTTTTCCTATAGGGCTTGACCCCAGAAAGGCGAAGACACAAATTTAATTTACAAAACAGGTCATTTACTAGATAGGGTTTTTGGCTTTATTTTTAGTTATACATTTTATTATGTACTCAAAAAATATTCTAGCTGTCTTATTTTTCTCTCTCCCCTAGTATCACATATAGATGCCTTGCTTAGAGTGAGGCCTCTATAAAAGCCTGCTGTGGCTGGGTGCGGTGGCTCACGCCTGTAATCCCAGCACTTTGGGAGGCCGAGGCGTGTGGATCACGTGGGGTCGGGAGTTCGAGACCAGCCTGACCAACATGGAGGAATCCCCATCACTACTAAAAATACAAAATTAGCTGGGCATGGTGGCGCATGCCTGTAATTCCAGCTACTCGGGAAGCTGAGGCAGGAGAATCACTTGAATCTGGGAGGTGGAGTTTGCGGTGAGCCGAGATTGCGCCATTGCACTCCAGCCTGGGTGACACAGTGCAAGAGTCTGTCTCAAAAAAAAAAAAAAAAAAAAAAAAAAAAGCCAGCTGCTAAAAAGCTAGCAGAGATCTAAGGGCACCGAGTTTTTAAGAAATGTTTTGACTTACATTTTCTGTAAGTGCAATATATGTATGTGTGCAGATATATATCCATTAATACTAATAAATCAATCCTGGAAAATCTGTGAGGTTTTCAAGAGCTACGTACAATGCTAAGATGGCTATTTTCAGCCTTTCACCTTGTCAGTAAAAAAGAATGGACTCACTCATGAGTTTATTTCCACTAAGGAGACGTTTTGTGCTCATTTGAACTGTATGTTGCTCTTTCTTTCTGGTGGATTGGTCCTAAAATAAGATGCTATGGGGTGGGTTCGGGCAATTGCCTGGAAAATAAAGCACAGTTCCCTTTCTTCGCTGCTAACTACAGCATGATGGCCATTCTAGAGCTATTTCTGGAAACCCCTACACAGCTCCAGATCATTAACTTACTTTAATAGTCAGCAGGAGAATGGAGCTGCCGTCTATCTTCCAAGATTGGCTTTTCATGTGTAACTAACTCAATTATCTCTTATTGATTCAGTTGAATTAAGCTGGACTTTGGGGGAACTGCAAGGCAACGAATTACACATTTTAAAAAATAGACCTAGCAACAAGGCTTATGATATGGTTAGATTTTGTGTCCCCACCCAAATCTCATCTTGAACTGTAATCCCCAGGTATTTAGGGAGGCACCTACTGGGAAATGATTGGATTACGGGGGTGGTTTCTCCATGCTGTTCTCGTGATAGTGAGTGAATTCTCACGAGATCTGATGGTTTTATAAATGGTAGCTTTTTCCCACACTCATACATACACAGTCGCTCCTGCCGCCTTGTGAAGAAGTTACTTGCTTCTGCTTCAGCTTCCGCCATGATTGTAAGTTTCCTGAGCCTTCCCCAGCGGTGGCGAACTGTGAGTCAATTAAACCACTTTCCTTTATAAATTACCCAGTCTTGGGTATTTCTTTATAGCAGTGTGAAGAACGGACTAATACAACTTACTAGTTGTGAAAGACTAATATTTGAGGATTTATCAGTAGAGAAAGGATTAGATCTGATCTCTATTATACAGATTTTCTGTTCCTGAACAAACAGCTATTTCTCTACTGGTTGTCATCTTTTAGACGGTTAACAAAATAAATATATTAAGGCAAAAACAACACAGAGGATTAGAAAAGTCTGCTAAATTTCATAACCGAGTTCTCCAGATATCTGAATCTCTAATAATAAAAATAAAAATCTAGCTATATAGTGCTTACTTAGGCTACATCATAACACTATGATATAAGAAGGTTAAAAGTAAAAGGAAAATTAGGATAACTACATATTTATGAGAAATAAAAGTTTTTAATTCAAAAAAGACTTTAAGTGGTAAAGAGGGTTATTACACAACACTAAAAAGTTTATTTAACTAAAATAGGGAAAGAAAACTATTCTGAACCCATGTACCCCTAACAAAACCTCAAAATATACAGAGTAAAACTGGCATGCCAGGCAAGGTGGCTCACGCCTGTAATCCCAGCACTTTGGGAGGCCGAGGCAGGTGGATCACCTGAGGTTGGGAGTTCGAGGCCAGCCTGACCAACATGGAGAAACTCCATCTGTACTAAAAATACAAAATTAGCTGGGTGTGGTGGCACATTCCTGTAATCCCAGCTACTTTGGAGGCTGAGGCAGGAGAATCACTTGAACACCAGAGGTTGCGGTGAGCCAAGATTGTGCCGTTGCGCTCCAGCCTGGGCAACAAAAGTGAAACTCCGTCTCAAAAAAAAAAAAAAAGGCAGAATTAGAGGGAGAAACTAACCAATATCATATTGGTGGGTGCAAGCCCAATAAAAACGTTTTAATGATCATGTATAGATATCTGTATCCATCAGTTAGAACATACACATTTTCAAAGCTACTGATATTAAGAACAAACAAAAAACAAAAGCACTGACCATATACTAAACCATCAATTAAATCTCAGCAAATTTCAAATAGGTGGTATGATACTGACCGCTGTTGTGCTCTGAAAACATGTGCAGAAAATCTTTGGCAACCCTTTCATCAAAAGGTGGAGTCAATGTCCCCTTCCCCTGAACCCAGGTGATGCTTTTTGACTTTTAATAAACAAAATATGACATATGTGATTTTGTGTTACTTCCTAGGTAGGTTAGAAAAGGTCAGGTAACTTCAGTGAGTTTTTCTTTTTGAGACAGGGTCTCAATCTGTTGCCTAAGCTGAAGTGCAAAGGTGTGATCACGGTTCACTGCAGCCTTGTACTCCTGGGCTCAAGTGATCCTTCCTCCTCCGCCTCCCAAGTAGCTAGAATTACAGGTGTGCACCATCACCCTGGTTGATTTTTTTTTTTTTTTCCTGCTAAATTGGTGTCCTCTCACCTTAGCCTCTTAAAGTGCTGGGATTCCAGGCCTGAGCCACCACACCCAGCATCAGTGACTTTTTCTTGGGATAATCATTCTGGCGTCTTTGGCTACAATGTAAGAAGTTTGGTTGCCCTGAGGCCCTGATGTTGAAAGACCAAATGAAAAGCTGAGAGAGAGAGAGAGAGAGAGAGAGAGAGAGAGAGAGAGACATAGACATGCCAAGGTTTTCCAGCCGTTTCAGCCCAGAGCTGTTTGAGTTTTCCCCGGGCAGGCACATGTGAATGGAGAAGGCTTTAAGAGAGGCTGACCCCAGCTATCATCTGACTGCAGCGGCCGGAGAGACCCTGTGATGGTTAATTTTTGGTGGCAACTTGACTGGGTAAAAAGGGCTGAACAGATAGCTGGCAAAGTATCATTTCTGGGTATCTTTATGAGGGTGGTTCTGAAAGAGACTTAGGACTGAATCAGTGGACTAAGAAAGATCTCTCACCCAATTTGGACAGGCACTGTCCAATCAACTGAGCACCCAGATAGAACACAAGACAGAGGAAAGCAAATTTGTTCTCTTCTGGGGTTGGGTCACCATCTTGTCATGTCCTTGGACATCAGAACTCCAGCTTCTCTGGCCTTCAGACTTGAACCAGTGCCCCTGCAGGATCTTAGGCCTTCAACCTCAGACTGAGAGTTACCACTGTCAGATTCCTTGGTTCTGAGGTTCTGGACTTGAACTGAGCCGTGCTATCAGCTTCCTTGGTTCTCCACCTTGCGGATGGTGTATTATGGGACTTCTCAGCCTCCGTAATCACGTGAGACAATTCCCTTAATAAATTATCTCTCGGGCCCAGCACAGTGGCTCATGCCTGTAATATCAGCACTTTGGGAGGCCGAGGCAGGCAGATCACGAGATCAGGAGATCGAGAACATCCTGGCTAACACAGTGAAATCCCGCTTCTACTAAAAATACAAAAAATTAGCCAGGCGTGGTGGTGGGTGCCTGTAGTCCCAGCTACTCGGGAGGCTGAGGCAGGAGAATGGTGTGAACCAGAGAGGCAGAGCTTGCAGTGAGCCGAGATTGCACCACTGCACTCCAGCCTGGGCAACAGAGCGATACTCTGCCTCATAAACAAATTAAATAAAAATAAATTCTCTCTCATCCATCTATCTATTTATCTGTCCTACTGGTTCTGTTTTTCTGGAGAACCTTGACTAATACAGACCCCTAAGGAAGAACTGCCTAGCCATGTCCAGTAAACACTCAGATCCATGAGCAAAATAACTGATTGCTATTGTTTTAAGCCATTGCCTTGAAGTATTTTGTTATGCAGCAACAGATAATTAGAACGGCCACATTCTCTGACCAAATGCAATAAATTAAAAATCAAAAACAAAAGTATTTATAAATTATAAATACTTTCATTTATAATTTGAAAAAGTACTAAATATCTCATGAACTGAGGAGAAATCATACTGAAAATTTTAAAATTCCAAATGATAGTGAAAGTAGTACCTATTTAAACTTATGAGAGATAGCAGAGCCAGTATCTGATGAAACATATAAGCTTAATTGCTTATATTAGCAAAGAAGAAAGTCTAAAAACTAAGCACCCAGTTCAGAAAAAGCACAAAAGAATAAAAAAGCAAAACAAAGAATTTAAAAATAAAAGAACATAAATAAAATTAGACAAAAGATATAACTGGGCATAGAAAACATACAGTGAATAAACGTATACTAAGTTTATACTTTAAAATGCTAAGTTCTCCATGAGAACTCGTGTATATTTCTCATAGAAAGGTGTGTTACTACAACTTCTTAAGAAAAATTTTACATTCACATTAAAGCTAAACACTAATTATGCTATGATCTAGCAATTCTACTCTAAGGGATGTACTAGGGAAACTGTTTCTTTAGAGAAACTCCAAACAACTAAAAATATCTACAGCAGCATTATATTAGGAAAAACTGGAAATAATCCAAATGTCCATCAACTGAAGAATAGATCTTTAAAAATTGTATATTTTCACAGTGGAATATTACACAGCAGTGAAAATAAATGAGCATAGCTACATGCAACAACGTGGATAAATCTTTGAAACAATGTTGAATGAAATATAAAAGCTAAAAATAAAGAGCTTACATAATTTTCAATTTAATAAAATATGAAGGGAATATAAGATCAATATTCAGGATTATGATTTCCTCTGACGCAAGCCAAGGAAACTGGTTAGGGAAGAGCATGGGGGTAACTTTAACAGGAAAGAATATTCTAGTTCTTCATTGCGTGGTGGGTTAATGGTGTTGTATTATTGTGCCTCATAATGTATATATCATAGTCTCTTAAAATATACTGTAGGGCCGGGCGCAGTGGCTCATACCTGTAATCCCAGCACTTTGGGAGGCTGAGGCGGGTGGATCACAAGGTAGATCGAGACCAGCCTGGCCAACATTGTGAAACATCGTCTCTACCAAAAACACAAAAAAATTAGCCGGACATAGTCGTGTGTGCATGTAGTCCCAGCTACTCGGGAGGCTGAGGCAGGAGAATCACTTGAACCCGGGAGGTGGAGGCCGAAGTGAGACTAGACTGTGCCACTGCACTGCAGCCTGGGCAACAGAGCAAGACTCCATCTCAAAAAAAAAAAAAATACACTGTAATACGTAATAGTTGTAGTAATATCACACTGATATTTTGCTTATGTTTTAAAAGGACTCTTTTTTTTTAATCAGTACTAGTTACCCTCTATTGTAGTGTTATTATTGAAAAGTTCCATAACTAGTGAGCTAGTGATACTAAAAATAATAACTTTTTAATATCTAAATTTGTAAGTTATTAGAAATAATCACCAAATTGGCCCTATTTTCTTCTTTGTATTGTCAAAGCCAAATAATATTAATATTATTAATAATAATAGTAGTCATAGTAATTTGATCTGTAAAGGAATAGCTACTTTCCAATATTAATATCAACTTTATTATTATATGGCATCTTACACAGGGAGCTTCCATATTTATTTCAGTTCTGTGTTTTTAAAAAGTTGACATCATTACTATTGCTTGTGCTATTAGAATGCTTAAAGTTGAGAGGATAAAGTCCAAGATAAGAGTTATGGCAAGGTTTATAATATTCTTCACAGAAAGTCACAAGGAAAAGCAAACCAGGAAATTTAATTTAGAAACCAAAGGACACTTCTGGTTAGTGTTGACTTGACTGGGCCCGAATAGAGCTCTGTTTCTAAATAATGCTTTGACATCTGCATGGCATTTAGGAAGAATGAAGGAATGCTGACTAATGTAGTATAAATTTTAAATCTCTCTGGGATGATCAATCTAAATTTAGGCAAGTGGAAGACAAAAGCTTCTCTAAACCGTGTTGAAAATGAAATCAATCAGCTCACAATGTATATATATTTTTCTTCATTTGCCCTGGTTTGTCTAACTGTACCTAGGAACCATTCATCAGTAACAAAAAAATATTCTTTGTCCTTGCTAGGCCATTATAGAACTGAATCTATCAGCTGTATCATTTAGATTCTTCCTTAGAACCTAGTTTCTAAGTAAGACTGCCAGTCTCCTGGGGGAGCGAGGGATCTCACCCAAAACTCTGACCTAAATAAATCTCCACTACAAAACTGAAGATGAATGATGAATGAAGCACCAGTGAACTTCCCTAAATTAGTATGTGTGGATTTCTTTTTCCCCTTTTCAAGTGAATTGAGTATTTCTCTGTGCTAACAGCATTGGGGTCACATTCTTCTATCCCAGTAGCTTGTGTTCCTTCTCTCACTCATTTCGAATCTGAAAACTGGAAAAGAAAGTTCTTTCATACTGATTTTCAGATCTGTGGCTGATACTGACCATGTGAATCTGCATATTTCACAGTTCTGGAGCGGGCAGGCACTCTTATCTGGAATTTAAGTGTATAATGAAGCAGTTCTACTCCAACCAGGACCAAGGTTCGAACAGTACTGTCCAGCATGCTCTGAGCTTGAGAGTGTGGGATCTCAAGGTACAGCATACTTATTATTATTATTTTTTTTTTGGCTAGCCACAGAAAAGCATTTATTGGCTGGGCATGGTGGCTCACGCTTGTAATCCCAGCACTCTGGGAGGCCTAGGCGGGCGGATCATGAGGTCAAGAGATTGAGACCATCCTGGCCAACATGGTGAAACCCCGTCTCTACTAAAAAGACAAAAATTAGCTGGGCGTGGTGGCAGGCGCCTGTAGTTCCAGCTACTCGGGAGACTGAGGCAGGAGAATGGCTTGAACCCGGGAGGCGGAGGTTGCAGTGGCAGAGATCGCACTACTGCACTCCAGCCTGGGCAACAGAGCAAGACTCCATCTCAAAAAAAGAAGAAAAGCATTTATTACTAACCTGAGATTTGACAACAAACCATTGTTGTATTCTTCCTCTCTATAGAAATGATGTACTGTTTTGTGTTGTGCTGTGTGTTGCATGTGTGTGATAAGATGTTTGATTTTTTTTTTTAATTTTAGGTCTGGGGTACATGTGCAGGTGACATAGGTAAACTTGTTACATAGGTAAACTCATATTCACAGGGGTTTGTTGTACAGATTATTTCATCACCCAGGAATTAAGTCCAGTACCCAATAGTGATCTTTTCTGCTCCTCTCCCTCCTCCTACCTCCACCCTCAAGTAGACCTCAGTGTCTCTTGTTCCCTTCTTTGTGTCCATAAGTTCTCATCATTTAGCTCCCACTTACAAGTGAGAACATGCAGTATTTGGTTTTCTGTTCCTGTTAGTTTGCTGAGGATAATAGCCTCCAGCTCCATCCACATTCCCGCAAAAGACAGGGTTCTGTTCGTTTTTGTGGCTGCATAGTATTCCATGGAGCACACACAATTTTGATTTCGTGGCCACTAACAGCTATGCAGGGCCTGTAAGGAGAAGCTGACCAACTAAATCCTGTGTATGTGTGTGTGTCTTTTACACAAATGGGACACAGGCATGCTGGCATTTCCTCCTTGGTAACATCTGCAGGCTTGAGAGGGTTGTTTTTGTTGTTGTTGTTGTTTTCTGTCTAAAAGCCTAACCTAAAGTTCTTAGGCTCTATGCTCTCCCTTCTCATTCTTCTATGCATTTACTTGACAGCAAACACCTAGCTGGCCAGTAATGAGGTGATAATTTTTTCTTTTTTATTTTTTATGAGATGGAGTCTTGCTCTGTCTCCCAGGCTGGAGTGCAGTGGCGCGATCTTGGCTCACTGCAAGCTCCGCCTCCCAGGTTCACACCATTCTCCAGCCTCAGCCTGCCGAGTAGCTGGGACTACAGCTGCCCGTCACCACGCCCGGCTAATTTTTTGTATTTTTAGTAGAGACAGGGTTTCTCCGTGTTAGCCAGGACGGTCTCGATCTCCTGACCTCGTGATCTGCCCACCTCGGCCTCCCAAAGTGCTGGGATTACAGGTGTGAGCCACTGCGCCCAGCCAATAATATTTTTATGATACTGTTTGGAAATCTCTCAGCAGAATCAATCAAAATACAGAAGGCACAATCTCAATTCTATTATCCTGAGAGAGCTTAACTCAAGTAAACTTTCAAAACTCCTCCATTTGCCCTTCCTAGTTCACATCCCACCCTGGAATCAAGCTCTTTTTCCTAGCTCCTTGTTCATATATGAGCTCTGTTCTTTTCCTTCAATTTCTCTGAAATTTTAAAACGGCAACTCTGGTGCCTCATTGTATTCTGGGCATTAATATTCTTCTCATTTCCTACCCCCAGAACTTGCTCTGAAGCAGTCTGTGTCTTTCCCTCGGACAAACTATTTAACTCAACATCTTTTGTTGCTCCCTAGCCCTGTATTGAGCCAATCCCCTGCTAATTGTCAGGTCATAAAAATATAGTATTTGCCCTCTCTGTGTCTATTCCTCATCTCAGTCTATAAAATCTGATTAGGGTCCTTCTTCCTGGCTCTATCCCGACCCATCTGTACCTTCACTCTTCCTGCCCAAGCATGACCAACATTAATATTTTTCACGTTCTCTTTTATAGTTGATGACATTCCCCCTATCTTCAGAAAGGCAAAGAGAACCTGTGTACTTGGCCAGCCTTAGGAGCAGTTGGAAGAACATCTGTACCTAAGAAAGAATGAGCTATAAACAAACTTTAGTCCCCACTGGTTAAGGCTGGAATAAAACAGGTGATTGTGAGACCAAAGCTCCATGAACAGCTCCTGGGGGCGTCAGGCCTCTTGTTTGCACTGGGTTGGGGAATACTTGCCTAAATGAATTACTCTCAAAATCCAAAACTGAGACTTCATTCTGCTGGTAACCACATACTTTGTTTAAAGAAATCTTCTCAAGGAAATAATAGGCGTTTCTCAAGATCTGTCAGCTCTGGGCCAGTATTACATCAGCCATTTGTCTCTGAAGGGTGTTGTATTGCCCATAAAACCGACACCACTTGAATGTCTTTTGTGGTCTGGGATGCATATATGTGTGTATGTGCGGGTGAATATATGTTTCTCCAGCCCTCTTAGACAGCTTAAAAGAAATGGAGAAGAAAGACAGCACTATGGGTTGCGTCTGGGGAGGCCCTGTGGCTTCTCACATTACATCTATTTGTAATGCCCTTTTTTTATAAGAAAAAAGTTTAATGAGTGTTTTCTTTTAAAATTAAGTATTGCAATGGCTTGCCCAGCAGGCTTCATTATTCCTTTCAAGGTGTATTTTTTTTCTTCAAATTACATTAGACAGTGATTGGGAGATGGTAACTAATAATAAGGGTTTCATTGTCTCTCTTTTTTTTTCTTTGTCGCCAATACTGTAATTACTCACTGTATTGCCCTTAACAAGGAGCTATGGATGAGCCATGGTGTGTAACCCTTATCATGTGACTCCCTGGTACAGACAGGGATTGTGAGACACATGACTGGCAGTAAACACAGAAGCCTGCGATGGCTTTAATATCCTCTTAGACAGAAGCATGACATATTAGTGGGGACTTCCTCCTTTGCAGGAAACCAGGCCTCTGGCTATGGCTTTGTCTTTAACTCAGTCTTAGATCTTCATAAACACTTTCCCCCTGAACTCTAAAGGACCCGTGCTTTTCAGTAACAGTTTAATGTGCATGAAACAAAAACTCAGATAAAGGCTTCAAGCATAAAATCTCACTGAGGGGTCTGATTTCTCAAGATGCTTTCTACAAACAGACTTCACATCCAGAAAAATATTTCAACAGAGAACTTTCTTCCCTGGAGAAAATACTGGCCTTAAAAATGCATGAGCCTTCATAAGTAATAGTGAAGCTCAGATGTTTTAAAGAAATACAACTTGCTACATTCTATTAGGGACAGGTTGTAGTCAAGGCCCTCAGTGAAGTGTCTTGGATAAGAGATGTCTACAGATGGAACAGGGTAGTTGGGAGGTAATAACTAGGAATTACAGGAATTGGAACCATATGATGATGAAATATCTGGGGAAGTTGAATTACAAGAGGAGAATGTGAATCCTTATAAAACACGGGTAAAGATCTGTGGGCAGATGTCTGAAGAAAGTGGACTCGAAAACATAAAACATATGATGTTTACATGGGAAGACTCAGCATTTACAGATGTCAGTCTTCCTCACTCTGTCAATTTAATGAATTACCAGTAAAAACACCAACAGCGAATTTTCAGCATAATGATAATACACATTCAGTACTATGTATGCACTTTTGAAGTGTTTTCAACTATTAGTCCCCACAACAATCTTATGATTATTAATATCACCGTTTTATGGATGAGGAATTTAGGCAGAATTTGAACAACTTGCCTAAGGTCATACAGGTGGTAAACAGTAGAACTGAGACTCCAACCCAGGGATTCAGGCTCTAAAGCCTCTGTGTGTGCTTAAGTGTAATCTGCATTTTCAAATCAATGGAATTAGTCAGTCTAGAAATGGACTGAAAAAGAAAAAAGAATTTAGATTTAATTGACTGTAGCTTTGCATATCAACGGAAGAAAAGAGAAATGATTAATCAGTATCTGAGCTTGAGCTACCTTGATTGCCATCCAGAAACTAAAGAAGTTGACCCCAGCCTACTCTTTGCACCCAAGTATTTTTCAAATGTATCAAAGATTTAAAAGTAGAAAACAAAATGAAAATGATGTGAAGAAAACCTGAGTGTCTGAAGGACAGGGGTTGGGGAAAGACTTTTTATTCCATACTATATTACACCTTTAAAATTTTATACCATTTACATTTATTGTCGGTAAAAGTTATTTTTTTTAAAAAAAGAAAGTGGTAAGGCTGCATAATGTATGTTATGAATAAATGCTGTTGCATTCAGACCCTGTTCCTGCAGGAACAGATCTCTGCGATTTATTCCATCCCAGAAAAATATGGTTGTGTTCTATCTATTGCTGTGTCATATTATGGATTGCCCATTTTTTATAGTTTCATATTAATTGGACAGTATGAACTTCCCCTCCATGTTTACTAAATACAGTCTCAGGGTTGCTTTGAGTGCACAACTGTACTTGTAAGTTTAGGCATGCTTTGTGGGGCACAGGTTGGTTCTTTAGACAAAGTCCAGAGCCTTCAAAAAGTGGCAGCAGTGCCAGGTTTTCCAAAGTCCGTAAGAAGTGTTCTGAAATGACCCAGAAGTTACCATCTAGTCATTGCTAATGGTGGTTAACAACTTTGCATGCTTCTCTTGATAGACACAAATCATTCTTTTTGGTTCACCTGCAAAGATTTTGGATTAAACTCTGTAATTCTGAGTTTATATAACCCAAAAAAATGACTCAATATGTTTGAATAATGTCAATGGTATCTCAATAAAGCTTTAATTAAAGCGTCTTTATTTAGTGGATTATGAATTATTCTTAGTTAATGAAGCAGTGGTTTTAATTTCCATGAAATATTGAGGCAACCTTTCCGAAGGTGTGCTAATGCCATTCAAATATAAGTTTTTAAAAATGAATGTTGTATTTTCTTTATGCTTAACAAATGGAAGCATGGGCAACGTGGAGAAACACCACCTCTACCAATAATAATAATAATAATAAAATTAGCCAGGGACAGTGGCTTGGGCCCATAGTCCCAGCTACTGGGGGTGGGTTGGTAGCTAAGATGGGAACAGCACCAGAGTCTGGGGAGGTCAAGGCTGAAGCAAACCATGATCTTGCCACTGCACTCTAGCCTGGGTGACAGACTGAGACCCTGTCTCTGGGGAAGAAAAAAAAAAAAAAAGCAACCAACCATAACTTGGTCAATTATCTGAAAAGCTGCTGCCATTTTTGCCTTAGAGAATTAGTTGGTTAGAAGAATTTAAGTTTATGACTTAATGAAACTTTGTAACTACTTTGACCATAACAGACTTTAAGGTATATTTTCTTCTTAGCATGTTGCCTCCGCATATTTTCATTTTCGCTTTGTGGAAATACCCTATGCTCTTCCTTAAAATTTTTAACATTCATACTGTGCCTGGAATTGGTGGGTTGTTGGTCTCACTGACTTCAAGAACGAAGCCGCGGACCCGCGCAGTGAGTGTTACAGATCTTAAAGATGGTGTGTCTGGAGTTTGTTCCTTCTGGTGTTCTGACGTGTTCAGGGTTTTTTTCCTTCTGGTGGGTTCGTGGTCTCGCAGGCTTCTGGAGTGAAGCTGCTGATCTTCGCTGTGAGTGTTACAGCCCTTAAGGTGGCGCGTCTGGAGTTGTTCTCTCCTCCCGGCCAGAGCTCTCCATTCCTCTCCGTGAGTTTGCGATCTCACTGGCCTCAGGAGTGAAGCTGCAAACCTTCACAGTGACTGTTACAGCTCATAAACGCAGTGTGGACCCAAAGAGCGAGCAGCAGCAAGATTTAATGCAGAAACTTAAAAACACCAAAGCTTCCACAGTGTGGAAAACGACCCAAACAGGTCGCCACTGCTGGCTCCAGCAGCCTGCTCTTATTCCCTTATGTGGTCCCACCCACATCCTGCTGATTGGTCCATTTTACAGAGAGCTGATTGGTTTGTTTTGACAGGGTGCTGATTGGTGCGTTTACAATCCCTGAGCTAGACACAGAGTGCTGATTGGTGCATTTACCATCCTTTAGCTAGAGGTAAAAGTTCTCCAAGTCCCCACTAGATTAGCTAGACACAAGGCACTGATTGGTGTGTTTACAAACCTAGAGGTAGACACAGAATGCCGATCGGTGCGTTTACAATCCCTGAGCTACACAGAGTGCTGATTGGTGTGTTTACAAACCTTGAGCTAGACACAGAGTGCTGATTGGTGTATTTACAGTCCTTTAGCTAGACATAAAGGTTCTCCAAGTCCCCACTAGATTAGCTAGACAAGAGCACTGATTGGTGTGTTTACAAACCTTGAGCTAGACACAGGGTGGTGATTGGTGTGTTTATAATCCTTTAGCTAGACACAAAGGTTCTCCAAGTCCCCACCAGATTAGCTAGATACAGAGTGCTGATTGGTGCATTTACAAACCCTGAGCTAGACTCAGGGTGGTGATTGGTGTGTTTACAATCCTTTAGCTAGACATAAAGGTTCTCCAAGTCCCCAGCAGACCCAGAAGCCCAGCTGGCTTCCCCTAGTGGATCCCGTGCCAGGGCCGCACCAGGTGCTTGCGCTCCTCAGCCCTCGGGTGGTCACCATGGAGCAGCGGGAGGCACCCATCAGGGAGACTCGGGCCTGCGGGAGCCCGCTGCGGTGGGGGCTCAGGAATGGCCGGCTGCAGGTCGGGAGCCCTGCCCTGCTGGGAGGTGGCTGAGGCCCAGTGAGAATTGGAGCATGGCGCCTGCGGGCCAGCAGTGCTGGGGGACCCGGCGCCCCCTCCGCAGCTGCTGGCCTGCGTGCTAAGCCCCTTACTGCCCAGGGCCGGCGGTGCCGGCCAGCTGCTCCGAGTGCGGGGCCTGCCGAGCCCGAGCCCATCCGGAACTCGTGCTGGCCCACGAGTGCCAGTGCGCAGCCCCGGTTCCTGCTGGCGCCTCTCCCTCCACACCTCCCGGCAAGCAGAGGGAGCTGGCTCTGGTCTCAGCCAGCCCAGAGAGGGGCTCCCACAGTGCAGCAGCGGGCTGAAGGGCTGGTCAAGCGGGGCCAGAGTGGACGCTGAGGCCTGAGGAGGCGCCGAGAGCGAGCGAGGGCTGCTAGCATGTTGTCACCTCTCAATACTTTATTGCACACTCATATTTAATGTAAACAATAGATTATATAGATGATCAAGGAAGAAAAAATAGAAAAACGACTCAATTTTTCACTTAGAAATAAGCGCTATTAAAATTTTGATAGGTAGATAAGGGAATCCTATTATAGCAATCACTGTTTTTTATAAATTTAAAAAACTTATGTTTTTAAAATTCAAATAATATGGAATTGAATAAACTCAAAAGTGAAACTTTCGTATATGAGGTAGTATCATTCAAATCATTTTCTATGCAATTACTGTCATATCCTAGGCATTCTCATTCTGTAACGTATATACTTGTATTTAAACACACCCTTTTTCTTCACTAATTTCTATGCAAACTTTCTACAACTTGCGCTGCTTTTTTTTTTTTTTAAAGCGAATGTCTCCATATCGGTGTATAAATGTACTCAATTTCTTTTAAAGTATGCATAGAATTCTATTATATGGCTATATCCTAATTATTTAACTAGTCTTCTGTTGATGGTCATTTATAATGTATCCAGTTTTTTATTGCTTCAGTAAATATCCTGGTGCCTGTAGGTTTTTTATGGTGAGCACATGACAAAACCACCTCCACCAAAAAGCAAATGAAAAATAAAAGATATGGTTGGACATTAACATTCTTAGTTTTAGAGTCTTAAGTACTGTAATTATAATAAATGTTCTAGTTTATACATTTTTAGGCTAAAACAATAATTTAAATCTATTTTTTTAAAAAAACATGTTCACCAAAGTAGGTATCTTCAGTGCCTCAGGAAGTTAATTAATAAAATATTGAGATACATGCTTTTAGTTAAATAAAACTTAAATATTCTAATATTTGATAAGTTCCCATATATTTTAAAGTAATATTGTTTGCTATATTAAGTTGCAATTTGAGGGTCTTCATTATGACTCTGATAAAAATTTTGCTAATTTAGAATTACCCCCAAATCTGAGGTCTCCTGCTAAATATTACTTATTAATGAAAATGCAATAAAGATCACATTTAATAGTTCACATGAGGAATAAAAGAACTCAGAGCTGTAGGTTGGTAGTAACTTTAACTGAATATATTCGCTATGAGCCGAAAGCTCATAAAGTGAAATGAGAAACCTTCTAACTAGTTTTTATTTTATAAGAGTGAAATATTTTTAAATAAATGCACTGGAAACTCATTCTATCTCATTTTTCATTCTGAGTCTTGATTTTTTAGACATTTGAAAAAAATCTGTTCTTTAAATTTATTCTAGATATATCCCTCATTTGCCAACTTAAAAATTGGAGACAAATGTGACAATTTATTTTCTTGTTGCTTAATCAGCAAGGTACATCAACCCATCAAACCAGCAAAGATGTGGCGACAGTATTCAAGATTAATAATCTTTAAAATAGATTATTATTCTTTTCTTTTGGGAAGTTAGCTTGCTTAATATATTATTAAGCTTACTGTTAACAACTGTTTCAACCCTTACTCCAAGCTGAGTCCTATAGCAACTTTCTGCCATGAATATCATGGCCAAAATGTCATCCCGTAGGATCCAAGTTACATTCACATACAGTATCCTGAGTACATAGTTTTGTTTTGTTCTGAATTTCTTCCTGCTGTGCTAAATAATTACAAGGTTACAAGGTGAGAGTGCGCTGGGTGTACCAGATGCTTTTTATATATTAGCTCTCACTATGCTTTACATTGTTCTGTTGTGTGAGTTGCCCTGATGAAAACTCTTCTTTTCCTTCCCACCAAAGCCTGGCAAAACCTATCAAATATTTTCTCTCGGAAATTCTGACTCTTGAGTCATTGGCGGGCTGCGCATGCACACACTTCCCATCCCTTCCTTCCAGGGCGTAATCATACTGGTTAGGGGGAGGAAAGGGTGGGTGTCCACATTTATAAACTCTAGAATGAAAGGTTATGAAAATTCCAAGTGTCCCTGTATCTGATGTGGCTAAAGAGAATGTTCGCAACTCAAAAAGTCAGGGATTTTAGGTGGAAGGCTAGCTCAGAGCATCCCTCAGTAGGATCCAGCCAGCGCCTAATAACTACTAGATTTATCCAGGGGCAACCCTATGCTTTGCCCCTTTGAAAATGGAAACCTTGTTAAAGTCAATGTATATTTTCCGAGAATACATTCGGGATAGGCAGAATAGCCACTGTCTATTGCCTTTGTGATTTTTTTTTCCGAGTATGAAGGTTAGAGTAAAATTCCAGGATTAACTGCAACGTCTGAAATCTGATTCTCAGACAGGAAGTGTAAACAATTGTGCTGATGGTGTTCACGCAGAACCTTGAGACTGATTTACCGGGGACTTTTTGGAACTTTGTCATGCGTGTCACGCTGACCCTGCAAACTTAATTACCTAAGCCATAAGAGGCAGGATACCTACTTCTCTGCACCATAACTTACAAATGAAAACCGGTTACCCAGTGAAACTATCTTTTTCCCTTTTTTGGTATAAGCAAACAAGTCTGAAATACTCTATGACATTAAGGACTCAAATAATCTTTGACAGTAAAAAGAAAAAAAAGAATACGTGCAATTTGAGTAGGCGGGGTTAGAGAAAGTACAGGAGCAAAAAGTGAAATTGAGCCTTGAAGGAGTTTGGGAACAGACGAAAATTTACCACAGGGAAGAACATGTGTTTTTGTAAGAGAGAGCCTGCTAATGCATAGCTTCAGAGGGGACAATTGGAATAAGCAGGTGAGGAACAAAAAAAGGCAGTGATTAAGGGTAATTTAGCATTTGAAAAATAAGAAATCTTTGGTAATCACCACACACCTACTTTTTATTGGCTCCCAAATCATAGGCTAACTGAACTAATCTAAGCTGACTGAAGAAGGGTCAAGCAGCCTGTTGCCTCACAAAAATAACTATATTGTCGGGGCAGAGGTCTAAAAAGGGATGTCTTCAAAAATGCTATCCTGAGCTCTAGAATTTAAATGCTAACAGGGTGGCTATAATTAAATTCTATCTGAATGTAAATCCTTGGAGATTCTTTCACACTCTGCATGGAAACTTAGCTTTTATAATTTTTATTACACTTGGAATCATAATATTTCTTTTCCTCTTCCACTAGGGCAATTGACGTTTTTTCCTCTCAATTTCTATTTACCACACAACATGCTTTACAACAAAAATAAAGCACATTTTAAAAGGGAAAACTTACTCATTTAGTTTACTCACTAGTTTACAGTAGTAGAATTCTTTGAAGTAGAATTGTTTGAAACGAGATATCATGGGAATATTTCAGGGTTTGGAACTTGTGCATACAAACCAGCTGGGCTTTGTTTAAAGTTTTAAAGCCTTCAGATATTTCAATGAGAGAAACTCAAGACAGCTTTTTTTATATATGTCAAGAGGTCACATTTTTATTGGTTCATCTGTGTGTCATATAAAAGCCCATGTTTTTAACCATAGTGTATCTCTGGGGTCCCCGCCCAATCACCCCATATCATCAAGAGGGGTTAATTGTGTGTCTGACTTTTGTTAAGTGTACACTTATTTATGGGAGCCATATTCAGTGAAACTTGTTCATCTTTCTACATAATAAACAAAAGAAACAGTATTTTACAATGCATTTGCTCTACTTGGAGTAACTACAGTTGATTTTAATTTAGAAACGGTTGTGTTGAAATCATTTGTGTATTTGGGGAAAATTCATGATTATTCAATTGTACCTTGACCCTAACTTTGTGACGCCTATGAAAACAAAGGTGAATCTTGTTAGACAAGGCTGGCGAGAGGTTCTGAGACAGGTAAGAGAAGAGGAAATGCATCCAGTAATATGTGCTTGTTCTTCCTCGGGTCAAACAGTATCTTGTGATATCTGTGAAGCTTTCCCATAGTGAAATCTGGAACATTTTAAAGGGAGGGACAGATACTTCCCTCCAGATCTAGCCCTGCTTTTCTTCCAGTGCTTTTCATTAAGGTTCCTCAGTAATCTTTATTGCTAGAGTTAATGTTCACAACCACCACCCTCCCCCCCCCCCCCCGCCCGCCACACATCTCTCCTCTTTTTTTCCTCTGTCTTATTTTTCTTTGACACCTCTGCATCATAAGACAGGTTAGGTAGTTTGTTTAGCTTCATTTTATGACAGAGAGAAACAAATCCAGGGTCCCCTGGTACACCCAACAGACATACAACTAACACTGGAGTCTGGGTTGCAGCCCAGGGATGAGTGCCCTGAGCCCCTGAACCTTTGCGTTGAGATGGACCACTCTGGGAACCAGCGCTGTATTCATACAAACAGCTGCAGAATGTAGCAAGGAAATTTATGTAATTAGTGAAGCAGGCAGAGATAGGAGTTTTGGCTTCATATTCAAATTCCACTCCATGAGCCCAAGGTGGAGAGTGTTTTGTTATCTACCCACGTGGGACTGATTTCCCTTTTAGGCCTCTAAATCAAATACCAGTACGGTGGCAGGAGCCCAAGAAACTGTAAGAGATTGAGGCCAGAAAATTCTCATGCGTCCACTCCCTAAAGCTTTGGGTTCCCAGTTTCTGCCAAGCTACAGAAGCTCCTAAGTGAGAGTATCACACGGGATGCCAAGCGGGCATTTCGTAAAATTGCCCTTGTTAGGCAGTGGTGCCAGCCACCCCAGAGGCTCAGTACTGGGTCACTCTGAAGGACTCCAGGGCGCTGCACTTTATCAAAGGATCGGGAGACAGCTGCGCATTCTCACGTTCAGGTTTTTCCAAGGGTGGAGAGAGGACTTAGTGGGCTCTCCGGGCTCTGTGCCCTCTCCCTTGCTGAAGGCACCATCTCATTCAACACCTCCTCTTTTGTTTACTATTGTGAAACCTCTAGGTGTATCACCTCAATTATAAACCCAGACTGGGGCTTTCCTCTCCCCATACCCCATCATCTCATAACTTTCCTGGGTGAGCTGGCACAGGTACTACAGAACAGAGCCCACACATGTCCACCGTCTCTCCAGACGGCATCCAGGGCAAAGTCTGTCTCCACCCAGTAGGCCTTGATGGCTTAGTTGGTGCTTGTTCCTGGGGATGTTCTTCCAGGGAGTGTGTGAATCTGAAGGGCAAGTGGCAAGAAGCAAGAAGGTAAGGGATGGATGGAGGCATGGAGTGGAAACCTGGTTTGAAAAAAAAAAAAAAAGGCGAGGCCAGGTGTGGAGGCTCAAGTCTGTAATCCCAGCACTTTGGGAGGCTGAGGCGGGCAGATGACGAGGTCAGGAGTTCGAGACCAGCCTGGACAATATGGTGAAACCCTGTCTATACTAAAAATACAAAAATTAGCCGGGTGTCCTGGCACACGCCTATAATCGCAACTACTCAGGAGGCTGAGGCAGGAGAATCGCTTGAGCCCAAGAGGTGCAGGGTGCAGTGAGCCGAGATTGTGCCGCTGCACTCCAGTGTGGGCAACAGAGTGAGACTCCGTCTTGGAAAAAAGGTGAGTAGGGGGGCTGGTCCAAGTGCAATGGTATCTACAACGAATTGATCACAACCAGTTACAGATTTTTTTGTTCCTTCTCCACGCCCGCTGCTTCACTTGACTAGCCTAAAAAAATAAAAAAATTAAAAGGCGGTGGGGAGACACTAACTTTGTGTTGCTAACTTGAAGCCATAAACATTTGAGTCATAAAGAATGACTCTGATGAGTGGACTGAATGCTGTTTGACTCAGAAAATATTCCAGTACCTGTTCCAGCTTGATTTAAAGACTTGTAATGTTTCTCATCATCCCCACTGGGCTTTCACAGGCTCTGTCCTCTTGGATGTGGTGGCTAGAAGGCTGGGCATTCCCATCTCTGCTTTACTTCACTCCATAAGGCGAGCAAGGGCCTTAGGAATCTCTCCTTACTTTCTTCCTCTTTTCCTCTCTCTCTCTTACCTGGCATAGGTTAAACCACCAGAATGATTTGGCTTCTAAACCGCAGAAAGCTTCATGCATCCTAGCTCTATGTTAAAAGAGAGGGCTTTGATTAGGGACGGCAGGGAGCAGGTAATGATTGATAATATCCTTCAATGTTTTTGTGAAACTACCATATGAAAGAGGGGGTGGGGATCAGGATAGATTTAGGAAGGTGGAGCCGGGCGTGGTGGCTCACGCCTGTAATCCCAGCACTTTGGGAGGCCAAGGCGGGAGGATCACGAGGTCTCAGGAGATTGAGACCATCATGGCGGTGAAACCCCGTCTCTACTAAAAATATAAAAAATTAGCCAGGTGTGGTGGCGGGTACCTGTATTCCCAGCTACTTGGGAGGCGGAGGCAGGAGAATGGCACGAACCCGGGAGGCAGAGCTTGCAGTGAGCCGAGATCGCGCCACTGCTCTCCAGCCTGGGCGACAGAGCGAGACTCCGTCTCAAAAAGATTTAGGGAGGTGGGAGTGGGAGAGGTAGGCCTACAAAAGATTATCCCATAGGTAACCTAATCTAATTAATCTCTTTCCTCACCCAAAATATACCACCTATGTCTACGTGAAGCAGAAATGAAACCTAGATGAAGGCGTGCAGGAACAACAGGAGCATAGTAAGTGCGACCACAGTAAACCTGACGATTCTAAGAGCAGCACTGAATGCAGTGAAAGGGAGGTGATCAGCGTCATTTGTGGGTTTTTTTTGTTTTGTTTTGTTTTGTTTGAGACAGAATTTCACTCTGTTGCTCAGGCTGAGTGTAGTGGCATGATCATAGCTCATTGCAGCCTCTATCAAGAGGATGGCTTGAGCCATCCTCCCACCTCAGCCTCCCGGAGTAGCTGGGACTACAGGCACGCACCACCACACCTGGCTAATTTTTTACTTTTTGGTTGAGACAGGTCTTGCTTTGTTGCCGCTGGTCTTGAATTCTTGGCCTCAAACAACCCTCCTGCTTTAGCCTCCCAAAGTCTTGGGATTACAAGCCCTTGATTCTGATCCTAACTTAAACTACTTTCCCTGTCCCTGCCCCTTCTGGTTTGAGGGTGACTGGTTTATATGTACCTCTGTTCCTTATGGAAATGTCTCACATCCCTTGGAGAGAACGCTTCCTTGTGGATGTCTTTTCTGAGATGCTACAGAACATAGAGAACAATACACTGATTCTTAACCTGTGCAATGCGAACTCATGTTCAGAGCCCTGTGCTTCTTGTTAAAAGGGCCATAAATCAATATTCGTAGTATTTTTAGACATAAGGGACAAAATATCTTACTCAGATATGTACACATTTTATGTTATTAAAATATAGGTAGAGGCTTTTGTGATAAATAAAACACAAAGTAATTTCAAAATGTACCAAATTCATAGCAGCCGTTTGGTATATTTCAATCAACAGAATAAAAGTACAGCTGCACTTCTGTAGGGGTTTATGAAAGTTTTTGACTTTCATAAGAATTTATAGCAGAAAGGTTGGAAACCACTGCTATATAGAGTGGCTGCCTCAATGTATAGCCACTGCTCTTGGAACAGCTTGACTACTTAAGAGAAACATAAGAGGAGATCAGGAAAAGGCAAACAATTCTATGGTCTTGGCAGATGAGCTAAACCATTTTGGAACTTGAAGAATATCGAAATGAAAGCAGTTGTTGTCTTGGCAACTCAATGATGGTAGTCTACAGTTTGTTGTTGTTGTTGTTGTTGTTGTTTTTGAGATGAAGTGTTGCTCTTGGAGCCCAGGCTGGAGAATAATGGCACAATCTCAACTCACTGCGTCCTCCGCCTCCCAGGTTCAAGAGATTTTCCTGCCTCAGCCTTCTGAGTAGCTGGGATTACAGGTGCCTGCCACCAAACCCGGCTAATTTTTATATTTTTAGTAGAGACGGGGTTTCACCATGTTGGCCAGGCTGGTCTTGAGCTCCTGACCTCAGGCGATCTCCCCGCCTCAGCCTCCCAAAGTGCTAGGATTACAGGCGTGAGCCACGGCTCCCAGCCAGTAGGCTACAGTTTTAAACAACTGGGTTTGGCTGGTACAGTGGGTACAGCTCACGAATGTAATCCCAGCACTTTGGGAGGCCAAGGCAGGAGGATCACTTGAGGCCGGGAGTTGGAAACCAGCCTGGGCAGCACAGTGAGACCCCGTCTTTACGCCTCCCCAGCCCCCTCAAAAAAGCCCGGTGTGGTGTCATGCTCCTGTATTCCTAGCAGAGGCAGAAGGATCTCTTGAGCCCAGGAGTATGAGGCTGCAGGATCACACCACTACATTCCAGTCTGAAGACCCTGTTTCTAAAACTAAGAATAAAGTAAACAATGGGGCTTGAGGATTCTTACATACTTATCAAATTGACTGAGGATCTTTCCTAAAGTCATTGCCATTGTCTGTACTTGTTGACACCATGTAGCCTCTCTAAGTAGGGCTTTGAGACACCTGTACAGGCAGGCATACAACCAGCACACATACATGAAGAGGCTGAAAGACAGCTTGGTGGCCCACGATTTTAGCCTCAATGTTAAATATATGTTACTTGGCTCATAGTCAGCAAGAGTCCATTGTGTTATAATATTACCACACTTCTTTAATAAGTTAAAATTGCAATATCATAAAAATATTAATCCACACCTTTAAGACACATTTTTACCTGCACTCAGTACTGGATTGTTTGATTGGTAAATTGCATGCTCAGCTGATCAAAGTTGGGAGAAAGGAACATAATTCATCTAGTGTTCAGTGCAAGACCTTCTGGAAAGCACCTAGGATCATGAAATAATTTTGAAAATGGTTGGGAGGCTCCTGTTCTAGGGTTCCCAGGCATTAAGGTGGAGAATAAGTGGTTCCTCCAAATTTCAATGAAAGGATGAATTTAGGCAGCTCAACGAAGTGCCTGTGACAACACCAGTCACAGGCACTTTTGTGTGTGGGGTGGGATGGGAAGAGAACGAGTAGTGATACATTGTGGTGGCTAAAACAGCAGGAATCAGACTGGGGAAAGGTTCCTACTACTTCCAGAACAAGGTGGCTTAAAATACTCAGGAGGCAGCCTAGGGAGAAGGAGCTAGCTAGATCAAGATCTGGCCAGACGTGGTGGCTCCCACCTGTAATCCCAGCATTTTGGGAGGCTGAGGTGGGAGGATAGCTTGAGACCAGTCTGGGCAACACAGTGAGACCTCTATGTCTACAAACACAAAAGGGAAAAAAAATGCACCAAAACAACAACAGAATAACCCCAAAATTAGCCAAGTATTGTGATGCATGCCCAGTCCGGGCTACTCAGGAGGCTGAAGTGGGAGGATTGCTTGAGCCCAGGGATTCAAGGCTTCAGTGAGCCATGACTGCTATTGCACTCCAGCCTGGATGACAGAGGAGACACTGCCTTAAAAAAAATTCTCAGCCGGGCGTGGTGGCTCACACCTGCAATCCCAGCGCTTTGGGAGGCCGAGGCGGGCGGATCACCTGAGGTCAGGAGTTTGAGACCAGGCTGGCCAACATGATGAAACCCTGTCTCTACTAAAAAATACAAGAATTAGCTGGGTGTGGTGGCAGGCGCCTTAATCCCAGCTACTTGGGAGGCAGAGGCAGGATAATCGTTTAAACCTGGGAGGCGGAGGTTGCAGTGAGCCAAGATCAAGCCATTGCACTCAAACCTGGGGGACAAGAGCGAGACTTCTCTCAAAAAAAAAAAATCTCTATATCTATCTATCTATCTGTCTGTCTGTCTGTCTGTCTCTCTCTCTGTCTGTCTATTTGTGTTTCTGTCTATCTGTGTGTCAAACAAAAAAACCCAAGGTAGTGTTCATGGTCCAATGTAGAATGATCATATTCATCCAGTCAAGGCAGTAGGGCTGGTAGTTGGGTCATATGCCTGATATCTTCCCCTTGTTTTCTCTCATCTTCCTGATGTTCCCTTTGAAGGTCCTCTTGGCATTAATTTTAACGGGATCTTATCTATATGAGCATATCAACATGGAACCATGTTGGCATGGGATGTGGTGTGTGAATTGGTACAAAAACTTCACCCCTCTGGAGGTAGCAAGGCATAGCCAGTGCAGACATTGATACTTTTACATCAGGAGAAAGCTCTTTCCTCTGTCATAATTATATTTTACTTCTGAGACTTCTCCTTCAGAGCTTTCACAAATGCTCTACCCAGACACTGTCAATGGCATTGTACTAAAATTGTTTGTCAGCTCTGGCAATTCAGTGGAATTGCCTTAAACTATATTAGTGAAAATGGAGTTGTGATGGTTATGAAATGGAATCTGAATTAGCAGAGATTGTGAATCTCCATTTTCCATTTTCTGGAGGCTTTTGCTGCATTTTGTGTGTGGGAGTTGAAGTACCTTTGTAGCCCCGGATATCAGTGAAGAAATTGTCATCTGAATATGGTAAGTTGCAGAATGGATATGGATGGCTTTATGACTGGTTTCTGATTGGTTTCTCTTTCTACTAGGGTTGTCAGATAAAATGCATGCTACCTAGTGACATTTTAATTTCAGATAAATAGCAAGTATACCTTTTAGTATAACTGTGTCCTATGCAATATTTGATATATAATGAAAGAATTATCTGAAATTCAAATTTCACTGGGTGTTTTGTGTATTTGTTTGCTAGATCTAGCAATCCCACTTTATACAGTAGTCTTAATGAGATTCTAAGTGTTCAGTTAAAAGAAAGAAGGAGATGAAAGAAAGGTAAGTGGCCTACTTCAGAAAGGGAATAAGTAGGCAAGGAATTTGAAGAGGTTTTCGCGTGACACACGGAAAGGGTAGCTGGTAGGTAAATGACACGTGGACTGAGCAGCAATATTGTTGCATTGCTGGAGACATTCTGAGCTTCACATAAAGTGCTCCAGACCCAAAGTTGCAACAGTCACCTCATGGTCCGTACTTTCACGCTCTGTTCCATCTCTAACACAATGCTGTTAGTGCTGAAGGCAGACACTTGGCCAGGATTTCTGTTTGCTATAGCTCTTTTGGAAAGATTTGGCCAGGATCCCTGAAATCTTAAACAGCTGCTCCTTCAACTACGTTTTCCTGAAGAGTATAGCCAGAGCAGTGGACGCTCCAATCAAAACATCGGCCTCTACACCTTCCTGTATTCCCCTACTCTGGTGAAAAGGGCCGACCACACATGAGTGGCAATGATTCTCTTTCCACTCAGTCTTGTGGCCTTGACTAGCAGTAGGGTGAATGGCTTCCTTGGGTCAGTTTCCTCAAGCACAGACCCATATATTGGCTCTCTGGATCGTGTCACTCAGATGGCTAGATGAGTCTAGAAGGGCAGATCTGGGAAAGTGTTTAATCCAGGGTCACTGATATGATTCCTCCTAGGGGTACAGTAGTCGATACTATGTCACTATTTCCACCACTGGGAGCCAGAGGGACTGGAAAGAGGTTGTATTTCCACATCTTAAAGTATATGGCCACAAAACCTATTCCCAATGAAGCTCACCATCTTTCCTCCTGGTGTTTCCCTAATGACAGGATGCCATCCCCGTTCACAGGCTCAGAACCCTGGCATCTTTTTTGACCACATACTCCTCTGCATGATTCTCTTCCCCTAATGCTGATGATTTCCAAAGCCCAGCACATTTTCTCTCTGCAGTGTGTCTGCCGTTGCTCCTGCCATTACCCTAATTCAGGCCATCATTCCTTTTGATCAGGGCTATGGACCATTAACTAATCACTTCGTGTTTGATTTATTTTTCTTTCTCTCATTTATTTATTTATTTTTTTAGACGGGGTCTGCTCTGTATCCCAGGCTGGAGTACAGCAGCATAATCTCAGCTCATTGCAACCTCTGCCTCCCGGGTTCAAGCTATTCTCCTGCCTCAACCTCCCAAGTAGCTGGGATTACAGGTGTGTGCCACCACACCTGGCTAATTTTTGCATTTTTAGTAGAGATGGGGTTTCACCATGTTGGCCAGGCTGGCCTCGAACTCAAGTGATCCACCCGCTGTGGCCTCCCAAAGTGCTGGAATTAGAGGCATAAGCCGTGGCTCCAGGCCCGATTTCTCTTTAAGCCATCTTATTTAAACTGATTGAATAAGTCAAACTTACCTAAATGGATCAAATAAGCCAACTTATTTAAACTGCTGAATATATTTTTTAGACACACCTCTGATCATGTATCTGGCTATTTGAAATCGTTTAATAATCCCAGTTCATACTAAGTGCAGCTATGGGGGAGAAAGACTGCAGGTGCTGGGACCTAGGTGGGGCCTGAGAGGTGAGTTTAGAGGACGCTGGGAATTGGTGCCCTGTGGCCCTGGAGAAAATACCTTATTTTTTTGGAGGTGGCAGAAAAAGAAGCTTCCTGAGAGACGGACCCATTTCCCTATGATGAAAATGAAGCAAGCGGGGTTAGAAAAATTTTGCCTAGTTCATCTCCTTTCAAAGCAAACAAAACCCAGAAAATGGATTGAATTCTGAATGAACATGAAAAAGGCCCTAGTATATATTGAGCTGAACTACGCAACTAGAGGAAATGACCAAAATACCTTTTCTAGTGGAAACAACCTGTGTACATTCTAGGGTAAACACTCAGCAAGAAGATAATTCAGAAAATGGTTACAAAGGGAGTTAAGGGCGTAAAAGGCACAAATACTAACTAAAGTTGACTCTGCTCAAGTCTCCTTTTGTCTTAACATTTCCTATGTTCTTAAGTCTAACTGCCCTTTCTGAAAGCTTGCAAGGGAACTTAATCTTCATATGAGGGGTTTGGGGACTCTTTAGTAAGCGACTCTGATTACACAGAATTACATATATTATGTGTGTGATCTGGACCATGCCTCCTTTTGGATTTAGCCGAGGTCCTTTCCCTCATTTCCCTGGGGATTATGGATTAAAACTGAATGGCTTCTCAGTGGGGAAACCTCGGTATTTTATCTACCGGGTCTCAAAGCTGCTATTTGTGGCTCTTTGTGGCTTGATGGGTGACGCCTGAAATCAGAGTACAGATCCCGGAAAGAGCACAGCCTTGCTATGTGAAAGGCACCTGCACAGCTACCAAATTTGTTAATTTGCATATTGGATGGATTCTCAAAATGAGAATGAATTTCTAATAACAATTCTCATTGGATCAGTCACTTAATTCTGGGCGGAGTCCCACAAAACAGTATTTATTTGATCCATACAGTCTTGCAAATGGCATTACCTGCATGTATTATTTTAGCCTTAAGTAACTCCAACTGGGAAGTATAACTCACATTTGTTATTTTATTAAACCGCAATTTAAAACAAAAACAAAAACTAAACTTATTTTTAGACCACCCAATCATACAATTGGCCTTCTATGACTGACAATGTACACCAAGTACCATTTATTAATACTTAGTCCCTTTAGAGTGTTCTTAAAAAATAAATCTGCATGTTTTTTTCATTTTCTGTGTTCTTAGGGAAATTAAGCTTTTGCATATAAAGAATCAGGCTAGATGTTGTCTCAGATTGGCCTCTCTAAGCCACAGTGATGTCTCTAATAGTGCAGCCATGCTGTACTTGTTCTCCATTTCTTATCTTTCTTATGAGGCCACTTCTAAGACATAAAACGTCTATCTCTAAGGCTTTGACTGAGTGAAGAAGACAGCACAAATAGCCTTTAGATTAGAATGGCTTCCCGAGAAAGAAGTTTATAAATTTGATTATTGGCTGGATTCTCAAAATTTTAATGAGAGGAAGGACCAATATTTTCCTAAATGAAATTATTCTTCCCAGAGCTCTAGGTCTGTATCTAGATCTCGTTCCAGTTGTACTTCAGTTCCTCATATCATCATGTGTCTGAAAGGAGAGCTTAACACAGTATTTTAAATCTCTTTTACTCTCAGTAGCAACTTGGTGCTATTTCCATTATTCCTGTTATGGAAATAAATGAGACAAGTCCCAGAAATTGATTTTATGCTTAAAATACGTAGATTAATGGTCAGGATATTACTGCCAATCAGGAAAGGGAGTGGAAAGGAACTCAGAGGAAAGGAAAAGACACAGTATCTTTTGTCTTTTGTTCTGAGATGGAAATAAACTGTCTCTAGTCCAGATAAGGCTCCTTTTGATCTTCCCCATGGAATAAGGAGAAACAATTGGCTGTTTTGCATTTGCTGTTTAAAATTCAAAGTGAAGTCCACATCAAACCGATTATCGACAGGCATTAGATCTGTCAAACGGACACACGGGTGACCTTCTCGTTGCTATATCTATCTGTGTTCCTAAAACGGTCAAAATTCCCCACAGCAGTCAGGAAATGAAGTCGGTGATTAGAATTCTGTGTTTCCTGATGGTGACCCTGTGGTTATGACCGTTGGACAGAAGAGTCTAATTTATTATCATAATGTTAGGGGGAGCACATAGTCCTCTTTGCATTGTAGAAAAGGTCATGGGTATAGGAAATATGATTTAGAATTTTCTGTGAAGTTTATTATTCAGCCATAAATAGTACATAGGCATCTATCTTCATCTTCACCTTGTTATGGATCAGAAGGAAATGTGATATATAGTACTTGGAAATTTGGGGGCTTTACTACTATGTAGCTCAAGGTTAGAACTTACTCAACATTACTCATTTTTAACCTTTGATTGGTTTGTTCCTTTCTTACAGATGAATCAACTATGTTCAGTGAAAGATACTATCCTGAATGTAATACTGTGGGGTTTTGTTGTTGTTTTTGCTTTGGAGTTTGGATATTCAGGGATTTAAATCCTGGCTTTCTTGTTGAATTACATATGAGAACGTGGGAAAATTATTTAATCTCTCAAATGTGAATGTTTTTGTAAAATGGGGAAATAATTCCTATCTTGTAAGGTTTTATCATTTGTAACTTTAGAGCTAATATGGATAAAATATCTCAAAATATTGCCTGGCTTAAAGTAGAAATTCACTAAAGAACAGCTTTTTTTCCTAATAAAAACCACTATTGGTCAAGTGAGGGGGTACTTAGGTTTCAGTTCACCCTTGAGCCTTAGAACCTGCTCTGTGGTTTTGGCCAAGTCTTAATCTTTGGAAACTCAGTTTTCCCATCTGAAAAATAAAAGAGGTGGTCTAAATCAGGACTTTGTTTTTTAAAAAGTCTGCAGGTGTTATTGCCTTTTATTACGTTCTGAAAGAGATTAAGAACATGGAAGAGAGCCTGAGCCCAGTGGCTCTAGTCTGTAATCCCAGCATTTTGGGAGGCCAAGGTGGGGGGGTTGTTTAAGGTCAAGGGGTTTGAGAGCAGCATGGGCAACATAGAAATACCTCATCTAAAAAAAAAAAAGCCAGATGCGGTGGCTCATGCCTGTAGTTCCAGTTAGCTACTGTGGAGGCTGAGATGGGAGGATCACTTGAGTCTGGGAGGTCAAGGTGGCGGTGAGCTGTGATCACCCTGTGGCACTCCAGCCTGGCAACAGAGCAAGACCTTGTCTCAAAAAAATAAAAAAATAAAAAAAATTAGAGGAATATTTCATGCTTTAGGTCCCCTGAGCTCGAAAATTCTGTGATTTATGAAATAAAGCTAATTTCAAGTTTATTTAGCATATAATTTTTTGGCTAATTGTTAAGACATGCTATACTAGAAAAGGCCGCTGATGTATACTAAAATTCTTTAGAGATGGAGATGTTATGATGGATACATTTCTATATGTTCTTTAATATTTGAAGAGCCAAAGAGTTCTTGATGCAGTAATTACAATAGAACTCTTATTTAAAATGCAGTCACAATCATTGAGAAGAAAATCCATTAAACACTCTTTCATAGCAACTAGAAATTAATAGTAGTCTTCTGAATTGAACATTAGTAACATATAAATGGCATACATTACTTATCTCAGAAAAGCACTTTGAAAATGTGTTTCCGGGCCGGGCGCGGTGGCTCACGCCTGTAATCCCAGCACTTTGCGGGGCCAAGGTGGGCGGATCATGAGGTCAGGAAATCGAGACCATCCTGGCCAACACGGTGAAACCCCGTCCCTACTAAAAATACAAAAAATTAGCTGGGCATGGTGGCGGGCACCTGTAGTCCCAGCTAGTCGGGAGGCTGAGGCAGGAGAATGGCGTGAACCCGGGAGGCGGAGCTTGCAGTGAGCCGAGATCGCGCCACTGCACTCCAGCCTGGGCGACAGAGCAAGACTCCATCTCAAAAAAAAAAAAAAAAAAAAAGTTTCTGTATAATGTGTGTTGCAGAAAATGTGAGCTAACATTATTTTCCAGACATCTAATGCTAGAAGAATAGAGTCACTTAGGGTGTCTGGTGAGAAGAATGGAAGAGGTGTTCTCAGTCGTGGGCTTTTAACCTGGGTAGTTAGCCTAAAGGTCTAACCTTGCATGATCTTGCTCAAAAGTATTGAAATCCTCAAGAGACCACTTTGCGACTGAGGGTCACCAAAGCTCTGTGATTTAAGAACTATAACTCATGTTATGTTTACTGATTATCAGAAGATGGTATGTGGAGCTATCTCATAAATTGCTGAATCAGGGAGAGAAACTAAATTGCTAAACTGATCAAAGATTTGGTAATCTTAAAGTGCAGGAGAAAAAAAGGGAATACCTCCTCCCCTCTAGTTGCAATTAGAGATTTGGGCAAGAAAGAAAGAAAGAGTTGCTACTGAATTAACGTGTCACGGGTTTTGATTAAGGACTAAGTGCAATTTTCAGGAATGTTATGATGTATGCCATTTAGGCTGTGTCAACCTGTTTGTTCTTATTCTCAACTCATATGATTAAAAAAAATTCTAATAGACACAGAGTCACTAGGGACCGAAATAACTCACTGAGATTCTGTAGGTGCCCTACTTCCTTTTACTTATTTAGTGACAGGGTCTTGCTCTGTCACTCAGACTGGAGTGCTGTCACCCAGACTGGAGTGCATAGCTCACTGCAGCTTCAAACTCCTGGGCTCAAGCAATCCTCCTGTCTCAGCCTCATGAGTAGCTGGGACTACAGGTGCGTGCCACCATGCCCCACTAATTTTTTATTTTCTTTTTTGTAGAGAAACAAGGGTTGTCCAGGCTGGTCTCAAACTCCTGGCCTCAAGCAATCCTCCCTCCTCGACCTCCCAAAGTGCTGGGATTACAGGTGTGAACCACCACGGCCGGCCCACACTTCCTTTTAAAAAGTAGTTTACACAGAGGAGAAAGTGGACTTCTATGTACAGCTGAACATATAACATCTAATCAAGGCCTTGCGGAGGGTATAGCTAGAGTACTTGGAGGCTCAAAACCCTTGGGGACGTCAGTGTTTCCAGTGTAGGCAATGCCCCAGGTGAGGGTCAATTGGAGGGAGAAGGGAAGAGAGGTTTGGTTCTAAAGTGAATTCCAAATGAATCCTACGGCTACGGGTATCTGAATGCTCATCCATGGCAGAGCAGAGCTCAGAATTAGTTAATGGGCTCAGCACCAAGACTAAGAAGATCAGTACATCTACACGCCATCACTACCATTAAAAAGTCGATCATTATAATAACCAAAAAGAGCAATAATTGTGCTTCATCTATATGGCATTATTCTTACGATAACAAAACATTTTATAGATGTCATTTGGGGGGTAGCTATTTTTATAATTAATTGATGGAATCTGAAGTATTAAAGTGGTAATTATTTAAGAGCTATCTGCTAGCCTTGTATGGGTGCTTCTGCAAATACTTCAGTACTATATTTTCAACCTCACTAATGGAGACCCCTGATAGGGTGTGGCCAGCTGGAGCCTCAATACTAAAACCACTGCAAGGGAAACTTCCAAAAAAGAAAAACCAAAGAAAGGAAGCCAACAGGTATTCAGTACCTTGTAGTGCTGGGGATTTTACACTTTGTAGCTCATTTATCCCTCACATTTGATCATTTCCTGTGAGGTAAGTAGTAGGATTTCATTAAGTGTTATTAAATGAATCCATATACATAAACTCAGATCAAGGCTTGGAACATAGCAACCCCTCAATAAATGTTAACCGTTATTATAATTCCCTTTTACTAATGCTGCAATTCAGACTCAGTTTATTTTAGAGACTTCGTCAACTCACACAGTAAGTGGCAGGATGGGGATTTGAACTTGCCAGATTTCAGTTAGGAGCATGTACTGTTTTGAACAAGCTTTGAATATAGATTTGTGTGGTTGTTTCTGTTTCAGTATCAGAAAATGGAAGTTCGATTCCTCAGTAGCTTCGCTGATCTAACAGGGGATTTTAAAGCCCTCTATCAAAAGGAAAGTGGGAATCAGCTCTCAAAATCTTCCAGAGGCTGCAAGATTCATTTATCAAATCCTAGCTTACTCTCATCCCGAGTTCCTTTTCTGCCATTAATTTCTGCTGCGTCTCCATCTTTCTGTAGTTGATGTTGCTGCTTCTCTGATTACAGACCCTTACTGGGTAACCAAAAAGTCATTAGGGTGTATAAAATGTTTTCTTTTCTCTATGTGTAACGATTATTGATACAGCATTTTGTCCTGGCACAGTTAGGATGACTGTTTTGAAATTTCTTGAATCAGAGTGAACACCCATATCTTAAACTTAACATATCTTTGAAAGATGCTTTATGGAATTATCTTGAATAGCTTGAAGTAGACAAACGTTTGAGCCCTATTTTTAAAGTTCCCCATGAGAGGTTTGGCTTCTTGCAAACCAGTGAAGGAAAGTCTCCTCTGGGCAGGATCCAGGTCTCTTCAGAGCTCGCGTGGGGTGGGAATTTAAGCTTTCTATATTTTCTTCATTTCGAGAGCAGTCTAATTATTTAACTTTTGATGCTTCTATGGAAACCAAATAATGCTTCTTTCTTTGTTCTGCCCTCTTTTTTTTTTTTTTTTTTTTTTGAGACGGAGTCTTGCTCTATCTCCAGGCTGGAGCGCAGTGGCGCGATCTCGGCTCACTGCAAACTCCGCCTCCCGTGTTGAAGCGATTCTCCTGCCTCAGCCTCCCGAGTAGCTGGGATTACAGGCATGCACTGCCAAGCGCTGCTAATTTTTGTATTTTTAGCAGATACGGGGTTTCACTTTGGTGGCCAGAATGGCCTCGATCTCCTGACCTCATAATCCGCCCACCTTGGCCTTCCAAAGTGCTGAGATTACAGGCTTGAGCCACCGCGCCCGGCCTGTTCTGCTCCCTTTTTTCCGCTACTAAATTAAGGATAAAGCTATTTAGTTGCTTGAATTAGAACTACATATAAAACTACAGATTTCGAATGGTTTGAGAGTTGGAATGAATTTTTGGATCTTTTACTAATTTACCTGGCCCATGTATCTACCAAATATTAAATCATAATTAGTCCATTTTTTATTTTTTAAATCTCATATTTTATTTTAGATTTGGGAGGTACGTGTGCAGATTTGTTACCTGGGTATATTGCATGATGCTGAGGTTTGGGGTATGAACGATCTCATCACCCAGGTAGTGAACATAGTATCCAATAGGTCATTTCTCAGCCCTTGTTTCCCTCCTTCACTCTTCCCCCTATTATAGTCCCCAGTGTCTGTTTTTCCTTTACGTCCACATGTACCCAATGTTTAGGGCCCACTTATGAGTGGGGACTGTGGTATTTGGTTTTCTGTTCCTGCATTAATTGGCTTAGGATAATGGCCTCCAGCTGCATCATCCATGTTGCTGCAAAGGATGTGATTTCTTTCTTTCTTAAGGCTGCATACTGTTCCATGGTGTATGTGTTCCACATTTTCTTTATCCAACCCACTGTCGATGAGCACCTAGGTTGATTCTATGTCTTTGCTGTTGTGAGCAGTGCTGTTATGAACATACAAGTGCATGTGTTTTTTTGATAGAATGATTTATTTTCCTCTGGGTATATACCCAGTAGTGGGATTGCTGGGTTGAATGGTAGTTCTATTTTTAGTTCTTTGAGAAATCTCCAAACCACTTTCTGCAGTGGCTGAACTAAGGTACATTCCTACCAACATTGTCTAAGGGTTTCCTTTTCTCTGCAGCCTCGCCAGCATCTGTTATCTTTTTGACTTTTTAATGATAGCCATTCTGACTGCTGTGAGATGGTATCTTCTTGTGGTTTTGATTTGCATTTCTCTGATGATTAGTGATGATAAGCATTTTTATATGTTTGTTGGCTGCTTGTATGTCTTCCTTTAAGAAGCATCTGTTCATGTCCTTTGCCCACTTTTTACTGGGGTTGTATGTTTTTTGCTTGCTGACTTAAGTTCCTTATAGATTCTGCATATTAGAACTTTGTCAGATGCAGAGTTCAGGAATATTTTCTCCCATTCTGTAGGTTGTTTACTCCATTGATAATTTTTTTTTGCTGTGCAGAAGTTCTTCTGTTTAATTAGGTCCCACCTGTCAATTTTTGGTTTTGTTGCAATTGATTTTGAGGACTTAGTCATAAATTCTTTGCCAAGGCAAAGAATTGATACTCAGAATGGTATTTCCTAGGTTTTCTTCTAGGATTTTTATAGTTTAAAGTCTTACATTTAAGCCTTTAATCCATCTTCAGTTAATTTTTGAATACAGTGAAAGGTAGGGGTCCATTCTTCTGCATACGGCTAGCCAGTTATCCCAGCACTACTTATTGAACAGAGAGTCCCTATCCCAATTGCTTGCTTTTGTCTACTTTGTTGAAGGTCAGATGGTGTGGGTATGCAGTTTTATTTCTGGGTTCTCTATTATGTTCCATTGGTCTGTGTTTATTTTTGCACCAGTACCATGTGGTTTTGGCTACTGTAGCTTTATAATATAGTTTGAAGTTGGGTAATGTGATGCCTCCAGCTTTTTTTTTTTTTTTGCTTAGGATTATTTTTGCTATTCAGGCTCGTTTTTGGTTTGATATGAAGTTCTGAGTAGTTTTTTTCTAATTTTGTGAAAAATGACATTTGTAGTTTGATAGAAATAGCACTGAATCTGAAAGTTCACCTTTTCTACCTTAAACATTGCAGATAGATGTTTAAGTGCTCATTTTCAACTTTTAACCGTCTGTCTGTGCTCTCATTTCTGTCTTGTTTTTTAAACACATATTTTAAAATTCAACTTAAAAAAATAACTCTATAGACTCACAAAAAGTTGCAAAAGTAGTACACCAATCACTCAACTTCTCTCAATGTGCACTATCAAAACCAAGAAATTGACTGGCATAATACAATTAACTAATAGACCGCAGACTTGAGTCAGATTTTACCAAATTTTGCATGTTCTTCTTTTTTCTTGTCTTGGTAGATAATTCTATGACATGCTTAATACATGTATATATATATTCCTATAGCTGTCATGGCAGCACAATCATGATACAGAACTGTTCTCTCACCAAAGTGGAACTCCCTCCTGCTTTCCTTCCTGGTCACAGCTTCCCTCTCCTTCTCCAGTCCCTGCAAACACTTATCTGTTCTTCATTTCTATAATTTTTTCATTTACAGAATGTTATATAAACAGAGTCATATAGTATGTAGCACATCTTTATTGTAAATGGAGAATAATTTATCTACTTTTTGGCCACAAATTTCAACAAATTTCACTGCCTAGGATCTTTATTAAATTACATTTCTAGGATCATGCTTTGCTTTTCTGGATATAAACTTCTTTTTTTATTTCAGAAACATAAAATATATTATAGTCAGGTCAGGACCTGGTTTGATTTTATGGATTCTAAAGCAAATTTTTATTACATTTTTCATTTCTTCTCCATTTCCTCTAGGGAAAAGAAATGAAATAAGTGATTTAAATTCTTGATAGAGGGATGAAAACTGCCTTCTAATAAAAACTCTCTTTTGTCCGGGTGTGGTGGTTCACTCCTGTAATCCCAGCACTTTGGGAGGCCGAGGTGGGTGGATCACAAGGTCAGGAGATCGAGATTATCCTGGCTAACACCGTGAAACCCCGTCTCTATTAAAAAATACAAAAGATTAGCTGGGAGTGGCAGCAGGTGCCTGTAGTCCCAGCTACTCTGGAGGCTGAGGCAGGAGAATGGTGTGAACCCGGCAGGTGGAGCTTGCAGTGAGCCAAGATTGTGCCACTGCACTCCAGCCTGGGCGACAGAGAGAGACTCCATCTCAAACAAACAAACACACAAAACCCTCTCTTTTTGATTAAAAAAAGGTAGTCGTGGTAGGTAGACTAATGCACACCCACAGCCCCAGCTCCCCAGTGACAATGACCATATCCTAATCCCAGGAGCCTATGGACATGTTATGTTACACGGCAATGAAGAATGAAGGTAGCAGATAGAATTAAATTTGCTAATCTGCTGACCTTCAAATATGGAGATTGTCCTGGATTATCTAGGTGGGCCCAATGTAATCACAAGAGTCCTTACATGTGAACAAATGAGATAGACGACAAGGTCAGAGTAAAGCAATATGAGAAGAACTGGCTGTTGCTGGGTTTGAAGATGGAGGTGAGCTAAGGATGGTGGGCGGCTTCCAGGAGCTGGGAACAGCAAGGAGACAGTTCTCTCCTAGAGCCTCCAGGAAGGGATACAGCCCTGCTGCCATCTTGAATCTAATCTAAACTATCTAATCATAGGTTTCTTATAATAATATAACCAAGTGTTTACATTTCTTAACTCTCCCATAATTTTTAAAATTTTAATTGTTTATAGTTGATTGTCAGAACAGAACCAAATATTATGGGACAATGATATACCAGCCATTGAGTCTACTGTCTCTGAAAGATGAGAGACAAAGTTTTGTTTTAGGAACAATTTTTGGGGGGTTTCTTGGGTCTTGTGAAACTTCATAATGTATTTTATATCTTTTCTATTGTGCTAAAAAGTGTCAATTTTTATAGAAAAAGCTAGATATTAATGATATGTCATTAGTTTTCTATGTCATCTATTTACTTTCAGAAATGAAATTTTTCATTGTTTTTGTAATTCCAGGAACTATAGAGAACTAAAAGAACCCTTATGTTATTTAAATATAGCACTTCTCAGCAAACTGAGTGTATTGTTTATAGAATTTCACAAGTGCATAGTCTTCAATCTTACTTCCCTCACATTCCTGCGTAAGAGATGTGGTAATACACTTGGGTTAAGTGGTTTATTGATATATGCATTACAAAACAACCACTCTATCGAGTGGAATTTGAAGGACATAACATACAGCAATACTGAGGTCTGCAAATGAAATTGTAATCTAGGGCAAAAATGCCTATATTTCTATTCATTTTTGCTTTTTTATATTTCAGATAGTATTCTAATCATGAGTGTAACCAGAAAAAATTTTGGTTCTTGGACAGAGAATCATGTAAAAACCAGTGCTACACCTGGACAGAATGGAAAATGCTGAATCAGGTGGAACTATTCCAATTTAATATTTGGATAATAGATTAATAGTAGTGAAATAAACTTATTTCTTCTCTTATTCTTTCCATATTTGTTGGAAATTTGTGTTAGACCCCAAAAAAAAGGGGACTTGACACTTAAACTAAGATTTCAGATTATAGGAAATATTTAAGATAATAAGATATATTTGATTCTTATTTCAGTAGCTCTAATACATTTTAAATGAATTAAAAATAATTCCCTGTTTCAGTAAAATGGTTCTGGGTCAATCATATATCTGTATAGGGAAAAACAACCTCACATCATTGATTTAAAAAAAATCAATTCAATGAATTGCAGATCTAGAAGTGAAAAGTAAACAATATACCTTTTAGAGGAAAAGTAGAACTCACTCCTGACCTGGGGATGGCCAAAGTCTTCATAGACAACCCAAAAGGCAACCCCCCAAAAAAACTATGATACAAGAAAAATAGGCCGGGCGCGGTGGCTCACGCCTGTAATCCCAGCATTTCGGGAGGCCATGACGGGCGGATCACGAGGTCAGGAGATCAAGACCATCCTGGCCAACACACTGAAACTCCGTCTCTACTAAAAATACAAAAAATTAGCCAGGCGTGGTGGCGGGCGCCTGTAGTTCCTCCTAGTTCCACCTACTCAGGAGGCTGAGGCAGGAGAATGGCGTGAACCCGGGAGGCAGAGCTTGCAATGAGCCGAGATTGCACCACTGGGACTCCAGCCTGGGCGACAGAGTGAGACTCTGCCTCAAAAAAAAAAAAAAAAAAGATTACTGTTCTATATTAACTTCTATACATCCAAAGACACCATTAAGAGAGTGGAAGAAGGTTTTTTTTTTTGCAAAACATATAATCAACAATGGTTTCGTATCCCCAATTTATAAAGAACTCCTAAAAATCAGTAGAAAAAAGACAGATAATCCTCTACATATCCTCCAGAATGGCTAAAATGAAACAGATGGAAAACACCAAGAGTTGGATGTGGAGCAAACGAAACTCTTATAAACTTCTAGTAGGAGTATAAATAAGTACAGTTTGGAAAATTACTTGGAAGTATCAACTGTGATATGGCAATTCTACCAAATATACACCGAATACCAATTTACCAAATAGAAATGTGTCGATTTGTTCACCAAAAGACATGTATTGAAATGCTCATTTCAGCATTATCTATAATAGCTTCAGACTGAAAATGATACAAATGCCCATCAACAATAGAACAGATAAATAAATTGTAGTAGAGCAATGCAATAGAATGCTACAGAATGATGAAAACAGACATGCTTCAACTTTGCAAAATAATTTGAAGAATTTCATGAGTATAACAGTGAGGGAATACAGATGCAAAATAGTGTGCACTGTATGACTGTATTTATGTGAAAGCAGAACGAATCTCTTCTGTTAGAAATCAGGAGCCTTGGTGGGAGGTAGTGGTAGTGACTGGGAGGTGGGGGGTGGGGCAGGAAGGGATCGTCTGCAGAGTTGGTTGGTAATGTTTTGTTTCTTGATGCGGGTTTTAGTTAAAGAGGTATGTTCATTTAACCCTAACCCTAAAAATTTATCGGGCTGTACACTTACACATGCACTGTATATATATTTTTTAATAAAGAATTAATGGCTGATTGCGGAGGCTCACACCTGTAATCCCAGCACTTTAGGAGTCTGAGGCAGACAGATTGCTTGAGCTCAGGAGTTTGAGACCAGCCTGGGTAATGTGGAGAAACCCTGCCTCAACAAAAAATATAGAAATTAGCTGGGCATGGTAGCTCACACCTGTAGTCCCAGCTATTTGGGAGGCTGAGGTAGGAGGATTGCTTGAGCCCAGGAGGTTGCGGCCACAGTGAGCACTGATTATACCACTGCATTCCAGCCTGGGCCACAGTGCAAGACTCAGTCTCAAAAAAACAAAAACACACAGAAAAAACACCCCAGGAAGCTAATTACCAGAGGCAGAGAAAGACACTTAACCAATAAAGAAATAGATATTAAACTATATATTATATAAAAATGGAGATAGTATTTGGGAATAAATCTATGCTGGGGAGATCTGGACTCAGGAGAGAAGGAATGAGGGAAATTAATCAAAATCATCTGGGAATACTTGAGGCATTGCTACCTCTTCAAATAGGCATACTTGGTATGCCTATTTGATTTAATTCTCTTTAAAACGTGAACACATCATTGGCTTTGTGATATCAGTGGTTGCTCTAGACGTAAGCCTTGATCTTGTGGTGGAATCGTATGTAGTATTAGCAATCCAGGTACTTATCCAAGGGAGATGGTGTTTACAGACATTCTTTGACTCCCTTAATTCATATGTCAAGGTTCCCATCAAAGGAAGCAGACTTACTGTCTTTAGTGCAGTCAAACTACTTGTTCCCTGCCTGGCCCTTCCATTGTGTTTCGTCTTTACTGCTGTTAAAGCATTTACTCCATTACTTATGAAGTTTTATTAGTTGTATATGTATCTCTCTTATCCACTTGATCATTAGCCCTTGAAGGGAAGCACCTTTTTTGTGTGTGTCACACAGCACAATGGCTTATTTATCACATCCCAAATATCAAAGAAACATTAGTTAGATTGTCTTTAGTACTCTAAGTTCATAGCCTGCTTAAGCCAGACACTGTGAAAAATCAAAAGGTTAGTTCTTATAAATAAAGGTTAATTATTATAAATCCCAAACTAAGCACTTGAAGAAGCCAATGTACAATAGACCATGGGTAGAAAGAACACAATTTTGGCAATAACTTTCACCGAGAAGCATCATGTTGAATTTAGGAGTTTCTTACAGTGCATCATGTAGAACTGGTCACTAAATCAATGTAATCACATATGAACACCCACTTCAACTTCTTTATTCATTGTACAACTAATCTCAGTCCTTAACATGCCTATATAATCCTATATTCACCATTTTCTCAGTAAGAATTCAATTAAAACCAAAACCATCACATGAAATTAAGTTTCCAAAAATATAACATCTAACTCCTTTAAATATTGAAAATAGAGAGTTGTCTCAAATAGGTAAATCCTAATTTTTACTATCAGACATAAAGTATATATGAGAATCAATTTTTAATTTTTATTTTCTTATTCAGAATTTCTACTTCTTACTCATTGGTTTCACTATTTAGCGCTTGACATATAATGTTCCTTTTTTTTTCTGTTGAAGATATCTATTTTGAAATTTATCAGCAAAAAGTCCTATCTTAATTCAAATATATATGTATCTACCACTGTCCCTTCTGTTACCTTTCTGGCCTTTTCTCCAACTGCCCTTTCCTCATTCTCTCCTATTCCCATGGTGTCCCCCTTGTTGTTTCTTGAAAAGAAACCCAGGAACAAAAGGGACCTGAGATTTGCTCTCACTCCAAAACCTTTGCACTTACTGTTTGCTCTACTTGGAAAGCTCTTCCCCCAGCAAGCACATGGCTGCTGCCTCAGCCTTCACATCTTTACTCAATTGTCACTGTCTCAGGTGGCTGTATTTCTTTTTTTTTTTTCTTTCTTTCTTTTTTTTTTTTTAGTAATACTTTAAGTTCTAGGGTATATGTGCACAACGTGTAGGTTTGATACATAGGTATACATGGGCCATGTTGCTTTGCTGCACCCATCAACTCGTCATTTATATTAGGTATTTCTCCTAATGCTATCCCTCCCCCAGCCCCCCACCCCATGTCCGGTCCCGGTGTGTGATGTTTCCCACCTTGTGTCTAAGTGATCTCATTGTTCAATTCCCACCTATGAGTGAGAACATGTGGTGTTTGGTTTTCTGTCCTTGTGATAGTTTGCTGAGAATGATGGTTTACAGCTTCATCCATGTCCCTGCAAAGGACATGAACTCATCCTTTTTTATGGCTGCGTAGTATTCCATGGTATATATGTGCCACATTTTCTTAATCCAGTCTATCATTGATGGACATTTGGGTTGGTTCCAAGTCTTTGCTATTGTGAATAGTGCTGCAATAAACATACATGTACATGTGTCTTTATAGTAGCATGATTTATAATCCTTTGGGTATATACCCAGTAATGGGATTTTGGGGTCAAATGGTAATTCTAGTTCTAGATCCTCGAGGAATCACCACACCATCTTCCACAATGGTTGAACTAATTTATACTCCCACCAACAGTGTAAAAGTGTTCTTATTTCTCCACGTCTTCTCCAGCACCTGTTGTTTCCTGACTTTTTAATGATTTCCATTCTAACTGGTGTGAGATGGTATCTCATTGTGGTTTTGATTTGCATTTCTCTGATGACCAGGGATGATGAGCATTTTTTCATGTGTCTGTTGGCTGCATAGATGTCTTCTTTTGAGAACTGTCTGTTCATATCCTTTGCCCACTTTTTGATAGGGTTTTTTCTTTTTTTTTCATGTAAATTGGTTTGAGTTCTTTGTAGATTCAGATGGGTAGATTGCAAAAATTTTCTCTTATTCTGTAGGTTGCCTATTCACTCTGATTGTAGTTTCTTTTGCTGTGCAGAAGCTCTTTAGTTTAATTAGATCCCATTTGTCTATTTTGGCTTTTGTTGCCTTTGCTTTTGGTATTTTAGTCATAAAATCCTTGCCCGTGCCTATGTCCTGAATGGTATTGCCTAGGTTTTCATCTAGGGTTTTTATGGTTTTAGGTCTAACATTCAAACTTTTAATTCACCTTGAATTAATTTTTGTACAAGGTGTAAGGAAGGGATCCAGTTTCAGCTTTCTACATATGGCTAGCCAGTTTTCCCAGCACCATTTATTAAATAGGGAATCTTTTCCCCATTTCTTGTTTTTGTCAGGTTTGTCAAAGATCAGATGGTTGTAGATGTGTGGTGTTATTTCTGAGGCCTCTGTTCTGTTCCATTGGTCTATATCTCTGTTTTGGTACCAGTACCATGCTGTTTTGGTTACTGTAGCCTTGTAGTATAGTTTGAAGTCAGGCAGCGTGATGCCTCCAGCTTTGTTCTTTTTGCTTAGGATTGTCTTGGCAATGTGGGCTCTTTTTTGGTTCCATGAACTTTAAAGTAGTTTTTTCCAATTCTGTGAAGAAAGTCATTGGTAGCTTGATGGGGATGCCATTGAATCTGTAAATTAGCTTGGGCAGTATGGCCATTTTCAGGATATTGATTCTTCCTATCCATGAGCATGGAATATTCTTCCATTTGTTTGTGTCCTCTTTTATTTCGTTGAGCAGTGGTTTGTAGTTCTCCTTGAAGAGGTGCTTCGCATCCCTTGTAAGTTGGATTCCTAGGTATTATACTCTCTTTGTAGCAATTGTGAATGAGAGTTTACTAGTGATTTGGCTCTCTGTCTGTTATTGGTGTATAGGAATGCTTGTGATTTTTGTACATTGATTTTGTATCCTGAGACTTTGCTGAAGTTGCTTATTAGCTTAAGGAGATTTGGGGCTGAGATGATGGGGTTTTCTAAATATACAATCATGTCATCTGCAAACAGGGACAATTTGACTTCCTCATTCCCTAATTGAATACCCTTTATTTCTTTCTCTTGCCTGATTGCCCTGGCCAGAACTTCCAACACTAGGTTGAATAGGAGTGGTGAGAGAGGGCATCCTTGCCTTGTGCCAGTTTTCAAAGGGAATGCTTCCAGTTTTTGCCCTTTCAGTATGATATTGGCTGTGGGTTTGTCATAAATACCTCTTACCATTTTGAGATATGTTCCATCAATACCTAGTTTATTGAGGGTTTTTAGCATGAAGGGCTGTTGAATTTTGTTGAAGGCCTTTTCTGCATCTATTGAGATAATCATGTGGTTTTTTTCATTGGTTCTGTTTATGTGATGGATTACGTTTATTGATTTGCGTATGTTGAACCAGCCTTGCATTCCAGGGATGAAGCTGAATTGATCGTGGTGGATAAGCTTTTTGATGTTCTGCTGGATTAGGTTTGCCAGTATTTTACTGAGGATTTTTGCATCGATGTTCATCAGGGATATTGGTCTAAAATTCTCTTTTTTTGTTGTGTCTCTGCCAGGCTTTGCTATCAGGATGATGCTGGCCTCATAAAATGAGTTAGGGAGGATTCCCTCTTTTCTATCGATTGGAATAGTTTCAGAAGGAATGGTACCAACTCCTCCTTCTACTTCTGGTAGAATTTGGCTGTGAATCCATCTGGTCCTGGACTTTTTTTGGAAAGTAGGCTATTAATTATTGCCTCAATTTCAGAGCCTGTTATTGGTCTATTGAGAGATTCAACTTCTTCCCAGTTTAGTCTTTGGAGGGTGTATGTGTCCAGGAATTTATCCATTTCTTCTAGATTTTCTAGTTTATTTGCATAGAGGTGTTAATAGTATTCTCTGATGGTAGTTTTTATTTCTATGGGATTGGTGGTGATATCCCCTTTATCATTTTTTATTGCATCTATTTGATTCTTCTCTCTTTTCTTCTTTATTAGTCTTGCTAGCTGTCTATCAATTTTGTTGATCTTTTCAAAAAACCAGCTTCTGGATTCATTGATTTTTTGAAGGGTTTTTTGTGTCTCTATCTCCTTTAGTTATTTCTTGCTTTCTGCTAGCTTTTGAATGTGTTTGCTCTTGCTTCTCTAGTTCTTTTAATTGTGATGTTACGGTGTCAATTTTAGATCTTTTCTGCTTTCTCTTGTGGGCATTTAGTGCTAGAAATTTCCCTCTACACTCTGCTTTAAATGTGTGCCAGAGATTCTGGTACATTGTGTCTTTGTTCTCATTGGGTTCAAAGAACATCTTTATTTCTGCCTTCATTTCATTATTTACCCAGTAGTCATTCAGGAGCAAGTTGTTCAGTTTCCATGTAGTTGTGTGGTTTTGAGTTAGTTTTGTAATCCTGAGTTCTAATTTGACTGTACTGTGGTCTGAGAGACAGTTTGTTGTGATTTCTGTTCTTTACATTTGCTGAGGAGTGCTTTACTTCCATTTATGTGGTCAATTTTAGAATAAGTGTGATGTGATGCTGAGAAGAATGTATATTCTCTTGATTTGGGGTGGAGAGTTCTGTAGATGTCTATTAGGTCTGCTTGTTGCAGAGCTGAGTTCAAGTCCTGGATATCCTTATTAACCTTCTGACTCACTGATTTGTTTAATATTGACAGAGGGGTGTTAAAGTCTCTCATTGTTTTTGTGTGAGAGTCTAATGCTCTTTGTAGGTCTGTAAGGACTTGCTTTATGAATCTGGGTGCTCCTGTATTGGGTGCATATATATTTAGGATAGTTAGCTCTTCTTGTTGAATTGATCCCTTTACCATTGTGTAATGGCCTTGTCTCTTTTGATCTTTATTGGTTTAAAGTCTGTTTTATCAGAGACTAGGATTGCAACCCCTGCTTTTTTTTTTTTTTTTTTTTGCTTTCTGTTGCTTGGTAGATCTTCCTCCATCCCTTTATTTTGAGCCTATATGTGTCTTTGCATGCGAGATGGGTCTCCTGAATATAGTACACTGATGGGTCTTGACTCTTTATCCAATTTGCCAGTCTGTGTCTTTTCTGTTTTTTTTGTTTGTTTGTTTGTTTGTTTGTTTGTTTGTTTTTGAGATGGAGTCTCACTCTGTAGCCCAGGCTGGAGTGCAGTGGTGCCATCTTGGCTCACTGAAAGCTCCATCTCCTGGGTTCATGCCATTCTCCTGCCTCAGCCTCCCGACTAGCTGGGACTACAGGCGCCCGCCACCACGCCCGGCTAATTTTTTGTATTTTTAGTAGAGACAGGATTTCACTGTGTTAGCCAGGATGATCTCGACCTCCTGACCTTGTGATCTGCTCGCCTTGGCCTCCCAAAGTGCTGGGGTTACAGGTGTGAGCCATGGCGCCCGGCCCAGTCTGTGTCTTTTAATTGGGGCATTTAGCCCATTTACATTTAAGGTTAATATTGTTATGTGTGAACTTGATCCTGTCATTATGATGTTCATTGGTTATTTTGCCCATTAATTAATGTAGTTTCTGCCTAACATTGATGGTCTTTACAATTTGGCATGTTTTTGCAGTGGTTGGTACTGGTTGATCCTTTCCATGTTTAGTGCTTCCTTCAGGAGCTCTTGTAAGGCAGGCCTGGTGGTGACAAAAATCTCTCAGCATTTGCTTGTCTGTAAAGGATTTTATTTCTCCTTCATGTATGAAGCTTAGTTTGGCTGGATATGAAATTCTGGGTTGAAAATTCTTTTCTTTAAGAATGTTGAATATTGACCCCCACTCTCTTCTGGCTTGTAGGGTTTCTGCCAAGAGATCCACTGTTAGTCTGATGGGCTTCCCTTTGTGGGCAACCCGACCTTTCTCTCTGGCTGCCCGTAACGCTTTTTTCTGCATTTCAACCTTGGTGAATCTGACAATTATGTGTCTTGGGGTTGGTCTTCTCGAGAAGTATCTTTGTGGTGTTCTCTGTATTTCCTGAAATTGAATGTTGGCCTGCCTTGCTAGGTTGGGGAAGTTCTCCTGGATAATATCCTGAAGAGTGTTTTCCAATTTGGTTCCATTCTGCCCATCACTTTCGGGTACACCAATCAAACGCAGATTTGGTCTTTTCACATAGTCTCATATTTCTTGGAGGCTTTGTTCATTTATTTTTACTCTTTTTACTTTCACCTTCTCTTCTCACTTTATTTCATTAATTTGATCTTCAATCACTGATACCCTTTCTTCCACTTGATCGAATCCACTATTGAAGCTTGTGCATGTGTCATGAAGTTCTCATGCCATGGTTTTCAGCTCCATCAGGTCATTTAAGGTCTTCTCTACACTGTTTATTCTAGGTAGCCATTCGTCTAATCTTTTTTCAAGGATTTTAGTTTCCTTGCAATGGGTTTGAACATCCTCCTTTAGCTCGGAGAAATTTGTTATTACTGACCTTCTGAAGCCTACTTCTGTCAACTCATCAAAGTCATTCTCCATCCAGCTTTGTTCCGTTGCTGGCAAGGAGCTGCAGTCCTTTGGAGGAGAAGAGGCACTCTGAGTTTTAGAATTTTCAGCTTTTCTGCTCTGGTTTCTTCCCACCTTTGTGGTTTTATCTACCTTTGGACTTTGATGTTGGTGACGTACAGATGGGGTTTTGATGTAGATGAACTTTTTGTTGATGTTGATGCTATTCCTTTCTGTTTGTTAGTTTTCCTTCTAATAGTCAGGTCCCTCAGCTGCAGGTCTGTTGGAGTTTGCTGGAGTTCCACTCTAGACCCTGTTTGCCTGGGTATCACCAGCGGAGGCTACAGAAGAGCAAATATTTCAGAACAGCAAATATTGCTTCCTGATCCTTCCTCTGGAAGCTTCGTGCCAGAGGGGCAGCCACCTATGTGAGGTGTCTGTGGATCAGGTGGCCGTATTTCAAACGTCACTCACATTCCCCTTCTCCTCCCCACCTCTTCCCTGCTTTACTTTTTTTTCCATAGCACTTATTACCTTCCAATGTAAGAATCTATACAGAATGTATAATTTATTTTTTCTCTGTTGTTTGCCTCTCACCTGTAGAATGTAAGGTCTATGATAGCAGACATTTGATCTGCTTTAGTCACTGATGTGTCCCTGGAGCATAAGAAAATAATCGGCATATAATAGGTGCTCAATAGATATTTGTTGAATGAAGGATCTTTAACCTCCCTAATTTTTTCACTAGACTATAGGTCCCATTGGGGCAGAGATTGTGTCATGTTAATTTTTCTGATCTTCAGATTTTAGTATGGTATCTTGAAAATGCTAGGTGGTCATAAATTGTGTTAAAGGAAAACATACTCTGTGATTCTTTGAGGACGGCATCCCAAGATGTGCAGAAAGATGACAGAGGACTATTGATGATATAGAGGAGACGCAGAGAAAGACACTTAGCCAATAAAGAAACAGATATTAGACTATATATTACTTAAAATTGGAGATACTATGTGGGAAGCAATCTATGCTGGGGATATCTGGACTCAGGAGAAAAGGAATGAGGAAATTAATCAAAATCATCCGGGAATACTCGAGGCGTTCAACATTGCTACCTCTGCAGAGGCACCACTAACATTTGTGGGATATTCACTGCATGTTGGACTTTTGGATGGAATTCCCTGTGACTGCTCCCCAGGGATTCCTCGGCTCCCCAACCCTCTAGCACCAGCCTGAATAGTTGTTTCTTTGTATGGTGTCACTTTCTTATATAAGAAGACAGACATATAAGGTAATTTTTTTTTCTCTTGCTCTCCTTCTCTTTTCCTCCTTCTTTTTAATGGAAAAGTACTTGTAAAAATAGAATAGTTGCTTTGGGAGTTTAGGTTGCTATACAGAATCCAGGATATTTATTTTAAGCAGGTCCATACAACAGTGGCAATTTTTTTTTTTTTTTTTTTTGAGACAGAGTCTTGCTCTTGTTGCGCAGGCTGGAGTGCAATGGTGCAATCTCAGCTCACTGCAACCTCTGTCTCCTGTGTTCAAGTGATTCCTGCCTCAGCCTCCAGAGTAGCTGGGGTTACAGGTGCCGGCCACCATGCCCAGCTAATTTTTGTATTGTTAGTAGAGAAGGGGTTTCACCACATTGGCCAGGCTGGTCTCAGCCAGCTTTTAAGATGTCTACTTTGGTAGACATTTAGTTAGTAAATTTCTAACTAAAAGAAAAGTAATGATTGTGCCACTGCACTCCAGCCTGGGTGACAGAGCAAGACTCCGTCTCAAAAAAAAAAAAAAAAAAAAAAGAAAAGTAATGATAAACATGAAATTTAGATTAGCAGTTACTTTTGGGAGTTGAGAGGGACTTTCTATAGTATTGGAGATGTTAGATTTCTTAGGCTGGATGGTGAGTACAAGGAAGTTTATTATTTTTCATATATTCTATATTTCTATACAATGTCTATTACTTTTTTTTTTTTTTTTTTTGAGACAGAGTCTTGCTCTGTAGCCCAGGCTGAAGTGCAGTGGTGTGATCTTGGCTCACTGCAACTTCGTCCAACTGGGTTTCAGTTCAAACAATTCTCTTGCCTGAGCCTCCCAAGTAGCTGGGATTACAGGCATGTGCCACCATGCCCAGCTAATGTGTGTGTGTGTGTGTGTGTGTGTATATATATATATATATATATATATGTATATATATATATATATTTTTTTTTTTTTTTTTTTTTTTTTTTAGTGGAGATGAAGTTTCATCATGTTGGCCAGGCTGGTCTTGAACTCCTGACCTCGTTATCCGCCCGCCTCGGCCTCCCAAAGTGCTGGTATTACAGGCATGAGCTATCACACCCGGCCTTTATTAAATATTTTTAAACAAATAAAAATCCCTATGGACCAAGCCTTTTCTCAAACAATCAAAAGTCTTTAGTATGTGTTAGATTTAGACTCAACAAAGTTACTTCAGTGGCATTAAAAGACATAGTTTTTCATGATAAAATAATTGTAAGTATTTCAACTCTCTCTGCGGAAAGCTTTTATGTAAGGTCATTCAACAATAGAGGCTAAAATAGCCTCTTCCTGTTAAGGTTATATACAGATTCATTTCGTTTGTTTGTTTATGAACCATTTGTTTTAAACTCTAAATATTCTCCTCTTTGCACCAATACAAGTGGAACTCCAGCCAAGAAATAAATTGCGTGCTGGGTGCTGTGGCTCACACCTGTAATCCCAGCACTTTGGAAGGCTGAGGCAGGAGGATCACTTAAGGCTGAGAGTTCAAGGCTGCAGTAAGCTCTGATCATGCCATTGCACTCCACCCAAGCAAACAAAAAGAAAAAGCCTATGGAATTCAAGGTAGTGTAGTGACAATACTCAGGCCCTAACCGCTAAATGCAACTGTAATCAAGTAAAAATGTATTCAGATCCAATTAGGCATGTGATTAGCACGGAGAGAAAAGAAGGCACTCTGGCAGGGCGCTGTGTCTCATGCCTGTAATCCCAGCACTTTGGAAGGCTGAGGCAGGTGGGTCACCTGAGGTTAGGAGTTTGAGACCATCCTGGCAAACATGGAGAAACCTCATCTCTACTAAAAATACAAAATTAGCCAAGTGTGGTGGTACATGCCTGTAGTCCCAGCTACTCGGGAGGCTGAGGCAGGAGAATCGCTTGAAACCGGGAGGCAGAGGTTGCGGTGAGCCAAGATCGCGCCATTGCACTCCAGCTTGGGCAACAAGAGCGAAACTCCATCCCAGAAAAAAAAAAAGAAGCTGCACTCTTGGCCCTGGCTTCCCACAAAGCCAGAGCCTTCAGCCAGGTGAGAGAGAGCCCAGCGCATGGACAGAGGTTTAGAAGGATCCAAAAGACATATGATGAAGCCATCATTGTAATTTAAAATTTTCCAGTAGCCGCTGCAAAAAACATCAAAAGAAACAGATGAAACTAACTCTAATGCAATTTTTTATTTTACTCAATGTATTCCAAATATCATTTTGGCAGGTAAACGATGTAAAGACTAACAAAGTATTTTACATTGTTTATGTCAAGGTGAGTGCTTGACATCTGGTGTGTATTTTACACTTTATCCAAGGTGGTACTGGCCACATTTCCAGTGCTTGGTGGCCACGAGTGGCTGTGGCTACCCTCTTGGCCATTGCAGGCTTTGGAGATATCTATGGGGTGCCTCTGGTGTGAGCTTGCTGGTGAGAGCCAGGGATTGTGGTCCCTGTTTCCCTTTCCACTGTCACCACCCATGGCTGGTGAGGTTTTCCTCTCTTCTCTGGTGTCAATGCCACATAATAAAATCTGTCTGCAGACAGTATTCTCTCTCTCTCTTTCTGGACCTTGGAATTACATTCCCCTTATAGGGTTTATGAAGGGTTTTAGTGATTGCTGAAACAATGAATTATACTGACAGGTCAAGTGTCTTTTGAATGCCTTTGAGAAAGGCAAAAGTCATAAATAGGTAGCAAATAATGAATTTGCAGGTACACAAAAACTAACTTAAGATGCAGTTATGTTTAGAGAAGTACCAGGATTTAGCAGATCAGAAGCTGTGGGCTGTGGGATCAGAAGAAGGTTTCAGATTACTGGTGGAGTGGAGGGAGAGGCGTGGGCCCGAGAGGTGAGTGGAAGGGTGGCACAGGGGACAAGAACCAAGCAGGGTTAGAGTGATGCTGACCTCACCTAGAGATGAAGATGAAGTCGCCAAGTGTGGGGGGAAGTTGAAGGAGTATCCTTGGGCCACTAACTCCGTTTCCACCCTTTCTTCACCAAAATGTTCCCCTAAACATTCATTGGCCTGAGGAAAAATCTGGAAGAGGGATTAAATGATAAGCTTGCTCCACACTGTAGTATGTGTTTGGGGGAGTGCTGGGGGATTATATTGGGGGTGAGATAGATAACGAGGTAGAAAAGTAGAAATGGGTTTCCATCAGCTCCACAAGAAAATTCAAAAGAAAGGTGAGAAAGGAAATTACAAATGACTGGTAATAGCAAAGAAAGTGGAGTTCCTGAGGCCTCTTCGTAGCCACATGATTTATAGGAAGCCAAAGATAAATTGGGGGTTTGCTTACATTGCTATTAAACCCTTATTGGCCAGGCACAGTGGCTCATGCCTGTAATCCCAGCACTTTGGGAGGTGGAGGCGGGTGGATCACCTGAGGTCAGCAGTTCAAGACCAGCCTGGCCAACATGGTGAAACTCCGTCTCTACTAAAAACACAAAAATCAACCAGGCGTGGTGGCCTGGGCCTGTAATCCTAGCTACTTGGGAGGCTGAGGCAGAAGAATCACTTGACCTGGGAGGCTGAGGTTGCAATGAGCTGAGATTGTGCTACTGCACAGAGCAAAACTCTGTCTCAAAAACAACAACAACAACAAACCCTTAACGACCAGAACAGTAAGGAGGAGAAAGTAAAGTATGTGCCTGGTGGCGTGCACTGAAGACAGTATTTAAGATGCCCCGAGAATTTGATCATGGGAGGCTTCCCCATATAAGCCCAGATGATGAATCACAATGTTAAATCAATTTCTGTGCTCCTTAATTTTATAAAGCCTAAATCTATGGGACAAACCACAGGACTGAGGGTCAAAACCTAGGATTCTGTTTTTCCTGGTGTCCAGGCTGTGTGTGACTGTGGCCACAACATTCTCCTTTCTGGATCTCAGTTTCTTCATCTGTGAAATAATAGATTGGGCAGTACTAACTCTGTAGTCCTTTCTGCCTACAGTGCCTATGACTCTGACCTCTCTCGTCTCCTTTTCTATTAAAACTCTGCTTTAAGGGGAGTGGCCTGATTATTATTATTATTATTATTATTATTATTATTTTTATGGAGTCTTGCTCTGTTGCCCAGGCTGGAGTACAGTGGTGTGATCTCGGCTCACTGCAGCCTCTGCCTCCCGGGTTCCAGAGGTTCTCCTGCCTCAGCCTCCCAAGTAGACTAGCTGGGATTACAGGCACATGCCACCGTGCCCGGCTAATTTTTGTATTTTTTTTTAGTAGAGACAGGGTTTTACCATGTTGGCCAGGCTGGTCTCGAACTCCTGACCTCAGGTGATCTGCCGGCCTCGGCCTCCTAAAGTGCTGGGATTACAGGTGTGAGCCACTGTGCCCAGCCAGCCTGATTATTCTTGTATGTCAGGAAGGAGCCGAGTTTGTGAAACTCAATGCTGTGCAATTTTGGGTGATGCCCTTTTTAAAAATGAGATGACAAAATTAGTAATACAAAATTCATGATGAAAGTGAATATTGACTTAGAACGAGAAAAGAAATCACAGGAAGTTACCAGAGTTTTGAAGATTCAAGTCTTTTTTGTGTGGTATCTCTTTTGGCAATTTCCCACACATGCGTACATAGAAATGTTTCCTGTTTCTAACACAGCTTCTCCTCTCCCCCAGCACTGCAAATCCTCACACTCACAGCAACCCATCTAAGTCAGGGTCTCTAGTCTGTAATTTTCATTAATGTTTTGGACAGAATTGTAGCACTCAAAGTTCATATTTTGAAGTCTCAACTCCCAGTAGTCAGAATGTGATTGACTTTGGAGATAAGGTCTTTAAAGAGGTGAGTGGGTTAAAATGATGCTGTTAGGGCAGGATCCTGATCCAATAGGACTGGTCTCATAAGAAGAGGAAGAGACACCAACGGTGCACAAAGGGATGACCCTCTGAGGGCAAAGCAGAGAGAAGGTGGTCGTCGGCAAGCAAAGGAGAGAGGCCTCGGAGGAATCCGACACTGCTGGCGCCTTGATCTTGGACTTCTAGCCTCCAGGACTATGAGGAAATAAATTTCAGTTGTTTGAGCCACCCAGTTTGTGGCGTTTAATATGGCAGCCCAAGCAAACTAATACAGTGACCCTCTTGATGAATCTTCCTCTGCCTAAGGACTTTATTCTTTCATGTCTGTTCCCTTGTCCCAAACCATCCCCCTCCTCTCTGTTCCTATCCAATCCAACTCAGGACTTTTCTTCTTTAAGTCTTCCTTATGGAGAGACCTCTCAATCTTAGAACACACTGACACCTATTGACTGTCACTCATTTGGGAAACAAATAGGAATTTCCTTGCCACAGCTCTTATATTATTATCCTGTTGTGTTAGTTTGACTTTTCAAAAGACCATAACTTTTCTTCCTTATCAGGTCAGTGTTTTGAAGCCTATCAGGGACAACATCTTATTATCAAATGTTAGAAAAAAATTGAGTGTCGCTTTTTGAGTTAGGGGAGAAGAGACCCATTTAGGGCTATGTATGATAAGACCAAAAAAGTCTTAAAAATGTTATTTCTAAAGTAGGACTTAGTAGGAA